>NC_000014.9:65672319-65975349 GCF_000001405.40 Homo sapiens | reverse complement strand
AGGAAGGTCACAGTGCTCTGCAGGGGAGCCGTCTCCAAGCACAGGAGCTAGTCAAGGACACTTGGGCCAGGTAATCTGTTACCTCTGAGCAGCACATAACAGTGACTAATCACCTCTATGGTTATGGACACATTTATAAATTCGATATTAACACCCAATACATTATTAATGACCCCAAATATGAATAATTCAGTGTGTCCACATTTAGCAGGTTTCTGCTTAAAAACCAGCTTTGCTTTGGTCTTGGCTCATTACATTGATCCAGAAAAAAAGGACTAGGAAAGAAACAGCCTAGCTCATGTTCGGTGTGCAGGGAGGCTGGGGCTCATCATGGGGAGTGTTTTCAGCCCAGACTCATGCTGATATAGGGAATTCACTTAGCACCCTCCACTACCTGCCTTCAGCTTATTCATCCACATAATGAAGACAGTTGGGCTAGATGATCTCTAAGACTCATTTCAGCCTTAAGATTCTGAGAAGGGGGAGAAAATAAAGCTAATGAAACTAGCAGAAAAAAAATGTAACATCCATGCTCCAGAAATGGTTGTACTTCACTGCCTCAATCTTGCCAGTTGTCCGAGGGATGAGGCTGGGACTGCTTGATGGCCTGGTTTCCTGGGTGTCTACATGCTTGCATCACCTAGCAATAGGTCCCACCTGCCTGTAAGCTGCTTGGGGTAGGGACTTATGTATCTTTGGGTTTACTGCAGCACCGAGCACAGTGACCAGCACTTAGTAGTTCTTTCTACATGAACGTCAAGTGAAATAATTAATGAGGCAGGTGTGAGGTGGACGTAATTCCTACCCCTTTGCCAGTTTAGTCCATCTCTGTAATGGGGAAGAAGAAAATTGCCCGGTGTGGCTTTCCCAGAATTTTGGAACTCTGTTTTTCACTCCAATAGGGCCATTCCATTCCTTTTTAGCCCAGCAGACTTATGGAAAAACATATGAACCCTGAAGCTCTCCAAAACTCATTCATCTTTTGCCTTTGGTTGAAGTTGAGCTGATCTCCACTCTTCCTAAGAGTTAATCTTCTGTTCTTTGGCTATTGAAACAGTGGCCTGGGTAGCAGCAGGAACCTACCAGTGTGTGGCCTCAGGCAGGTCAGTTCCCTAAGCCTCAGTTTGCTTATCTGCAAAACGAAAGTGTCGGACTCAGAGATTTATAGGGGCATTTCCAATCCAAAATTCATTATAAAAAGTGGGTGGGGAGAGAGGCAATGGGACCTGCCTTGCATAACCCAGGGTTTAGTGGCACTCAGATAGTAAAAAGTGGAATTGTCCATAATGGTTTAAATGATGGAAGAACCATGATATGACCCCCAGACTCAGTGAGCCAATTGCTGTGTTCCAGGGCCAGACCCCAGCAGCCAGCAGCCTCAGATTTGGGCTGATCATCTGTGAACCCAGCAAGTAGCTGCTAAATCACACCTGCTCCTATAAAAATAACTCCAGGTGCACTCCTGTGGGAGAAGAGGAAGGAGGCTGAAAGTCTCCCTTGGGATGATATGTAAGCTCTAGGCAAGAGACAATATTAGGAGTGATGGGAGTTAAAGTTGGAAATCTCCTGGTCCAGCCAAATGTTCCCAAGTGCACCAGTTCATGTAGGAGAAATTGGGAATTTTTCTGTTTTCAAAGATATGAGCCAATGGAGGCTCAATTACTTCTTTTGAGAGCCTGTTCTGCCTTGTGATCACGGGCACAGTTTTCTCCTAATTGAACTCTCTCTTAATGAGGCCCATTTCTTCCTCTTTAATCTTCTGAGCTGATAGAGAGGCACTGGCTATGGCTAGAAACTGAATTTAGATTTCCCCACTTCACTTTCCTGCTCTTGTTTACCAGCCTTCCTAATAGGGTCTCCTCTTTCTCCAGGAGAAAATACCCTTGTAAGCTTAAGGCTAGAAGCCATTCCTCTATTTTCCATGTTTCCTCTCAGGATCATTTCAGGTGCTGCACCTTCTTCTCAAAATACAGTGACCCAAGATTAAATGTACTCACCCCCTCCAAGAATATAGGTATGTCTTCTGTCACCCTGCCCCAAATTTCATGTTTGCTTTCACATAACTCCACTTCTAATTTAATTCAGCTGCTGTTTCACTGTGATTCTCAGATCGTTTTCTCCCCAGAAATGCCTGTTTTTGTTGTGTGATGCTGAGCTCATTTACATGCGTATGATAACACTGAGAAATAGCAGAGAATGATGACTGTGATGATAATGAAAATGAAAAGGAGATGGTGATGACATAGTGTCGGTAAGAGTGAACAGTGTTCTTGGAATGCACTAATCCCAGAAAGCATATCATTCCATAGGAATGTACTTCAATATGTGTTTCTAAAAGATAAAGACTTTATTTTAATATAAGCACAATATATTTAAAAAATTCTTCAATATCATCAAATTTCCAATCAGTACCCAATTGTCTCATAAATATTTTTCATAGTTGGTTTGTTCAAACCAGGATACAAACTAGATTGATGAGTCTCTTAAATAGTTTTCTCCTCCTTTTCTTCCTTGCAATTTTTTGTTGTTGAAGAAACTATGTCATCTGTCCTATAGAATTTGCCAAGTTTGGATTTTGCTGATTGCATCTCAAGAACATTTAATGTGTGCCTCTGCTCCCTGTAGTTTGTATAAACTAGCAGTTCAATCTAGAGCTTCATCAGATTTGGGTTCAACGTTTTTTGCAACACTGCTTTGTAGGTGAAGTGGGGCATTTCCATCAAGAGGTTCATAATGCCTAATGGCCTCTCTCTGTGAGGTCAGCAGATGCTAATAGTCATCTTCCAGACACAATGCCCCATTGCTTGACCTGGATTACCATAGGAATGCAGATGGTTGCTTTGGAATTATTTGACAACACGAATGTGTATGTCTCATGAGATTTCTTGTGTGTGTTATATCACAGTTTTAAAATGTTTAAAAGAAAGAATATGGGCGTTTTAATAGGCGGCAAGAAGCCCCAAGGGCTATGTGCAGGGCAGTCATATCCAGGAGATAAACCAGAGTGCCTAGCAGATTAAAGGTAGGCCTTAACAGCTAACATCCTAATTCCTAAAACCAAGAGGGCAATTAAACTGCTGGTTCCACTGAGGCAAATGCCCATGGGCCTATGCTTTGGGGTGCTTTCTCCCTGGAGTAGATTATAGTTCTGCATCCCACAAGGACCATTCAGAAGATTCCAAGCAGCCCTAATCAAGAGATCTGTGAAAGAGGCTTCTTTGCCGGTGTTTATACTAAACAAGAGGGTATTCTTAAGTGGCTGTTTCCAGCAGCTAATCAGGTAGGAGTGAGCCTCAGCCAGGGAAGTTTCCACATTTTGATCAATTAATGTGTGGCCCTAGGGAGACTCCCAGACAAGAGAGAGGGAGGGGTCTTGCGGAGTCAACTACCCTCAGTGCCCTTAACTATAAAATGGGAGTAATAATAGTACCTATCTCCTAGTGTTGTTTTGATGATTAAATGGGCCTATGCTTGCAAATGAGCAGGCACACAGTAAGGAACCAATAAATGTTGGCTATTCTTGTTAGGCAGTTCCTGAAACTTGTGACATTTGCTTCTACAGCCACAGAACAGCCAGTCTTGACATAGAGTGTTAAGAAATATCAATTGATGAAGACAGTATTTAAAAATGCCACTTTCTTAGATCTATGAAGGGACTTGGCTATGACATCAACGTGAGTCAAGTGGTTTCTTTCCTTTTCCTTTTTCTAGTAAGGAGATTTTGTGTATTCGGGAAACTGGTGAACTTTCTGAGAGTCGAAGCAGGACATAAATTATGATGATCACACTGATTGCCAGCCTGTTCCTTTGACCCTTAGCCAGAACCCTGTCAATGCCCCATGGGAATTGTAAAGTCATTAGAAACAAAGATATAATTAACATCCAAAACGGGCAGGGAGACAAGTTGTCAAACTTTGTGATCTCCACATGACCCTGAGGCTAAAAAATCACTGAAGAGAAAATTAAAACACAAAAGCCAAATTTGCCTGACTTTGTCTTTTACTTTGGTTTAATGAGGGCCTGGCTTGAAGCTCACTGATGGAGATGGGATGGCATGATGGGCTGAGAGCATCTCTAAAATTAGGTGACTCTTTCAGTTTAGAAGTGATTTCCAAATGAGGAATTTTCCAGGACTCTTAACATTGCTATATAGGCAATGATCCATCCAATAAATATGTATGGAGCATGTAGTATGAGATCCTGAAGAGCCAGTAATAAACAAGACAGACTTGAGCCTGGCCTTAGGGGACTTACATTCTAGTGGTAGAGACAAATAAATGAGCAATTACAACAGGAGGAGAAGTCATGTAACTTAAAGACAGCCCAGTCTAATTAATAATATCCAAAAAGCAGTTCATGGGTCACTAGTCAAGGATTCACAAGAATGGATACCATTTCTGCTCCTAACTGCTGTTGTCTTCCTCTAGTTTCTCATCACTTTGTACCTAGACTCTTAACACATCTCCCTAATAGTAGAGTCCTCTTCCCAGAAGACCACTTTTATTATGTCAGATCCCTGCTCAAAAATATTTGGGGACTTTCCATACTGACAAGGTTATGTGCAAATTCTTTAGGCTGGGTCTTGAAACCTGAGTACAGTTTTACAAGTAGATAAGGGAGGTAGGGTTAGGGGAGTAGATTCATTGCAAATGGTTGGAGCAGGGAGTACGTGGGGAAGGAACAGTACCAAATGAGACAGGTGGAGTCAGTGACCTTCTTTTCCATTCCGTCTTTTCTTGGTGAGCTCTTGGCATCTTCTGAGCTTCTGCACCTGCCCCAAGAGCCTGAAGGGACTAGGGCTACACTAGATGTCCCAGAACTAAGATTGGTTGGTTCCTCCTTCATGTTGATACTCACAGCTCAGACAAATATCAGAATTACACAGAGCCTGCATGTCAGTTGTGAACAATAATGGTGGCCCAGTTAATGAATGTCATGTCAGGACTGAAGGATGATTAAGAAACCAAAGAAAAGAAATTTTAACCAGAGTAGGTTAAATCTGTCCTAAGCAGGAAGTGTAACTCCACAATTCCAATGGCTTTTTAATGTTTTATGTCAAATTCTCCAAACTTAAAATATCAACTGTTGGAACACTTATCACACTGTATTTTAATTACATGTCTCCTTACTACCTCTCATCTACCAGACTGTGGCATCTTCTTCAGGAACCATCTTTTACTCATTTCCTAAACAAAGCACATGGCATAAAGTCTGGCACACAATAGACACTCAATAAATGGTAAGTGAATTCTGTCCCATTGCCTTACAAAGTCATTTCTGAGAAACCTGAGGCCATGGTAATTTGTCTTTTCTCTGAAGTTTCAGGGTACCAATCTGTCCTATTCATATATTTTCTGAAATTGCCTTACAACTTTCAAATGAATTCCAAAAGTTCATTGGAATAGTCTCTGGTCACAGAAAAAAATGTTATAAAGGCTGTCATTGCCTACACTAATCCACAAATCTTATTTTTAAACCATCATATTCGACTCAGCCAACACTTATTAAAAACTTACTATGTGCTGGGTGGTAGAATAGACTCTGGAAATAAAACAGCAATTAGGCCTTGTCTTTAAGAAAACTTAAGATCCAGAACAGATAAATGATGATAGTACAGGATGAGGCACAGAAGAGGAAGTTTTTACCCTGATGGTGGTCACAAAATCTTCCCAAGAAATTGACATCTGATCAAGGTTTTAAAAGATAAATAACTTTTTTTTGTTGTTGTTTTTAGAGACAGGTTCTCACTCTGTCGCTCAGGCTGGAGTGCAATGTTGCAATCATAGCTTACTGCAGCCTCAAACTCCCAGACTCAAATGAACCTCCCACCTCAGCCTTGTGAGTAGCTGGGACTACAGACATTTGCCACCACACCTAACTTTTAAAAATATTTTTGTAGAGACAAGGTCTCACTGTGTTGCCGAGGTTGGTCTCGAACTCCTGGGCTCCTATGAGCCTCCAGCCTCAGCCTCCCAAAGCACTAGGATTACAGGTGTGAGCCACCACACCTGGCCCTTGAAAGATGAATTAGAGTTCAGCCAGGCAGCAAGATTGGAAAGGAAGAAACTCTGGCAGAAGCATGAGAGACAGAGAGGCCTGAGGTGCTGCACAGTCTAGATGGCAGAGAAGGGAAGTGCCTGGGGACCAGTGAGCTGAGTGAAGCTTCTGACCTTAGGTAGAGGGGAGCCACAGCCTCAGGTTCTGCTCTGTGAGCAGACAATCACAGAGAGCCTTTAAGGCACGAAAGAACTTGGACTTTATTCTGTAGGTGTTGGAGGCGCTTTGGGCAGAGAAACACTGAGATGAATCCAGTCCAGCTGCAGACCAGAGGGCATGGGTTGGTGATGCAGCAGCCAAAGGCAGAGTCCAGGCAGAGGGCACTGCATAGCCTTGGTGAGAAATAGTGAACGTCAGAACCAAAGTCATCCAGGCTTTTCTAAGCATTTCTATTTCCCCCAGTTGCCTTTTTCTCCACTTCTGTGCTCTCATATTCTCCAAAAGAATGGGCAGTGGGTCATGGGCTCCAGCAGTGTAAGGAGTGTTTGTGTTGAAGTGTAGACATGGACATTTGCAAGACTGCTATTTATTAGTGGAATTCCCTTGAATGCATCTTATCTTCCACTAACACCACAAACCACTTGAGGGTAAATGTTGCATCTTATAGATCTCTCTACCGCTCTTCCATTCAGCCTCAAGAACAGTGTCCTGCATTGTGTTTAAGCCATTGAAGACTGGTGAATTCAAATGTATTGATTAATCTATACATTTTGCCTAAAATATATACTTGGGGGGCGGCCAGTATCATGTGAACATTTTGTTTACTCCTGATATGTTGTAGACACACAAACACCAATTAAAATCACACAAGTGAACAATTCTAGTCTAAAGATGGCATGGCATTAAATCATAGAGTTTAGCCTAGACTGGGTGCTGATCCTCACCTCGGTCCTGATTCAATTCCACTGCACAGCCATGGGTTCAGTTAATTTCCTCAAGATTCAGATAAGGCTCTGGCTCTTCTCTACCTAAGTAGCAGCTCCTGTGAACCCTCAGCATAAGAAACAAGTGATGGGCACGTTATGATTAATAACTCATGGCTGACAATCACATGGTTTTTTTCCTTTTTTGAAATTCAGTTGAGAAGTTCCCAATATATTATCCAGGATTTACAATCACCAGAAATTTCCAAAATAGCAAATCAAATTGAAATTCATTGACTCTCTATGAGAATTTAGGAGCACTTTGAGGTCCTCCAGGGCCCCCAATAAGAGCCCAGTTTTCATTGTTCTGTGGGTGGGTGGGTACGGCAAACCTGCACTCCCTGCAGAATCTTGCAATTGAAAGCTCTATGAACCGGGGATTCACTGGGTGTTGGACAGAACTGGTAAAGAAAGTTATCTTGCATTTGACCCACATTTATTGGGTGGCAATGTGTTTTAGGCACCAAAAGGCAAACCAAAGAAATAATAAAAAGAATGTTGCCTGAGTCAATCAGACCTGGGTTGACTATGCAGCCAAGTGTTAAGTTGCTTAACCTTTTTGAGCCTCAGTTACTTATCTGCAAAATTTGGACAATAAAATTCTTCTCTGGGTAGTGATTAGAATCATGAATCATGATATGTAAATGGCCTTGCATAGCACCAGTATCATAGGTGTTCATATAAACTGAGATCTCCTCTCCTTCCTTGTAAGGATCTTAAAATCCACAAGTGAATACAAATATCAAATAACTAGAGAATTACCTAAAAGCAGAGTAAAATGTTGCATTAATTTACAGCAAACTGCGCTCAGCATCAAACAAGAGAGCCTGCAGCTGTCTAGAGAGAAACAGCTCAGACATTCAAGGTAATTTTGCAAAAATCCACTCTAAACAAGCGTTGACATAAACTCATCTTTAGCTGAGCTGTAGCTTTGTGGCACTTTAAAAAATCTGTAATATTAAAAGTAAATTAAACAGTGCATATGACTAGGCATTGAAGGTGTTTAGGGAGTAATTTCACAGTTGACGACTCAAGCCTTCCTGTCTGATGAAAATTCACATTTTCCCATGGGTGGAGGAGCAGAGTTGCAGGAATTGGAAAGGAGGAGACAAAGACACAGGAAGTGTGACCTTGTTTGGGAAGGTGAGAATGTGGGCTGGGGGCTTTGACACATGCCTTCCTTTGAAGATCCCTACATGAGGATGGATGTCATTTTCTGAGCCTTCATTCAGCCAAGTGAACGGATACTCTTGACTACAGAATCTGGGTCAGGAAATGTGGGCTAGCCTCCTAGTTTCTCTGCAATCCTGCAGGGTAACTCATCTTGAGGTGCAGGTGGTCGTGGGGCTTCCCAGGATGCGAGGGACCTCCCTCTTATCCTCCCACCCCACCGCCATGTTGCTATCCTCTTCACCACCACCACCCCCTCCCGCCCCTGTTCCCATCACCTCCCCTCTTGTGTCCTTGGGGTCATTACTGTACATGTGGTAGGCTTTGGAGTGAATGTCAGAAGATGGAGCTTCTGTTTCTCCAAAGAGAGATGAACAATGAGCTACCTCTCCAGCCGCAGGGAGGGATTCAGGTCTGGCCGAGCTTTCCACATGCTCTTGTCTGTCCATCCATAGGATAGGACTTGGCAGAAACAGAGTCCAGGGCTCTTCTGTGTTATCAGTGAGAGGCTGGCCAGTGGATGTGGTTCTCGTCTAAGGGACAGAGTTGAGTCAGGCTGTGTGTCAGCCATCCTGAGGAGAGAGCCAGAAACCCAAAGTCAAGGTGGAGTGGATCAGAAACCAAATGGGACCGGCACAGAGCCAGTGGAGGACAGAATAAAACCACAGTTGGTGATGAGAAGGGAGCCAAGTCACAGCAGACGGGAGTCATCAGCCTAGAGCAACTTTGATAAATCTCACCAAGTTGCTGTTGACCCAACTGCAAGGGCTGTCACTCTACTGCCATGCCTGCAGGAGGCAGGCCAAGGCAACACAGGCAGTCTGTGTCTGTGGTCAGAGCAAACCCACCTGGCCACAGGGACAAGCTTAACAGTCTTTCAGTGCTTAGGACCTGAGAATTCACAAAGCATTTGACATCCACTATGACACTCAAGCCTTGTGAAAACCCACTGTTCCTACCCATTTTGTAGCTGCAGGATAATAAAGATAAGAGACTTGCCTGAAGCCACTCAGCTCTTACGTTGTGGAGCCTGGTCTTGTCCTACCCCGTCCTGTATATCCCATATTGGATCTATGAGCTTGGTTGTATCCATACAATGGTTGTATCCATTCAATCTAGCTTCAGTGGAAAGCTGGAACTATTCATTACCCTTGGTTCACAGGCTGAATGAGAGTCTTGCTGGGTAATGATCAAATGATTAGCTATTACCCTATTTCTGATCTCACCTGTCCCACCCAGATCTGGGAGGCCACAGTGTCTCTGAGGATAGGGGATAGCCCATTCTGGCCACTCATCCTCCACCTGTGCCATGACCTAACTGCAGGTGGTGACCCTCATCCTTCCTCCACATATATCTGAACCTCATTTTATTTTCCCCATTTGACTGTGCTTTAACATAGCTGTTCATTTCCTGCTTAATAACACTTGGCTCTGAGAGGAATCGTGGCACGAGTTTTAACAGCTCTCCTATTATTGGATAATCACCTGTATGAAATCTCAACAAATCTAGGTAGCAATCAATCTGTAGTTAATTAATATAAAGCATCCAGTCCCATTAAATCCAAATGTTGCAACTGACACTGTTGGTTGACTAAATATTGGTGCCATTTATAAGTACATGCTTCTTGGGATCATCCTGGACTTAAAAATATTTTTCATTAACTAGCTGGTATTTAACAGAAATTAATTCTTGGCCATGCAGCATCAATTCCATCTTACAGAATTAAGACCCAGGGCTGCCTTGGAGCAGCTGTGTGCATAGAGGAACTTTCTGGGTAGTTCTCTGAGACACATCATGTTCTCACCTTATTCCCTGATTGATACCTCACTTCTACATCTCCCTACCCTGCATGGTAGTGAGGCTTCTTGTAATCAGGCTGCAACTTTGCAAATTCTTCTTTAATTTGTGTCTTTGGGCTTGGCTCACATTCCAAAACATTTTATTACTTGTTAATATCACAGTGGGCATGGAGACTCACAGAATAAGAGAACTGGAATCAAGACAGAAGAGTGGGAGTAAAGCACTGGTGTAACTCTGAATGAGGCATCCCTGAGTTCATCTTGCAGTGTCAGGACCTTCATTTAAAGAACAGCAATAAAAACATGTGCCACCAACCTGCCCCATCTGTACTAGTCAGGATTCCTTTATGTGACAGAAGTGACAGAAACCCACTCAAAAAAAAAAATAATAGAAGCAAATAAATGACATTTATTGCCTCCTATCAGTGAGTCAAAGGAATTCAGGCATGATTGGACCCATGGATTCAAACAATATCTTTAGGACTTTCTTGCTACATCTCTTTGTCAATTTCCTTGGGCTGCTATAACAAAAACCTAAACTTGGGATGGTTTAAAACAATAGAAATGTTTGCACAACAATGTGATTGTGCTGAATGCCACTGAACTGTACATATGAAAGAGTCCAAATGGTAAATTTTGTGTTATGTATGTTTTATAGTAATTTTAAACATAGAAACAACAACAAAACCCAGACATTTATTCTCACAATTCTGGAGGCTAGAAGCCTAAAATCAACGTGTCAGTAGAGCCACACTCTCTCTGGAGGCTCCAGGGGAGGATCCTTCCCAGCCTCTTCCTAGATTCAGGCTGTTGCCAGCATTCCTTGGCTTCCCCTGGCTTGTAGAGGCATTGCTCCAACTTCTGCTGCCATTGTCACATGGCAAGCTCCTTCTATGTGTGTCTTTGTACCTCTTTTTTTTCTCTTTCATTGGATTAGGACCCACTGTGGTCCAATATGACCTCATCTTAACTAACTGCATCTGCAGCACCTCTATTTCCAAATAAGTTTTTGTTCCGAGGTTCCAGGTGGACATGGATGTGTGTGTGTGTGTGTGTGTGTGTGTGTGTGTGTGTGACCATTCAACCAGGTACAATCTCTTAGCTTCCTTTGCTTGTTCAGCTTTTTTTCATTCAGCTTCCTGTAAGCAGCAGCAATATAACTTCAAGAAACCCTAGCAATTTCCCAGAAAAGAGGTGAAAGCCCCTCCCCAAACAACTGGATTCTGAGTAGGCTGTGCTTGGATCAAACCACCCCTGGACCAATCACCCATCCCATCCGAGCCTGCAGAGTCAGGCCATGTCTGGGGCAGGGACGGCAGAGCAAGGTGACTGACACACATCTTTCCAGAATTCCATGGAGATACTGAACAGACACAGAGAGCAGGTATCTCCACAACATTTCTCTAGCTTTCCATAAATGTAACTACGTTTCTATTATTAAAGAAAAGAACCTGTACTTTTTAAAGTGCTATTTCCACCTACAGAAACTTGATCATCCAAACATGATGGCTTTGATTTTGAAGACGTTAAATTAGGAGTTCCTTCGGGCTAGGTATTAATCATATATATAAAATGTATACATTGGAAGAAAGTGGATTCAAATAGGGTTTATAGGAAGACTATATTTAAGAATCCCAACTCCTTTTTATTCACATATTTAAGTCAGAAATGTAGGGGACAAGACCCTTAGATAACACAAAAATGTGATATGTGTCATTCAGGTGTATTTAGAACTATGGGATATTCTGAGTAATTTGTTAAAGGAACACCTAAAGTGGATTTCAAAGTCCACCCCGCTCCCACCACCGACCCTGGCTGAATTTCATTTTGTAGCTCTTTTCTGTTCTCATTAAGGTGTCATGTTTGCCAATGGAAGTGCCACCTTCAAACCCAGACTTGCAGAATGAACTCTCAGTCATACAGATTATTGGGTCTGTCCAACATCTTTGCCTTTCTCTCTTATTTCTGACATATAAATAGCGCAAGAACTATTATTCCCCTTTCCCTGAAGGGCAAGGTCAAAGACTTCTTTGAAAAGATTCTGACATCCTGGGTGGGGAAACAAAATAGATTTCATCCTCTCCAGGGTATGATATTTGGGGCAGAGACTAGCAATGTTCTCCGTCAACTTGCACCTTAAATGGCTTTTCTAAATGCTTGCTTATCGCAGCAAGAAGATTTACTAGACAGACATGCCTGCTGTTATTTCATTAATTTGCTTAGTCAGCAAATGGGTATGCCGGCCCATCAGTAACATTCAGCAGAATTTGAGCTTCCTCTGTGGGGCTGCATTTGCCTGGCCCTACTTATGCATCAGTTAACAACCTGCTTTTCCAGAACTCTGACAGTGTGAATGATGGTTTAGACTTAAGCACCACACAAACACTTAGAGAAGTTTATCCCTGCCTCTGCCTGACCTCACATCATAGGAAAAAGGGCTACAAAATAGCCCTTTCTTGCCTCATCTGAGTTGGCAGCAGTTTTGATGGGTCCCAAACTAATTTAGTTGCAAGATCCTCAGCAGTAACTAAGCACCCAGCAGGCACATTCCATTCATCAGTCACCAACCCAGATGGTGTCAAAAGTGTGGTGCCTGAGACACCTGGAGAGACGGAACAGCCTCATGAATTGGAGACGGAAATCTGAAAGCAAGAGAAGGGTAAAAGGAGGCTGAGGGATCAGAGAAGAAAGAAATAATAAATAATAAAAATAATTAATATGGCCAAAGGAGGGAGGGAAGGATCAAGAGCCTCTGGCAATGCAGGTAACCTAGTGACCAACTCGTCCCGGTTTGCCCGAGACTTTCCCAGTTTTGAAACTGGAAGTCCCATGTCCTGGGAACCGTCCTTAGTCCTGGGCAAACCAGAATGGTTGATCACCATAGGTAGTCCAAGGTGGGCTTTAATAATGCAGGGCAGGTGGGGAAGAACCTGAAGAGCAATCTGACATCACGTTGGGGCCAGTTACATTTAAAATTTGAAAACGCCTCTTTTGACTCTGCCACCCTTGTCCCGGGAAGCAGATCCCACAGCATGCCACAGATGCAGCCCAAGCTGCTCAGCTTTGAAGGCTGTCACTTACGGTGTCACTCTTCATACTTCTCTGAAGTGCCATTAAAGGGAACATTTTGTTCTCACACATCAAGCTCCCAGCATACACCAAAGGTTGACCAATATGTATCTCTGACTGGCTGGACTAGTATTTTTTTTACATGCATTTCTTCCTAGTTGTTTATTCTTGGATTATATAGAAATCTAGTTGACAAACTGGTGCCCCTAAGTGAACGAGGCCACGAGGCTAACACTAAAAGCAAATCACAAAATTACAGTAGGAGTCTGAACCAGAAATCTCACCCTAGAGTCAACATGGGCTCGCCTGCAAGGGAGTGCGTGGCCTTCAAAGTTTCTCAGGCACAGACACTCACTGTCCCAGGAGGTTGTCCTGCTCGTCCCACAGCACAGATCTGGCTTTAGCACTTTTCTGTTCATCACTCTTGTCTGTCTTGAGCCTCAGACTGCCCTGCTGCTGGTCTTGGCATTGCCCTCACTGGAGTGGACATCTCATTATATACGTGCCTTCCATTCTCTCTGCTGCCATGCTTCGGGACCTCGCCCACTCCTCCCTGCTCACTGGTCCTTGGCCTTGGCTTTCTGGCTAGGCATTGGCAGCCTACCTTGCCTCCAGCAGGACTCAGCCCAGATTATACAAAGGGTGTCTATTTTTCCAGGAATTCTCCAGTGCTTGGTTTCCCCATGTTGCTTGCTACCCATCTTGCAAAAGTGGAATAGACCATTTAATTAAGATGCTGTTTCAGGAGCAGAAGGCAACACCTAGGCCCTAGGTTTTCTACAATGCCCATTTCTCAATAGCGAATAGCTTCACACAAACATTAACTTACTTTTAAAAATATTTATTAAGAAATTAGCACATGCCAGGCTCTAATGCAGGCATTTAGAACACAGCAGAGGACAAGACAGGCAAGAGTGCAGTGGCCTTTGCCAGCGGAGCTTGTGTCCTGGAGAGGCAGAGAGAGATGATAAGAGTATAAAAACTGACCAATAACACTTCGGAAAGTAATAAGCACTATGAAGACAACGAAAAGAAGGTGCAGCCTTCCTACAGAGGGTGCTTTCCCCTTATGGACCTTCCCACCCAGAGTGTAGTCTGACAACTCCTCCAAGAGCTCTGCACTGCCTCCTGCTGGCCGAGGTCAGCAGAACATGCTGTACTGTCCCGGGGTTGCTTCCATCTCTCCATGAGTCACTGTTTCGTTTTTTGCCTCTATCCCTCCCTCTCTTGCCATTTGTGAAACACACAGTCTTAGTACTTTTCAAGGAGATGGGGGCTTTAGGAACTGAACTTCTCTTGGTAAAGTCCCTTCTTGAGACGTTCTCTGTCAAAACAGAAAATGTTTTCTGCAAGACTATGCAGCTTGGCAGTTATGAGCATGGGCTTTGGCATCAGCCAACCTGAGCTCTTTTCCTTCACCCCCATCTGTCTTGCTAACTGGTATTGGTCCTTCAAAGCATGGTGCAAGTGTCTCCCCCTGAGAAAGCATTTCCTGGTCCCCTGCAATATGGGTACCCAGCAGTGTCAGCTTATAAATGCCACATGGGCATGGTCAAGTCTTATTAATTTGATACCGAGTCACAGCATCTGAGGCATCGATGGGATACAATAAACATTACTGAGTGCATGCATGAATAAATGAATAAGTCTGGAGCTCAGGAGGCCAGCCTGGATCTGATAAACTTGGTCCCCTAGCTAACCGCATAACCCAGGTGTCTACAATGAAAGGCACAGTAAACTTGTTTTCCCTCAAATCACATTATGCACAAAGAAAAAGTTGGGAAGGCATCTCTTGGGTGGTTCAGACTGGCTCTCCCCAAAGCAAGACACACAACTGTTTTTGTCAAAGCCACACAACGACCTCCTCAGTGGACTTCTTTGAAGCATCTATTGATCTTTAAAAAAAGTATAATTTAACAAAAGTGCTTCTTCCAGCTTGTCTTGTTCCCGGAATTCCCTCTATGTATTTCCAGCTGTAATGTGAAATTCAACTGTGTGTCAGCCCTGATGATGGTGAACTCCCTAGCTCAGACACTGGCTTGTTTGGGGAAAGCTGTTTTCACAGCTTTCCCTGGACAAGGTGCTAATCTCTGACAGATTGGAATGAAAAGTTATCCCAGCAGCTCAGACCACCCCCTGGCTGTGCTGGAGTGAAGGCATCAGTGAACGTTAACTCCTAGGAGCCATCTTTGGCATCTCCTATGGTCTCTGCCTGCTGAGCAGAGAGGGGGCTTCAAAGTTGTTTAAGGAATGATGGAAATGTTATAGAGCCACTCTGTTGCTATGTTGCGGATAGTAAGCGATGAGCACAAATCCCTGATATTGAAGGATGGATCACGATACCCTTCTAGAAACTTCCTTCCCCTCTATTATCTTGGCCTGGCAACACTAAGGGAAGGTCATCACCAGGGTTCCAGTTTGCTGAAGTGTAACTTCTCTGCTAATTTTCTACTGAACCCTCATTGTGGTTGATAGCAGATGGCTCTAATATGACAGAGCACTTGACTTGCCGGACAGCTGGGGCAAGTCAATGATTATAAGAGTCTCCATTGCCAATGGAGCCCACAGGAAATAGTGTGTGAACATGCTTTGGAAACTGTAAAGCACTGTACAAATATGAGAAGTTATTATTATGGACCACCCATAAACTACTAATTTTGAACAGAACTGTGCTGAATATCATTTAATATCCTTTTAATGTCTCAGAAAACATTTTAAAACCTCCCAATGCTTTGGTGGTATAATTCTGAACTTCCCTTGTTACAGCAGACAGAGTTCGCAAGCTCCTAAACTTAGACGACTTCGGTGCTGTTTTAAGGGGAGCAGGACAGTTTAAAGATGATAATGGTATATATCTCACCACAAGATGGCACTATTGATGACATTTCTTTGCCTTGATTAAAACGGACCTGACATTTGAGGGGTCCAGGTCAAGAGGGAAAAAGAAGGCCTAAATACCACATGTTTAATTATTTAAAAGTTAAGTCAATCTAACACACAAAGTAAATAAAATATGTTTCCTATCTGGAAAAATATATCTTCCTAATGAATTGGAAAGCGAGGTACAAATTGCAAAAGCTGAGGCTCAGGTTGCAGGCAGAACAGGATGGCTGAGGGAGGGTCAGCATCCAGCACCCTCGTCAGCCCATCGTGCACTGTGAGGGCCTTGCACGCATGCCTCTGAACCCCATCCACATCCCTGTGCCCCTCAGCCTTGGGCCATCCTCAGAGGCCAGACCAGGGGAAAGGCCCCTGCATGATCTGGAAGTATGCTCAGGATTGCTTGCGCGGGGACTTGTGAGGGGAAGTCATCTAGAACAAGATCAGCTGACTTTTCTATAAAGGGTCAGATGGTAACTATTTTAGGCTTTGTGAGCAATGCAGTCTCTGTCACCCCTATTCAACTTTGCCACCGTATCACGAAAGCAGCCATAGACAATACATAAAATGAACGGGTGTGGGTGTGTTCCAATAAAACTTCAGGTACAAACATAGGTGGATTCAGACCACAGGCCATGGTTTGTAGGCAAGTAGTCTAAAAGCTGGGGCTAAGGCTGCCAAATAAAATACAGGGCACAGAGTTAAACTTGAATTCCAGATAAACTGAATACTTGTATAAGTAGGTCCCCAATATTGCATGGGGCATACTTATACTAAGAAAAAAATGGTTTATCTGAAATTCAAATTTAACTGTGCATCATGTATTTTTATTTGCTAAATCTGCCCATGCTAGCTGGGGTGGGAGCAGAGGGTGGGACTGTCCCATTGACCCTGGGCACTCCTTACCCATGGGGAGGGCCACACGCTGAGGGAGGCCAGAGCGGGGCCTCTAAAGCACAGGCCGTAGGTCAGGGCTACGCTGCCCCAGGCCTGAGGACAGTTGTGGTTTTAAAATGACAATTACGTGCTCTCAAATAATAAATAGAATATTATGTTTCCAATTTATATAGTTGATTTTCTGGAGTCTGGGCATTTATATAGTCAACAAATATTTGTCAAGTTCCTGTATGTGCTAGGTACTGAAGGATACACAATGGTGCCAGACAAAAAGGGAAAAAAGGCATAATCCCTGTCTTCATGGGGCTTATGCAGGGGAGGCAGACATCACACCAATGTGCAAATTCACACAGAAATAATCATTACAAAGCAGAGGGGCCATGAAGAAAAGAAGAGTAACAGTGGAGACAAATTAATCGGGGAGCAAGGAGGAACCCTGAGAAGTGAGGTTTGAGCTGAGACGCAAAGGAGCACTAGGAGTTGCTGGGTGAAGCAGAGAGGAGAGGAACCTCCTGAGGGAAGACCCTGAGCTGGGGCAGGAGAGGGGCCAGCGGTGAGTAGGAGGGGGCTCGGCCAGGCCTGTGAGCAGCTCCCATTCATTTCAAATGCAGCAGGAAACTCCCACAGGGTTTTTTAAAGGGAGGGAATATGATCCAATTCTCATTTGAAAAGCTCACACTTGCTGATTCTTCCTGCAGAGCGGATGTGGCAAGAGGAAGAGGAAGAGAGAGGAGACTTCGGAAGGAGTGGAGTCATTCTGGGAAGAGGGAATGTTGAGAAGGGCACAGCTTTGAGAAGCCTGTGCAAGGGCTAGGGGATGGGGCAGGGACAAGAGATAGGGGTGTGCTGACGGCAGCTCCTGGGTTTCTGGCTGTGCTGAGCAGAGAAAATATGAAGGAGACGCAGGCTTGGGAGAAGATGGACACTTCAGTTGTTGATGTGTTAAGTGGGAGGTGCTGTTTATACCACTGAATGGACTTCTCAAGGGAGCAAGTAGGTAAACAGTTGGCCCTCCGTATCCACAGGTTCCATATCTATGAATTCAGCCAACCTCAGATCACACAAATAAAAAACAATACAATGAAACAACTATTTATATAGTAGCATTTACATTGTATTAAGTATTGTAGGTAATCTAGAGATGATTTAAAGTATATGGGAGGATGTATACAGCTTGTATGCAAATACCATCGAGGGAAGAGAGAGACCCTCTCATATTGTTTTATATTGTTTTATACTCAGTACCTGTTCTAAAAAAAAAAAAAAACAAGGAAGTGAAATCAAAGACAGGCAGCCCGGCACCAGGCTCAAAACCAGGCCTGGGCCTGCCTGGCCTAAACCTAGTAGTTAAGAATCAACTCATGACTTAGAACCCAATGTTACCCATAGATTTCAGGCATTGTATGGAAGAACATTGTGAAACTCCCTGCTCTGTTCTCTTTCACTCTGACCACCAGTGCATGCAGCCCGTCACGTACCCCCTGCTTGCTCAAATCAATCACGACCCTTTCATGTGAAATCCTTAGAGTTGTGAGCCCTTAAAAGGGACAGGAATTACTCACTCGGGGAGCTCGGATTTTGAGACAGTAGCTTGCAGATGCTCCCAGCTGAATAAAGCCCTTCCTTCTACAACTCGGTGTCTGAGAGGTTTTGTCTGCGGCTCGTCCTGCTACACTGTGCCATTTTGTATAGGGGACTTGGGCATCCACAGATTTTAGTACTCATGAGAGTCCTGGAACTAGGAGATATGACTGTACTTGTCATATCTGCAGCTCAGAAGAGAGGCCAGGGCTACAAATGGAAGGGAGCAGGTAGTCAAAGTCCTATGGGAGGCATTTGCAGCCATGAGAGTAGCTGGGACCTTCCTGGTGAAAAGAGAAAGGGGTCTGAGGTGGACCCCTGAGGCACTTCAATGTTAGAAGAAGAGGAGGCAGCAAAGACGGAAAACAAGCAAGAGCCAGTGCTGTGCAAGCCAAAAGATGGGAAGGCGTTAAAAAGTTCTATTTCTGACAATTACCAAATACATCCTTTTTCCTTGAGAGCTTGGAAGTCCCCTCCTCGTCATAGCCTCTCTTACCTTATCTTATTGCTATATATATGATGATAGAAAGATAAAGCAGATGAGCGAAAGATAAAGCAGATGAGCGAAAGATAAAAACACATCCATCAACAGCCATTACAGTCACTCTCATTAGTATTTACACACTCATTGTTAAAGGAGTAAGTAAAAAGATGAATGGGTGACTTTTGAAGAAGTGAAGGATGATCTTCATTCCCGACTTCTTGGTTAGGAAATAGATTTTGAATCTTCTTTAAAGAATTTTCCTTAACAGAATGGCAGCCAGTAAAGGTAGAGGCTCCTTGAACAAATCTAACGTGCGTTGGCATTTCCCAGCCTAGGAGGGCTGCCCTCTCATGGAACCTCAGTCAAGCACACTGGGCTCAGGAGCCTGGAAGAGTCAGTCTCATGCTCAACTCACTGGGATGATGGTTGCTGTTCTGACTTCCTACGGGGAACTCATGGAGCTCCTGTGACTCAGATTAGTGACATTTCTTAGTTCCCAGTAAATAACCTTATGTTTTGACCTGTACCAATGTGAAATGTTAACAAAGCCATGAGGAAATTAAAATCCCTTGATGTAGGTTGGAGGCTGCCTAAGTGGATCCTGTCCAGGTGACAAAAGGTCTGCTAGATCCTGGGAAGAAACAAAGAAAGAAAAAGGTCACCGAGTAAATAGCTATGTGGTGAAATGCCAAAGTACAAGAGTTTATTGAGACCAAAGAGGTGCCTTTTACATGAAAGAATTCCCAGCAAAAGGTCACTAACAGGTCCAAACACCAACTAATACAGGTAAAATGGAAGTTGATGGTTAAAAGAAGACCTGGGGCTCTGATTGCTGTATTGGAATGAAATCTGGTGAGCAGCAGTACTTTGGTTTTATTATTTTTCTGTGGAACTTTAGTTTTCAAAATGTTTTTCCATATATAACCACCTTATTTTTTCAGAAACCTGACAACTGGTCATAGCAGGGATTAGGATTTACATTTGGCAGATGAGCAGGAGAAAGGCTCAGAGAAGTTAAGCAATTTGCCTAAGGTCACAGAGCAACCTGGTCAGGTGGTTGTCAGAACCCAGGTCATTGATCAACCAGTTCATTGATCGTTCTAGCACAATATCTTTCAGAACAATATCAGATCACAAAATGAGATCAACACAAGGCCTCAGTGATTCCACAAAGAATTTTCTGCCCAGCCATTAGCCAGTTTCTATGGCTGATACATGTCAGTGTCTAACAACACCAGGGGTCTGTATAAATAGAAGCCATCAGTGAAGACACAGCAATAGAATTCCAAAAGAGGCATCACATGGAAAGCTCATGTTTTCCAAGCCAAACAAAGTACTAGCTATTACTGGAAGCCATGAAGTAAGGCAACATTAATATCAATTTGTTGCTACTTACTGTTGCTGTCCACTCCTAAGAAAGGAGGACACAGCCAGACTGCTCCGCAGAGTGGCTCCCTGCTGGGATCTGTGGAGCTCGACACAGTCAATAATACCTCATCTCTCTCAAGTCATTTGACCACCTCTCTTGGTTCCTTCTATGAAAACCTGCAGAATAGTTAACCACTGACCTTCCAGAAATGCAATCTGACTCCTGCCCCCATCTGGCCAAGCGTTGGTGTGGATAGGATGGGAGCAAGAGAAGAGGCTGAGATGCAGCTAAGAATTCTAGCCAGCACAGGGACATAAGATTCCAAAATCCTCAAGGGCAAGGATCAAGCTTGAGGGCAGACTGAGTTTTGGGCTTCACTCCTCTTGGTATCTCAATTACCAAATATGGCCATGCAAGTAGCACTCAGTTACAGCTTGCTAAATTGAATTACCCTAAAAGGATGTGAGATGGACAAAGTGGAGAAGATGATTACTCAAAAAAACATGGCTTCCCCTACAAATCAATAAGAAGAAGGCAACCCATAGAAAAACAAGCAAAATATCTGAAGAGGCACCTCACAAAAACAATATCCAAATGGACAATAAGCATATCAATAGGTGCTCAAATTTGGTAGTGTCAGGGAAGTGCTAATTAAAACCACCTGAGTTACCATCTCATACCTTTGGAATGGCTAAAATAGAGGACACTAATTCACACTCTAGAAGCGGGTACAATTCATACATGTCAGAAAACCATTTGACAGCCCCTACTGCAGCTGAATATATACATATCCCATCACTCAATAGTGCTATACCTGGGTACATACCCACCGTAAATGCACACATGTGTTCACCCCAAAAGGCATGAACTGGAATGCTGAGAACACCATTATTTAGAACAGCCCCAAAATGGAAACTGCCCAAATGTCTATTAATAGTAAGCTAAATAAGTAATGGCACATTCACAAAATTAAATATTATACAGCAATGAAAATGAACAAACTACCTCTACATAGGTGAATCTTACCAATGTAATGTTGAACAAAAGAAGTTGAAAGGGGACATACTATATAACTACACTTACAGGAAGTTCAAAAGTGGGCAAACCTACGCTAGGGTGTTAGAAGTTAATATCATCACCCTTAAGGGATAATGACTATGAGGAGGATTCTTGAGGTGCCTATCATGTCTTGTTTCTTGATCTGGGTGCTGGTTACATGAATGTGTTCAGTTTATAAACATTATTTCAGCTGTACATTTGTGATTTGTGCATATTTCTGAATCCATTTTAAACTTCCAAAACAGCTTTTTAAAATCTATTTTATTATATTTAGAGATTGGTTCTCGTTCTGTCACCCAGGCTGGAGTGCAATGGCACATTCATAGCTCACTGCAACCCCAAACTCCTGGGCTAGAGCAGTCTTCCAACCTCTGTCTCCTAAGTAGCTGGGACTACAAGCACAATGATCACAAAATGTGGTCATTTTAAAATCACGTTTTGTTTTTCCAGAGGAGTTTGGTCTTTATTCCTTAAGCAAACAGTGATTTATCTCCTCCTTTCTGGGCATCAACAACCAGCTCAAAAACCCTTTTTAAGGGAAAAAAATAATTTACCAGCATTTCTAATTCCACCGCTGCTGTTATCCAACCAGGTGCAGCCTGGGAAGTGAAGAAGAAAAGGAAAATTTCTTCTCCCCTTCATTACCTCCCACTGCACATCCTTTCTTGGTTGCGTTTTCTCCTTTCCCTTTTTTATTTACTTTTGGACTTAGATCTTACCCCTTTTGGAAGGCCTAATTAGAGGGAAGTTTTGAGACTGTCATGGTGTTGGAAACCTGGGTCTGTGGAGTAAGTCCACATCACACTGGATGTTTTGGTGGTGGATCACATGGCAGGAACAAGGGGCAGGGTGAAATCCTGGAGGCCCTGCATGGACAATGATGCCACTTATTGTTGCCAGCACCAAGCAGGCCCAAATCTCCTCTTTAGAGAAGTATTAGGACCAACAGCTGGTTGGTTTAGAGCTGCTGTTTTAATGGTTGAAGCAAGAAATGATATATATCATGTTATTCAATGTAACATGAACGTATGTCTTGAAAACGAGGCTTCATCGTTTCCTCCTTTTCTCTCCACCTTATCCATATGTAAGTGATAATACGGTGGCTGATGCAAATGTCATAAAAGCATAAAGATGAAAATGGAGCAAGTGACTGGGGTTAGCTGGGAAGAAGATGTAGCCAAGGGGAAGACAGGAATCTGGCATCAGCAATTAATCATGGCCAAATAAATCTGATATTTGACCGCAAGGATACCATCAGACACCCATTGAGAGCTTCAAGGAGTTCAGTTCCCTCAGTGATTACTAAAGCCAACTTTGATCATTTAAAAATCACGTTTTGTTTTTCCAGAGGAGTTTGGTCTTTATTCCTTAAGCAAACATTGATTTATCTCCTCTTTTCTGGGCAGAGATTCCTGTCGTATAACTGCTCTGGCTAAAACAACTCTTGCTGTGCTCCAAAGTCTCCATAGCCTGCTTGTAGGAAGAGAATATTTTAGTCTCTTAGAGCTGCCAACAGGCAAATAGAAGGTAAAGAAAAGACTGCCACCCCCACCCACTAGGTTTGGAACCATCAGAAACCAGAGCTCAAACTTTATAAATAGAGGCAGCAGCAGGGGAGTCACACTCACAAAAACCACTGGATGCTACAGCCTTCGGAAGTCCTTGTTTGGATAACCTCACTCAATAAATATCGTCAAGGTCAAAACCCAGACCTTGAAAGTGTGGTGGAGCCAAACCGTCTTCATTTGAAACTGCTGAAGGCAGGCTCCTTAAGTGTGGGAGACCAGGAGTCCAGGCCTTGAGATCTCAGATCTGGGAAACTCCTGAGGAAAGAGAAAAGGAAGCCTGGACCAAGGAGGGGGTGTCCCTGAGCTGAATCTGGAGGGTTGCAACTGACATCTCTGCTCCTCCAAGTGGGGCTCCTGGACCCACTCCCTCCACCACCCCCACAGAGGGGACATGTGAGCAGTTGGAAAACCACCGGACCAGGTGTGGTCTGGAGGCTGAGTAGATTCCTTCCCCATCACCCCCACCCCCACCCCCCATGAAGGATGGTAAAATTGCCAGAAAGCCACAATCCTCCCCTGGAAGGGAGACAGCATCTCAATCGTAGATCACTCTTTAAGTCTTTAAAGACACTTGCTTCCTCCCAGCTTATGGCTTTTGGTATATATTTGGCAGCAGAGGTGTGTTTAATTAGGATTAGAGGAAAGGTTCTGATACTGCCTGTGAACATCCTCAGCCTGAGTAAAGGCAAGAGTGGGAGACTTTACCCAAGCCAACCCGGTGATTCTGAGGTAGGGCACAGTGATCCAGGTGAATCTCTTCACCATCAGAGTTCAACAGCACACATCATTCAAAACCTTATTGGCCTCTCCCTCCATGGTGAAAAGAGCTCCTATTACGTTCCAGGAACTGTAATGGGCACCAAGGAGCAAAAATAAGTAAGGTTCTCTTTTGCTTTTGCCTTCACAGAACTAGTAGAGCAGGCAAACAGACACATCCAAACTAAGTTTTAACGCCATGGGATAAGAACCACAGTGGAGGTATTACAAAGTGCTATGGAAATACAAAGGAAGGCTGGGTCAGTTCTCATGGGAGGGGTAGGGCCAGGCAGGCTAGCAGGAAGAGCCTCTCATGAACTCTTTATTGAATTAATCAGTTGATCAATTTTAAATAAGGAGGTAGCGTTGAAGCTGGATCTTGAAGTATAAATAGGAATTCTTCAGCTCAAAAAGAGAATGGCGCCCCTAGCAGAGAGAAAATTTGAGCTACAGCTACCATTTAAGGTGGTGCTTTCCAAATTAGATATGCTCAGGAAGCCACTGCTGGGGTTCAAGGCGTACTCAAAGCCATGGAATAAGGATGATGTGCCTTTTCAGGGATGTTAATTTTGCTTAAATATTTGGGTAAAATAGGCTATACAAGAAGGAAGTAAAGGCATTTTTAAATTAAAATAAGCATGAATGTTACATAATAGAAGACAAAATTGACATGAACTTTTTTCTTTTGTTTGGTTTTGGTTTTTTTGTTTGATTGAGTTTTGTTAGATACAAGGTCTCACTCTGACACCAAAGTTGGAGTGCAATGGCACAATCATAATTCACTGCATCCTCGAACTCCTGGGCTCAAAGGATCCTCCCACCTCAGCCTCCAAAGTAGCTAGGACTACAGGCATGTGCCACCATGCCAAGCTAATTAAAAAAAAAGAAAAATTTTTTTTAGAGATAGTGTCTTGCTATGTTGCCCACATTATTATCAAGCTTCTGACCTGAAGGAATCCTCCCGCCTCAGCCTCTCAAAGTGCTGAGATTACAAGTGTGAGCCACTGCACCTAGCTGACATGAATTTTTAAGATAAATCATTAGCCCTCAAAAATAAAATAAAATAAAATACTGTGTGCGAGCGGGGTTAGGGGGTTCTGCCTTCTGCTACAGACCCAGATCCCAAGGTCTGTGTCTCTTTCATCTGTCATTTAGGGTATTCTGAAGGAAAGGAAGAGAAGCCTGGTTTACATATAATCTGGGGATCAGGGTGTTGTGTGAGGTGGTCCAGTGGCTGATCACGGCCGGGCAGCCAGAGCCACACAGTGATGAACTTCACAGAGCATGTGAGTGAGTTTGGACTGTACTTGGTAAGTAGAGGAGAGTCCTTGGCAGCCTGCCCAGACAAGGTGACTATGCTGCTTAAGCTGCACTGTGATCCTCACTACACGGACTTGCTGTCTGGACAACATAACTAAAGCACAGTGCTGACCTATTCATTCCCCTGCTCAAGACTTTCAGGGGCTTCTTGTGGCTGCTGAATGAAGTCCAAACTATAAGCAAACCTGGGCTGCAATGTGGAGAATGGATTGCAAGCAACAAGACTGACGGTGAGGAGATGGGTGAGCAACCTGGGAAGCTGTTCTAGACTGAGGCAAGGAAGCACAGTGGGAGTGGAGAGAAGCAGATGGCATTTGAGGTCCTCATTGTTCTCTAACTTGCCATTACAACCTCCATCTCTCATGTACATTTTTCTACATTTGAATCAAGCTAAATGACTCACTACTACTTGTGGTTTCCTGCAAACACATTTTTGCTCATTCTGTTCCTTCTACCTGAAATGTCCTTTCTTGACCCCATCTCCTCCTGATGAAAAGGGCACCTGTCCTTCAGGGTCCAGCTCAAATAATCTTGGAAGCCTTATGCTAAGCATCTGCTATGTGCCAGGCACCATGCCACATGCTTTGCATACTCTCTAATCTCTATTCCCTGCAAAGTGAGTAGCACTATCTCTGTTTGCAGATGAGGGAATGGAGCATCAAGGAGGTTAGGTAACACACTCAAGGCCACTTGGCTTGCAAGAGATTGAACCAGAATTTGAATCCTGATCTAGCTGATGCTAAAACCTGTATTTTTTCTACAACCCCAGACTACCTGCTCCTTCAACTGACTTTCCCTCATAACCAAGCCTACACATGAATTGAATTCCTCCCGTATTTTCTCAATATAGACTGGCACCTCTCTGGATATATAGCATTATTAGAATTGTGGGGTATGATGAAGGAGATATGGGTAGACAAGAAGCCCTCTACCTTTTTCGTTTAATTTCTTTTGAATCGAGGTGGGGTCTCACTCTCTCACCCAAGCTGGAGTTCAGTGGCGCGATCTCAGCTCACTGCACCTTCTGCCCCCCAGGCACAAGTGATCCTCTCACCTCAGCCTCCCGAGTAGCTGGAATTACAGGCACATGCCACCATGCCCGGCTAAAGACCACCTTTAAGAACAACACTGTTTCCATACTCTAGCTTGAACTCTGGTGGCTGTGTGGCTTTAGGCAAGCCACGTCGCAAAACCGAGTTACACTTCATGGGATGATTGGAAAACAAAATGAAATAAAACAAATGAAGCTTGGCAAATGAGCATGCACTCAATAATTGGTTCCTCCTCCCTTGCACATGACAGTTGGTCAGTAAATGTTTTAAAGGCTGAGGGAACAAAATGCTGTGACATCACTTGATCGTTTTGTCTACATAAAGCTTTGAAAAAGTGGAAACTCTATGTTTAGGTCCCAACCCTCCACCCCCAGCACACACACACAGAGCTTTCAAATACTCTACAACATATATTTTCAAGTAAATTAAAACCCATTTTGGGAGCTTCTCAGACCTGCCAATCCCAGAGCCCAGTCTCTGAGCTGAGTTCAATCCCAGAGCCCACAGTGTGCTGTGCCTGTGGGGGCTGCCCTGCCTCAGGGCTGGAGTCTGTACCTCACCAGGTGCTTGCAGAAGAAAGGGCCCTGAGATGCCCTTTATCCTGACTACTCCTGCCTCCCACCCGCTCAACTAATCACCAAGCCTGTGGGTTCTACCATCCGCTTCTCTCCCTCCCCTCTGCCCTCTGCGGATAGAGCTCTTCCATTTCCCTGCGTCCTGCCTCCAGTGTCATTGATTGCCCTGAATTCTTGACATTGCAGCCAGGGTGATACAGTGGTGAACAAAATGAAGCCTGCCCTCATGAAGATCAAAATCTTCAAAGGCTGTTTAGAAAGTTCACCGGTGTCTCCGCCCTCCTTGCTTCCCAGCCTTGTTTATTCCCCGCATTCCTCTGGCATTCTCCACTCCAGTCACACTGAGTCTCGTGTCTCACCAACACAGCTTGCTCTTCCTCCCCTCTGGGACTTTGCATATGCCCTTCCCTCTGCACGGAGCATCTTTTCCCTACGCATCATCCCTGCCACTTGACTGCCAGCTCCTCTTCACCCTCCCAGTCTCAGCCTCAAGGTCACCTCCTTCAGGGAGCCTTCCTTAACCCCCAAAGGCACTGGCTGCCCCTGCTATGTGCACCCTTAGCACTGTGGTTTTTTTTTTTTACTCTCCTTGAAGTCAGAGACCATGTTTTATATTAACTTTATATATTTCTGTCTCTCAAGGGCATAACACAGTATCTGAGGCTAGTATATCACTTGTTGATGAAATGAATAGTTGAAGCAGCCAGTCCAGCCTGTGACATGAGGTGTGCTGAGCTCTCCCCAGGTATAAATACCCTTCAGCAGTCCTGCCTGGGCATCTGAAACTTCGGAGGGGCTGATGGAGAAGAGGAAAGGAGCAGAGAGGCTGAACAAACAAGTGTTTGGCGTCCATCCTGCCTCTCTCCCTCTGTCCCCCAAAACAGTGCAAATCAAAATTCAGTGGGAATCTGTTCAGCATCTGGATGATGGAAATGACATTTTCTTCCTTGCCAGGCCGTTTTGCAGCCCTCAGGGTCCATTGTTTCTATTAACTTTTAATGAACTTTTTTTTTTTTTTTTTAAAGATGGAGTCTTGCTCTGTCACCCAGGCTGGAGTGCAGTGGCGTGATCTCGGCTCACCGTAGCCTCCACCTCTGCAGTTCCAGCAATTCTCCTCCCAGGAAGCTGGGATTACAGGTGTCTGCCACCATGCCCAGCTAATTTTTGTATTTTTAGTAGAGACGGGGTTTCACCATGTTGGCCAGGCTGGTCTCAAATTCCTGACCTCAGGTGATCTGCCCACCTTGGCCTCCCAAAGTGCTGGGATTACAGGCATGAGCCACCATGCCTGGACAACTTTTAATGAACTTTTTACAAGAATTTGTGTTAATAGGGAGTGTCTGGTAGACCTGGTTGGGAAAGGTTTTTTTGGGGGGTGTTCTCTGTGCCTTGAGATGTGTTCTAGGAGAGAGAAGGGAATCATCAGAGAGAGTGGGTGTAGCCTTGAGTCATGTCGAGAAGCCAACGTCCTTCAGTTTTTTCATCCTGGTAAACGTTTTTCAGGTCTGCTGGGTTTTGGCACCTATCAGCAAGGCTATTTTAAAGCACATAAAATCTGAAAATAAATGGAGAAGGGCTGTGGCAGAGGAAGGCTGGTTTGGCAAGGACTGCTGCTTGTGAGTTAGCGTTGACACTGCAGGACACTGCAGCAGAGAGCGAAGACAAGGTTAGAGAGAAGGGCTTCACATGGGGCGTCACACTCACACCCTCAGGCCTCCTCCGTCCTCACTGGAGGAGACACTGATGTCACACACCCAGGAACTTTCTTCTGCTTCTCCTGGAATCTGAAGGATGGGGTTGCGGGGAGAGGAACAGTAAGAAGCCGCTAATTTCACTACTGGGGAGAGGTACTAACATTCCACCTACCCCCCAGCTCTTCCTCATGCCAGGCCCCTACCAGTACCTGCAAGCCACGTGGCTGCTCCCTGACTCATATGGCCTCTCTTTGTCCCAGGTAGCCAAAACCCAGTAACAGAGAGTGCCTAACCTCCTGCCTTACTCTCAGCTATATCCTGCCCCATCCTGCCCCATTCTGTCCCACCTGCCTTGCACTCCATTAGTCTAACCTGTTCCTGGTCACCCTGGAAGCTGACCTCTGACCTCTCGCTCTGTGTCCCACTCTACTGCTTGTCTGGTGTAGCTGACACATGACACTAATCAGCTTGTCCCTCCAGGACTACTCCCCTTGCTGAAGATCATTTGCATCTGTGTCACAGACCGCCTGCTTTAGAATGCTGGGGATGCACCTGAGGCAGCCAGGAAAGAGGAGGCGCCTGGGTGGGACTCCTTGGGTGTGAATCCTAGTCCAGGGGTTTATCTGCTATGAACTGGATTACCAGGGTGAGTTCCTGAATCTCCCCCAGCCTATACCTCTTCATCTGTAAAATGGGAATTATAATAGCACCAGCCTCACAAGGTAGCTGAGAGAATTCCCTGAGCTGATTTACATTGTAAGTGCTTAGCAAAGCACCTGACCCATGGTAAGTGCTCAATAGATGCTGGATAAAATAAGAAAGTCAGCCCCCAAGGCCCTACTGATCTTCATGAGTGAGAAATGGATGCTTACTCCCCACACCTCCAAAAATACAAAATCAAGATGGTTAGAATAATGGTGCCTTTCTCCGTCCTGGACACCTGGGTTCAGAAAAGAGAAGCAAAGCTCCAGGGAGGGTCCATGAATTGAATGACTGCAGTGTGGCTGAGGAGTAAGCAGGGGTCCTTAGGGAAGGAGTCTGAGGAATGGGGGTTCATTGGGTAGAGATTGGAGAGTAAGGACCTGTGGGGCAGGGGTCTGTGGGGCAGGGACCCATGAAGTAGGGTCCATGGCTTGCCTAGAGAATCCAGAGCAGGGAAGAAATCAGGATGAACCACAGCTCTCACCCCCAGGGCATCAGGGCTGCAGAGGCTGCATGAGGGCTAGGAGCTGATGGGCCATGTGTGCTGATAAAGCCGTAAGAATCATTAGAGGCCAAGCAAACAGCACTTTTTAGGAGACCTGTGTGGCATGTCCTGGCAAATGCAGAGGATGGAGAAGGGGCATTTTCAGTGGCACCTGCCAAAATGAAGAAGTCCCAGGTACTGTTCAACCCCTTTCACTGAAGTTCAGACTTAATTCTAGGGCAGCAAATGCATGTTCTGTGGGTCCTGCTCCTTTCTGAGATGCCTGCCTTCCCCTTGACCTTCAAGTTCAGGAATGATAAAAATGCCACACCTTCCACAGGTCTCTAGGGAGGCCAGGCCCACTCATCCCAGAAAGGCACAATCGTTACTGTCATCTCATTAAACTGAAAACTGCTGCTGACTCAGGCTGGAGCTGCAAAGGGTGCTGCCTCCTGGCTTCTATGTGGCCTTCCCTGGGAGCTCCCCATGGTGGGATGAAAACATGAAGGTGAACAGGACAGGAAGGGGTCCTGAGCCACGGTGGCCTGCTGCTGCCAGGCACTGGGCTGCGGGCAATGAGGGTACCGTGATGAAGGTATTATTCGGGATTAAGATTTGGCTGCTGTCACAGAGGCAGCAAGTACAGCGGCTTAAATAAGATAGAAGTGATTTCTCTTGCATCCAACAGCCTAGGTCCAACATGGATGACCCAAAGTGCTGGGGACCCAGCCGCCTCCTCTCTTGTTGCTCCACTATTCCTAGGGTGTTCCTCTCAAGGACAAGGGGAATTTGGTCAAGGACAAATTCCCATAACATCTGCACCCTAGCCAGTGGGCGGAAGGAATCCTGTGAGCTGTGTCCATCACTGCGCTGGTATCTCTTCCGCCAGAACTTAGTCATGTGACCTTTCAAGAAAGTCTGGAAAACATTGTCTCTGTAAGAGTGCCCAGCTAAAATTCAGGGGCTCTGTGAAAGAGAAAACAGGTGTGGTAACAGTTGACAGTCTCTGTTACAGGATTAAGACAGAGCCCTGCCCATGAGGAATGCACAGTGTGCAGACCAACGAACCACGACAACGCAGTGGGCAAGAAAAGCAGCACTGTTCAATCACTTACTCAAGGAACACATTTATTAAGGCCTACACGCATTCAGGAAATAGATGTAAAAGTACAGTCCTCTCCCTCACAGTCATGGTCTTAGGGGAAGGTCACGGTCTTAGGGGCTCATGGTCTTAGGGGAAAAAATCATCTAATGTACTAGGTGCTTGCTATGGTTTAAATGTTTGTCCCCTGTAAAACTCATGTTGAAATGTAACAGTATTGAGTGGAATCTTTAAGAGGTGGTTAAGCCATGAAGGCTCCACCTTCCCTCATGGGTGGGATTAATGCCATTATAAAAGGGGGAGTTCAGCCTTCTTTTGCCTCTTTGCATTCCCTCCTTCTGCCATGTGAAGATGAAGCATTCCTCCCCGCACCCGGGACGAAACATTCAGGGTGCCATCTTGGAATCAGAATCCCTAAACCTGCCCGCGCCTTGATCTTGAACTTCCCAGCATCCAGAACTGTGAGCCACTACTTTTTTTTAATAAATTGTTCTGTTTGTGGTATTTTGTTACAGTAGCACATAATGGACTAAGTGCTATAAAGCAAACATTTGTTCATTCACCACGCCCCTGCTACATAATAGTCCATGCACCAGTCCCAGGGATCTCATGATAAAAAACACAACTCTTTCCCTCAAAGTGACTCACTCTTTAAAAGGAGAGACAGACATCTAACCAGACAACTGCAATCCGCATGGTTAATACTGTGATTGTGATAAGGCCAGGGACCCCTAACACAGCCTGGAAGTCTTGCAGGACCAGAGAGCCTTCCCAATGCTTTAACACCAGGTGGGACCCCAGAGTCTTGGTGCAACCCCGGGGAGCAGCCTGTAAATGACTAAAATTGAGTTTCTCACAAGCCCAGCTGGGAGGATCAGAGTTGGATTTAGATTTATTTTTTAAAAATACAGAAAAAAGATATTATCTGCACGCTGGGTTATACACTAAGATTTATTTCCACCACACAAATGTGACTCCAGGAAACTGTGGGCTCAGGAGGCAGAACTTGGAAGATTCCCAGAGGCAGGAAATAGGTTTAGAGTGTCCAGAGGATGCACAGCGAGCAATTCATTTACCTCCTCTGCATCCCAGAACTTTGCAATGTTATTCCCGCCAGCCAGGAATGTGATGGCTGTTGGGTGGGGGTGAAGTCAAGGCTGTGTGCGCTGAGATACCCACTCCCTTTTGAATCTCCCCCAAGGACAGAGTCCACAGCCCCCAGAAAACTTGTTCTTGAGTTTTATTATCTCCATGGCCAAAAATGTTCTTTGTCTAACCAAAATCAGTATTACCTTGAATTAAAATCTACTTCCTCTTATTTGGGCTTTGAAGGGGTAGGACAGTGTTTGTCACCCTAAATTATGAGAAAATGCTTTCTAAGCTATGAAGTCTTATGAAAATATTAAGTGGTTTTGTTTTCATCATAGGTAAGATCATGTAGCAGGTGAGGTGGAAGCTAAATTTTATTGAATAACAGCCTGTTCCAGGAACTGTGCTAAGCACATTACATACATTACCTCCCTGTAAACCTACCACAGCCCTCCCAGGTGAGCATTACATTACCCATTTTCCAGATGGGAAACTGAAGCACAGAGAGGTCAAGTAACTTGCCCTTGGTCATACAGCTAGTTTGTGGTAGAGGCAGGACTAGAACCCAGGTCTGTGTGACTCTTTTCAATCTTCCATAATCCAAGAAGATTGTAATTAGGTCACCCATAGTCTTTTCTTCTCTACGTTAAGCAACTCCAGCTCTATTTAATTTTTTATTCTTTTTATGATGGACACTTCATCTGATAGAATATCTGACAGTTTTTAAAGTTTAAAAGCTATTCCTGAGAGGTACAAATAGGTGGAGTTGTCTTAGGAGCTTTGTATATTGTAACCTCTGAGAAGAGTTTGTTCAAATCTTAAAATCCCAGTAGTACTGGGATCTTAAGATAATTATGACCATGTGGGGTCACATGTGAAGTGCTTTATTTAAAAGTGAAGACATACTGTCCATGAGTTTTATTGTGTTGTAATAAAAACTTGATTAATATCCTTTGAAAGACTTAAAATGATATTAATACATAAGAATGGTAGGAAAGGTGGCAGTAGAGAAAAAAATTATCCAGCCAACAAAACCGTTTGGAATACATAATGTTTGTGTGTCAGGGGAAGGGGGTGGTATGCTTGAGGAAGGGGAATTACTAAGTCCATTTGTTATCCATAGTTAACTTTACCTCCTCGCCTTGGTTATGCCAACTTTATCCTGTACTTTTTATTTGTCTAAGCATGAGACAAACATCAGAAAAATTCCAATAGCATCCTACAATATACCTGACCAGTAATCCTCAAAACTGCCAACATTATCAAAGAAACTGTCACAGCCTAGAGGATCCTAAGGAGATATGATGACTACATGTACTGCGGCATCCTGCATGGGCGGAACAGAAAAAGGACCTTAAGTCAAAACTAAGGCAGTCTAAATAAATTATAACCTTCAGTTAATAAGAATGTTTTTTAAAAAATCACCCATCAGCTCCAATTGGGTAATAATGTTATTCATCAAGGATGAGGCCCAAGGATGAGGCCCAAGGATGGATGAGACTAAGGGATAGACGAACCTCACAGTGGGGCAGCAAAACTGTATGAACCCAAGGAGGAGACCTTGACTCTACTCAGCCTCCAGCTGCTGTCTCAGCCTTAGGGCCATCATCTCTTACCAGTGTGGCATGAGCCCTCTGGCCAGTGATGGTCTTGGGTTCTTGACCAGCCTAGGGCCTTCCATAGGATCCACACTCATCCCAGACCACATGATTTAAGTCATGTAAGGTAAGCCCCTCATCTCTCATTCACCACCTTTCAATTGGTCATTGATTTAACTTGGCAAGATTTAAAAACAATCCCCACCACCTTGTTAAGCTCTCCCCTTAATTAGCAGAGGAAGAAATGCAGTTATTGGAAGCAGCCTCTCTCCAGCACACTTCTCCCTGTTTGGCAAATTAAAAGCATTTGGATGAAGCTCTTCTGTGGTCCCAATCAATAGCTCAAGCCATAATTATTCAGTGGTGCTTGCAGTTTTCTGTGCTGACAGCCAGCTGGGTGTGCTGATCTGTAATTGTTTCATATGCTTATGCGGCTGGTCTCTTCCCATGATTGGGTTCTGCAGCAGACTAATCAATAGCATCGTTGGGGAAACTGGGGAATGTATTTGCCAACATCCAAACCTGCTCCCCTCCCCATCTCTCCAGGTGAGATGTTAACCACAGTTACATGAGGCTCTTTTTTATGTTCCTGCTTTTACCCACTTGATGCGGAGCTGAGCAGCACTTTTGGGAGACAAAAAAATGCCCACTTTATAGGATAATTGTGTAATATCAGGCTTTAGATTGTGTGTAGTGGTTATGTGCCAAGGAGCAGTAAACGATAAAATCTTATTAGCTTAGATTTTACCAGTTTCAGAATTACTGATAACTCGGATGGAATGTGAATTTTTGAAGTTTGAATTTTCTCAAGCAGATCATTGCCTAACGGATGGTGCAGCTTCAGGTTGTAAACAAAACTGCAGGGGTGGATGTTTAAGATATTTCAGAGGATTACATTTTTTCGGTATCACCTGTCAGTCTTTTAGAAGTGCCCAGTTACACACAGGCAGCCAATATGTTCCTTGCAAATCCTTCTAGAGTCTGATAGTGGAAAGAAAAAACTCCAACCCTCCCTCTGTATTTCTCTAGACAGGTTACTTAGCTTTCCTTCTGAGTCGGTTTTGTTTTATTTTGTTTTTCTGCAAAATAGAAATATGGCCTGTCAACTTCCTAGGGGTACTGTAAGAATAATAAGAGGAAATAAAAGATATGACAGTGGCTTTTAAATGTAAAAAATAGTGTCAGCTCATTATTTCACACATTAAAGAGAGTATTTTAAACACCTGTGGTTAATTTTTGGTTTTATTTTCTTTTTTATAATTTGCCTATTTAGGCTTACTCCCCATGTTCCTAAAAGTAGTCAAATTAATTCTTTTAAGATTTATTAACATAGATTAACTTAGGCTATATTTCCATTTATGAACAATTAGATCTGAAAAGACTGCCTTTTTACATGAAAAGGAACATGACGCCACTGGTTCCAATGTGAACCTGAGCCCAGGTAGCTTGCACCAAGAGCACTGATTATTAAGTATGATTAGAGACTATACTAGATCAACATATTGAGGCTCCTCTAGAGTATCCTAGGAATGACGTCATGAATGACTATCCCTTGGGTTCAGTGCTGAGATGCATCCAAAATTATGGGTGCTCTTCTTAAGAAGCTGTGGTTTCTGAGGATCTGACCACTTTTCTGTAGGAGAAAATGGCTTGACGGCCTGGGCAAGGCACTGGAACTACACAGCCGTAGAATCTCCTATACATAAGCCTTTTGAAAGTGTCTGCAGTTCCCCCAGTCATCAACACCCTCCCCTAGTTTTTAATAAATACCCGTATTCACATGGTCTTGTAAAAAGTAAGCTGCGTGGAAGCCTGAACAATCATGTAAATGGATGATGTCACTGATGCTGACCTGGGCCCCCTGCTGTCCTTTTACTGAACATACATGTCGCCACGCCCTTGGAAGCACCATATCAGTCTATCTTGACATCATCCTTTTGTTTCCTCCAGAACTGAACCAGCTTGGATAGGGTTCAAGAAGAACTTACCTTATACCAAATCCAAGGCATTTTAGCATCTGTATTGAAAGACTTATTCGAGTCTGCAGAGATAGTTCATAATCATTGTTATTCTATTTTCATTTTCTCACATTCAGCCTCCGTCAACCACCACCCATTCATCACATTTTAAAAAATTCAATGTGAATAATATTGCATATATTCTCTGAGCCACTCTCTCCTTATGTCAGAGGAGAAATTAAAGCAAACCAGTCAAAAATCTCTGGAAACACGGAGTGGGTTGGAAATAGCTGCCTCTTTAAATGAAAGAGAACATGAAAACTGATGGCTCCAACCTGAGAGTGAGCCACACTTTATCCTGGAAGAATTATTAGAAAGAAAGGGACATATATTTCTGTTGATACTGTATATTAAGTGAACTTTCTAAACCCTATTTGTCTGTATTGAATAAATATGCTAAGAATTTTCTATCACGTCCTGTATTTCTTCTGGTTTTAAATCAAAGGGATTAAGACTCCTAATTAAGACACTGGAGGAAGACCTGATCAGTTTTGCTAGTGCAAATTAGTTCAGAGGCCCAGAGCTGCTCCTTTCTGTTTGCTGGTATGGGAGGTTTGTTTGATTTAACATGATTGAGGAAATGAAATATCCCTAAGACAAAGAACCAATACTGCACTTCTGGAGAGTGGCTGAAGGGAAACTGGATTGGAATTGCACATTAGTAGTGGATCCAAAATAAAACCAGAAGGAGAAATGTTCTTTAGAAGGAAAATGTGATGACTAATCATTTGAAATAGATTGTACCTTCTTCTTATCTTTTTTTTTCTTAAAGGAGCATAAATGAGTCTCAGTTTTCTAACAAGGTCCTATGAGTTTGGGACATTGTCTTTCCTTCCTTCGGTTCATGTCAAGGTTTTAGATACATTATCTTGTTATTATTCACAATATTTCTACAAAATCATTATTATTATTACCCCTATTTAACAGATAAGGAATCTCATATTCCAAACAAAGATACAGTAAATCCTTATTTGGAAAATGTGACTTAAAGCAAAGATACAGCAGGTCATTGAATAATGTCGTTTCCTGCAATAATGTCATTGGATTTCATCATGACGTTGATGAGGGAAAAAATGTTGGTTTCTAATATATCTTGTTTCACTTAAAGTCACAGTTTCCAAGAACCCACTGAGGATGTCAAGTGAAGACCTACTATATTGACCTCAGGTGAAGAATTCTGTGAGATCTTGGTGACTGTTTCTGATTCCACTGATCCATATTCATTTAGTAAGTCTGAGAAGAAAGATCTTCATCAAAGACAGTACAGCCTTACCCAGTTTTGGTGTTGCATTTTGTGTGGTTTGGTTTTATTCCTATTTAGTGGATCTGGTCAGGCCAGGATGATTCTCCAAGGGCAATGGGAAAAACAGGCAGGATGCACAGAGTACTCATGTATTATCAGCAGAAATCAGACCACAAACAGCCTGGAATGGCTGTCTCTCAACCCAGGTTTGGGTTTGCCTTCTCAAGGCTGATTTTCTTCTCCTCCCTGTCTCCCAGGGTACACAATTTGCACTTACTTCTTCAAGACCTTGAGGGCACTTTTACAACTTCCGTGCTCAACAAATTCAGTTGTTTGTATCTTACTTACATACTAGTGTTCAATAAAAATTAAACTTCTTGTGTTGTTTGAGGGAAAGGGAGCTGAGGTCTACTGTGTGGCTGTGTGCTACATATTTGCGGTGACAATCACCTTTGTCAGGGGATTGTTTCTAGTACCTTAAGGGTTGATCCCATTTTATGTCTGAGATGGCTAGTCAGACTTTGAGAAAGAAGAGGATGAAAGATGGACCATTTTAATTTTGTCAAGTTAGATGTGGTAATTCAGAGCAAACCCAAATCAACCAGTTCCTACTTCCTACTCCATCACAGATGAGACACACACACACACACACACACACACACCAATAAGACAATGGGATATATATGTGTGTGATAGATTTATGTGTGCATGTGTGTGTGTGTGTTTATATGGTAGATGAGACACTGGAAACTTTAAGACCTGGGTTTCCATGAGTAACACATAATGGGGTAGAAATGTGTAATTGCTATGTGTGGACAAAGTGGATGTGAAAAATCAGTCCCTAACCATGGGATTCAGGAGTCCTGGAGGAAGATTCCAACCATACCAATTATTGCCTTTTCTGTTACTTATCTCCTAGAAGCACTGATGTCTATGACTGTCATGTGACTTCCTGCAATGTATCAGGCCAGGGCTTAACAGGCTTCCAGAAGTACATTGACTTAAGGTTACCCAAGATTTGTTTTAATCAGGTATGGTAAGACACGTAGACATGGAAATGACTGCCATGAAGGGAGAAGTTTGTTATACTCACAGAGCTCTAAAAACAGGAGGCACTGGCGGAACAGGAGGAAACAGGAGCAAGAGAATATGTGGTGGGCAAGAATTTCTATTGTGGTTTCCGCGGGAAGAAACAAGCAAGGCAAGGCGAGCAGGTTTAGGATTCACTAGTTTGAATAATTTCAGCAGACTCTGGGGAATAGCATTGCCTGGTATTTTGGTACTTGGCTCTGGGATGATTAGGGAAGGGGAGAGTGGCCCAGAATGTGAGAGCCATAAAGGAAGAGGTTGGGGTGTGGGCTCTGGATGGGCTGGTTTGCGTATGAAAGGCACGCTCTCAGGCTATTTGTTTACTATCTCTAGGAATTAGGTAGCCCTGGGAGAGTCAGTCCCTACAGGGTTAGCAAAATCCCAAGATGTCAAAGCATCCAAATACAGAAAATAAAAACACAGTGTTCATACATTTTGAACTTTGTACTTCCTGTGGTTCTGAAGACAGAGAAAGGGCTTCCGGGGTACTGGTCTCATGTATGTGGGGAAACCTTGACTGTGACTCTTCAGTATGTGAAAGAGTTAATGGCAGAGGGGAAAGCCCTACTTTTGGGGGGTTTGGGGATAAGTGTACAATTCAGTAGTTTTTAGCATACTCACAAATTGTGTAACTATCACCACCATCTAATTCAAGAATATTTTCATCACCCCAGAAAGAAATTCTGTACCAGTTAGCAGTCACTCACTGTTCTTCCTACCTTCAGCCCCTGGCAATCACTAATCTACTTTCCATCTACATGAATTTGCATATTTGGACATTTCATATAAATGGAATCCTACAGTATGGAGCCTTTTGTGTTTGGCTTCTTTCACTTAGCAAAATGTTTTCAAGGTTTATCTGTGCTGTAGCATGCATTGATATGTCATTCCTTTTACAGCCAAAAAATCTTCTGTAGTATAGATAGACCACATTTTGTTTATTCATTCTTCAGTTGATGGACAGTTGGATTGTTTCCACTTCTTGGCTATTATGAATAATGCTGCTATGACATTTGTGTACGAGTCTTTGTATGGATGTATGCTTTTATTTCTCTCGGATGTATACCTGGGGGCGGAATTTCTGGGGCATATGGAAGCTCTATGTTTAACTTTTTGAGAGACTCTCAAACTGTTTTCCAAGATGGCTGTGCCAGCAATGTATAAGGCTTCTGATTACTTCACATCCTTGAAGATACTTGTTATCATCTATCTTTTTGATAATAGCTGTCCTAGTGGATGTGAAGTGGTATTTCACTGTGGTTTTCATGTGCATTTTTCTAATGACTAATAATGTTGACCATCTTTTCATATGAAAGCTCTATTTTTTTGTGATTTTTCCTCAGAATGTGTGGTAAAAATAAACAAGAAAAGGCAGTAAAAATCATTCTTAGTTTTATAACTCAGAGATGATTTCTAATACTTTTATATATATATGTGTATATATAAAAGTATATATTATATAAAGGTATTATATATCTTATATATAGAAAGGTGTTACTATATGTACATATATGTGTATATATGTATATAAATACCTTTATACACATATATGTATGTATATACATATATATAAAAAATCTACTATTTTGGAGGATCTAGATTGTTTCAAACTTTATGCTAACTTGGCAACAACATACTGTAGTCAAATTTTTGTAATAAATCTTTGTAACCTTTATAATAAATCCCTTTATATATAATATGTATACACATATGTATGTACATATACATATGTGTATACATGTCCATAAATACCTTTATATATAAAAGAAATATACCTTATATGATATATAATTATATTATATACAAAATATGTTATATAGTTATTAATATATATTACGTTATATGTGATACATAATATTGTTACAAGTATATATAAAGGTATTTATTATAAAGGTATTTATATGTGTATATATATATACACATATGAGTGTGTGTGCGTATATATATATATATATATATATATATATATATATAAAGGTATTTATTCTTTTCAGATTTCTTCCAAGAAAGAATATAGTCATGCTGCATGTGCTACTAACTTCCCTTTTTAATTGAATATATATTATGAACATCTTTCCATGTTAATACATATTTTCTACAATATTATTTTATATGGCTGCATATCATTCCTCTGAATGCATTTACAGGATTTATTTCTCCAATCTACTATTTCGGAGGGTCTAGATTATCTCAAACTTCATGTTAAGGTAATCTGGCAAACAACATTCTGTAGTCAAATCTTTGTACAAATGTTATTAGTTTCATAGTATAATTAGCCAGAAGTGGAACTTCCAAGTCAAGCAATATGCAAAATCTTAAGGTTTGATGTGTGTAAAACTGGCAATGCCAATTTCATCTATTGTCAGTTGCCAAACTCTGGGCTTAGTTGAGTTCCTTTCTACTTCCACTTCAAACTTGACACTGAGGACATGGCTGGCTATCTTAGTTAGTTAGAGAACAGAAATAACAAAGGCAATTTCTTTGTGGATTTGTTTTCTGTCTGATAAGCCTTGAGTGGTCCTTTCCAGCCAATTTATAAATGTCCATTATTGGTCATGAAGTCAACAGAAGGAGGGAATGTGGCCAAATATCCCTATTTCCTTCAGGTCTCACTCAAACACCACTTCCTTTGGGAGCCTCCCCAGCCACCTGCTAAGCCAGGTGGTGGGATTTAGAGGGGCTCTGTTTGCCTTGGTCATCAGCTAGAAGCTCTATGAGGACAGGTACAGTCTAACTTGCTCAACCTTGTGTCCCCAGCACCTGCATAGCACCAGAAAAATACATGTTTGCTGAATAAATGAATAAAAGAATGAATTAATACTATTGAGAGAAAGAAGCCAAAGCAAGCCTTAGTATTGTTCGGCTGTACACAAAGAGAAACACAACTATTATTGATGACTGCAAATAGAGACAATATAATGACCAAACATGTCAGCTTCCTGCCTTGCTGAGAAGGAAAGGGAGGGAGCAAACACAATTGAGTGTGCATTGTGTGCTCTGCATACATTATTTCATTTAACCCTCACCACAATAATACCTGTCGAGTAGGTCTTATTAGCCCCATTTTAGGTGAGAAAACCAAGACCCAGAGAAATGTTGTTACTTAACCTAAGATCTCACATCCATAAAAAAGAAGACTTGGTATCCCACACCAGATCTATCTGCTGGCAGAGTACCTTTTTGCTTTTGCTACATAGTCACATTCCATTTATTCCAGAAAGGTGAGAAACAAATCTAACTATGTGTGGTCTGAGCAAGGCTATCAGGCCTTTTACATGGCTCTGTGGGTGACCGATGTTGTCCTAAAATGACATTATGTCTCATTTCACCATGGAGAGGCCAAACTAGAAATGGCCTGATTGGTCTCAAAAGCAACGTGCCTTTGGGGGCCAATTCTGCTTATGCTCCTGTCAAAGGGGCACCTATTCAGGACATGGGTCATGGTGACTCCCAAGTATTGATGGCATAAGTAATGCACAGCCTGTACGGCCTCCTCACCAGCAGTCAGAAAAGCCATATATCTGCCAGCTAATTCTAAGAGCAGTGTTCCCCTTCGCGCAGATTTGTGACTCTCCTGGGCCTTGTAGGCACATTTAAACAATGAAAGAAGATTAACCACTCAGCCAAAGAGACAATTTTAATGTCACCAACATAGCATTGACTTTTTCCATTTCAAACATTCTGCTGGGATAATTCGATGCAAGGCTACCATGTATACCAGAAATACTCTCTCACATTTCAGCAATATCTGCCAGGGGAAGTCATTCCAAAGAGCTTTTAAGTCCTGCTTAATTGCAAGACCACTGAATGAGTCTGAGCTCAGCTGAGCCAGGACAAACTGGCCTACTTCAGCATCCCAGTAGGGGATTTTCCCCCTTAAAATGGAGATAAATGGGTCTTGCCTAATCGCCAAGCAGAGTGAACTTGGCCAAGTTGCTGTCAGGCCTGAAGTAGACCATGACCTCCTCAGGGGACCATGAGGCCTGACAGGATTTCTCTTTGACTTCCAGGGTCTTAGATCCACAATTACTTTAAAAAAAAAAAAATGGGGATGCGTATACTAGCCTTCCTTATTGACAGGTTTTCAAGGGGTCATGAGCAGAGTCCCTGTGGTTGGAGACAGGGGTTAATGAGACTCACTTCCCTCAGTCTGGCCAGGCTCTTCGAAGTCTGGTCTGAGACCAGAAATTGGGCCTGAATACAACTGGGTAGGACTGGGAGGGAAAGTTGCTGAGATCTGCCAAATGCCTTTCCCTAATATTATTAGTGCTTAGTAATTCTGGCAACTTTAGGATCCTAAATTGTTGTCTTCGAGTGCAGAAAGAAAAAAGGAGAGGGGCCAAATTGAGAAGTTTAAGAAAAGCACAGTTTTTAATGGATCAATTTTCTGTTGCCTCTAGTCTGTTCGAAAGAATACAATTCTATGAACCATTATTCACGAGCACTCATAGATAATAATTACAGTAACAACAACATAAATCTCCCCTGATACGGGCAAGGAGTAGCTCCCCAGACATGTTTAGTAAGCTGAGGGAATAGATGATAAACTCTTCAGGGCACTTGTAATTATAAAAAAAGAAATCATTCTTATTTGTCTTTAGGATTTAGAGATATACAGATGGCCACCTATCTGGGCTCAGTAGTCTCCACACTTTTTGGGTTATTTACCCCATCTGTAAAATTTGTTTCAGCACATATCCCCCAGTATGTCATGTGTCTATGCATTTTATGCATGTCTTCCCATCTTCACCTATTAGGTACATTTAAAAACATATACAAGAAATTGAAACTAGCACAGAATCAGATAAAAATCAATAGAAGTAAATAATACCATGTTTTCTTCCTTCATCTCAAAAGATTGTCTAGGTCCAACTCATTCTGAAGACCCCTGCTCTAAATCTCATGGAACTTGCATTAATCAGCTTGGCTACCATAACAAGATCCCATAGAGCAGGTGGCTTAAACAACAGAAAATCATTTTCTCATACTTCTGGAAGCTGGAAGTTCAAGAGCAAGATGCCAGCAGGGTTGGTTTCTGGTAAGGCCGTACTTCCTGGCTTGCAGAAGGGCACTCTCCTGCTGCCTTTTCACATGGTCTCCCTCTGTGACTGCACACCCCTGGTGTCTCTCTGGTGTCCAAATCTCCTTTTATTATTTATTTATTTACTTATTTTTGAGATGGAGTCTTGCTGTGTCGCCCAGGCTGGAGTGCAGTGGCGCAATCCTGGCTCACTGCAACCTTCGCCTCCCAGGTTCAAGCAATTCTCATGCCTCAGCCTCCTGAGTAGCTGGGACTATAGGTATGCGCAACCACACCCGGCTAATTTTTGTATTTTTTGTAGAGATGAGGCTTCACCATGTTGACCAGGCTAGTCTCAAACTCCTGACGTCAAGTGATCTGCCCGCCTCGGCCTCCCAAAGTTCTGGGATTACAGGCATGAGCCACCATACCCGGCCCACATTTCCTTCTATTATAAGGACATATGAATCTGGTGGTGGTGGGGAAGGACACAATGCAGCCCATACTAAAGCCTCTTACATATGAAAGTCCAGATGCTCCCACAGGAAAAAAGGAGAAGCTGCTGTTTGACACTGGTGCCCAGGGGAAGTGTCTTGGGGTTCTATCTGTCCTTACACCATTAGTTACATGCACTTGCATTGCAACCCCCCGGGGGTAATGTTGCCCCTGTGATAACCATAGGATCACCTTTCTCAGAAGCCAGAGCTGATCTTTCTAATGTCAGGTAATGTCAGGCCACTGGCTGACTTCCCAGAGCTGACAGGTCACTTGCTCCCCAACCTCACAAAGGAGAAAGGCAAGAGAACTTCCTCCCCAAGAGCCTTGGACAGTCCTGGCTGGTCCTTCCTCAGTCTCTCTCAGCTGCAGAAGCACAAGCCAAGGCACTAAGGAGTTAGTATCAGAAGATCCCGTGATGAGCCTAGTCCATGAAACTCCTTCCAATATGGTGCAGAGGCAGGGCTGGTCCTTGGCAACACCTTCAATAGTATCCTTTTACATATTTGCCTCCCTCTTTGAACATCCTCTAATTTCAAAATCGTTCAGGGCTAATGCCATAGTGGACGGGCCTCCATGATTCATATGCCCAGGTGATTCCTACTTTTTAAGAGACTCAAGTGTATGTTGGGGTGGGGTGGGGTGGGGTAGGACAAAACCAATCCAAAGGAGTTAATCTCTAATGCTGGAATTTCAGATACTAGGAAATTCTAGGTTAGGAAACTATTTGAGAAGTAGCAGAACCTTCCTTGGCCATTCAAATCACCTCTGGACAAGAGATACTGATGTTGGCTACAGTATTCCTATCATTCAAAAGCTACCACTTCCTCTGTGGAACAACTCTTGTCCAAAAGGGACATCAGTGAGAGGGGTTAGGATCTGACTTCAGATGATGTTGACTCCAAGTTATTGATTCCAGGCTAGGGAGCAAGCTAGACAGTGACCGTCTCCAATAATGAACAGATGAAGTGAATCAGTGGATTGGTGGGAGGCTAACATGAGGCTCTGGAACTCTGCCACCTGAGTTCCAGTTCTGGGTCGGCCACGTCCTTCCTGCTATACTCTCTATGCCCCGTTTTCTTATTTTAAAATTGGGATAACAGTAATGTCTATTTCATGGCATTGTTAAGGGTTTTAAATGAGATAATACAAGTTCTTAGCATAATGCCTGACTTTTAACAAGCTCCCAGCCAATGTTAGCCGCTGTCATTCCCAAGGGTCTACCAAGTCAGAAGGCCTGAAATCAGGCAAGAGCATGGCAAGCTTGCCTCTCTTCAAAAGTGATGGAGATCTGCAGGAAGAAGGACCCATAATAAGAATTTTTTCTATTAATACAATAAAATATAAATATGCAGAATGAGTATTTATTTATTTTTGAGATGAGGTCTCAACTCTGTCACCAGGCTAGGGTGTTGTGGCATGATCTTGGCTCACTGCAACCTCCACCTTTCAGACTTAAGCAATCCTCTGACCTCAGTGTCCCGAGTAGTCGGGTCCCCAGGTGCATGCCACCAGACCTGGCTAATTTTTTGTAGTTTTGATAAAGACAGGGTCTTGCATTTTGCCCAAGTTGGTCTCGAACTCTTCAGCTCAAGTGATTCCCCTACCTGGACCTCCCAAAATGCTGGGATTACAGTCATGAGCCACTGTGCCCACCCAAGCATTTAAAAATACATAATGCAGAATAGTGGAGGCTTTTCAGGGCAAAATGGAGACAGGCTTTAAAAGGCAAATGCTGATTTTGAATTCCTGGAAATACTGTGAAGAGATGAGGTGAACGCTATCCAGGGGCTTTAGCATTGGGAGGTGATGGTGAGAATAAGAAGGAAAATTAGCCAGGAAAATTTTAACCTTGAAAATCAGAGCCCAAAACAATGGGTCTTAAGTTTTTGGGGATCACAAATCCCTCAGAGCATCTGATAGCTATAAACATTCTCCCCAAAAACCCCTCACATTCACATAAAACTCTAGATATAATCCCAGGGTGACCCTGGACTCCCTAGATCCTGAAGGAACCTGTGACCCCAGATTAAGAATCTCTTATAGAAGGAAAAGCCCACAGATGACATGGCTTGATGTCAGAGAAGATCTGGAAGCATGCGCATAAAGCTCAGACACTGAGCCCGGCCAAATGGGCCCTAAGGAAGCCACCTGGGCCATAGCCCCAGCCTGGCCATGTAGAATGTATATCTGAAAGTGGCCCCCCTGTGGCTATAGAGTTATGTGGACACCTACCAATGGTATGTGCTGGACTCCAAGGACCAAGGTGGGCAGTGGGGTATAGTTGGAGTTGGGGGACAGCAGGGAAGGAGCAGGGAAGGAGCAGAGCAGCCCACGGCAGCAGTCATTTCCCTTTGGTGAAGAAGCCCTCCCCCTGTAAGTAAAGGGAAGTCAGGGAAGTGTGACCTGAACTCAGAGAGGAAGGCTGCAGACCTCACAATGGTGTGCCTGCCACCGCTCTGCAGATCTGTTGGGTTCCTAGAAGTCGCCCTGGACCCCATTCTCTCCCCGCCCTGCTTTCTGGTTATCCCACACATCATCTCCCTTTTGCCTCCTTCCCACCACCCTGGCCCTCAACAGTCACCCAGACTCCTAGGAGTCGCATCCCCACCATCGCTGCCCCTTTAGCCCTCTGGGATTTATGATCCACGCTGCAGCCAGAGTGCTCTCCAGAATCACATCCAGCTTCCTGCGTGCAGCTTCAAAGCTGTGTGGTGGGCGTGTTCCCACCCCCCAGCCACTTCTCTTGACCCCACCACCTGATGGGACCCATTGGCTGAGCACCCTGTGGTCCAGCTCCCTTTCGACCCCCCAGGGCTCTCAGCCTCCCCAGCCCCAAACCCTTTGCCTGGCCAACTCTACACATCATTTAGGTCACTTGTCGCCTCCTTTAGGAAGTCTTTCCCAGCCTCTTCTCCACCCCGCAGCATCTCTTACCACTACCCTAAACTCCAGCCAGAGGGACTATGGTCTCTGCAGTCCCCTCTAAGCACTCTCCTGGGCTCCAGGCCATTCCTCCTCCTGCCTCAGCTCAGCTGGTGCCACTCCCTCCAGAGGCCTTCAAAGCCTTCCAGAGGGCTAGGGCTCCCACATGCGCTCAGCTCCTGGCTTTCTCCCTGCAGAGGTCTTGCCTCACCTGTGGGCTACATGCTCTTTCCCAAAAGGGTCTGTGCCTTGTTTACTTGTCCTGGGTAGTATTGGGTTGTTGTGAGGATGAATGAGTGGCATGTAGGTGAAGCACTTAGAACAGTGCCTGGAAAACATCAGGAGCAACTGTTAGTTCTATTATTCTTATTGCTGTTATCATCACCATCATTATTATTATCATTGACTGCTATAACCCCAGTGCCTGATATAGGGAGATATCCAATAAGTTTTTGTTGAATGGATGGATGGAAGGATGGATGGATGATAAAATTGTGTATTATTGCAGTCATCCTCAGTGCTTTTTATTTTCGTTTCAATGCCTTTTTTAAAAATCACTTCGTGTTCTTCAAAATATCCTGGGGAGGATTCTGGATCTGGCAAACCCTGAGGCTGAAGTGTAGAAAGACCATCCAAGAATCACGCCAGAAGGGGACAGAATGCAGCAATCCAGGTCCTTGCACCCCTCTCCTTCAGGATTCACCTTCCAGGAGAGTTTGAGAGGTCTACCTCTCAGATCAGCATTGGGAGGAGATGGGGAGAATTTCAGGACCAAAGAATGGGGTCCCATTGTGCTTCCTGAGTCTTCATGCTCTACTACTGCTGCCCAGGGCAGGGGGTGGGGGCCGTGATTGAGCACATTCAATCCCACTGAGATTTCATTAACTTGCATTCATTTGTGTCACTTAATTATTGTGAACGGGATCCTTCTCTAATAAATGTGTTTTCCTAACCCACAGCCTCTGGGCTATCATTCTAACCATATCTATTATGACTGAATGGCTTCTTGGAAACAGAGTGGCCTTCTTTGTATTTGGAGCTAAGTAGGGCATACTAAAGAGCTTCCCGCCCTCCAGAAAAGGGGGGTGGACAGGCAAGGACTCCGTGCTCTGGGGACCCAGCCTCCCGCTCCTTCATTGTGAATCACCTGCTGAAATAAAGGATCTGGAGCCTGGTGTGTTTATACAGCAGCGCGCCAGGCGACAGCTAAGGTGTTACACCGCAGCCTTCCAGGAAGGGGCAGGGGCCTGCTTGTGGGTTTAAATAACACGGCAACTGAGAAAGCTTATTCATCTTGATCTGTTGGCCTCATCAGTGAAGTGAAGGTGCTGAGATAACATCAAGCGAAAAGCAGCCCCACCCTGGGGGAAAATTTAGATCCTAGGTCTTTCTCATGAACATTCCTATTTAAAAGGAATTCTGTGCCTGCGCAGGGTTTTGTTTCCCTCTGCAAACTCCCTCTGTTTGAGTTAGAATTCTTCTTTCCTCTCTTGCCCTCCAAAATAGATCTCACTGGGCAGCAGAAGCTGGGTTCTTAAAAACAAGCAATTGTATTTAATTGCAAACTCCACAAACAAATGAGCAGCTGTATCTGTATTGATGAATGAATGTCTTTTGTCTTTACAGATACTTTAAAAAATGCATAGTCAACAGAGAACTGTATGCTATTTGGGAAATAGATTTACCTTCTTAATTATATTTTTACTTGTCCTTAGATTAAAATTAGTTTGCTTTGCCTGAGCTGACACTGCCTTGGGTGGTGAGAGATGATTAGAGAGAATCCTGCGGGGAGGAAAAGCTGATCTGATATGAAATATCTGGGGCCAAGGTCCTGTAGGGGGATGGTCTTTGAGGACTCAAAGAGCTGAGGGTTACTTGGGGCTCCTTTCCCTCAGTTTTACAGAAGGTACTTCTGGCTGGCAAAGATGTCACTGATCAGTTTTCAGGAGGAATTATTGTGGCTCACTGAAGAAGGTGTCTCTCCAAACTCACAGATCCTAATGATCACTTTATCAACAGAGAAATGAAATCTAGGATGGGGTCTCTGTGCTTGGCCGGAGACCCTGCATCCTCTTTAGCCAGGATTCTCTTGTGGAGATAAGGAGCTTCATCAGTAATTGTGGATCTTACTAACTCCACCCAGCTAAGACTTGAAGTTCTGGTCTAAATGAGCAACAAACATTGAGGTTGTTGGGGTTTTACAAGCCCTCCCAGCCCTTGTGCTGGCAAAAGAGGAAGCCTGTGCATGAAAGCCAGACTTTGCCATAGCAATGATGCAACTCCATGAGTGGAAGAACACCAGGGTTCTTCGTCTCAAGTCGAATTAGATAAAATAACACGGACACACGTGGAGTCGTTTTAAGGACTGGAGAGTTTAATAGGTAAGAAAGAAGGGAAAAGAAAGAAAGCAGCAGCTCCCCTGTACAGAGATGGGGGGGGTAGGGGGCGGCTCCAAAGCGAGAGAGGGGACCCCAAGTACGCAGAAACCAGCCAGGTATATGGAGAGGCTGGAGGAAGCAGTATCTGATTTGCATAGGGCTCAGAGGATTGGTTTGACCAGGCATGTCATTCACGTAGCCCTTGAAAAAACTGACTCTCCCACCCTAGCCTTTTAATATGCAAATACAGGGCGCCATAATGTTCTACACACGTGGGGATATGTGGGGGCAGCCATGTTGCCAGGAACATGTGGGGCAAGGGGAAGAAGGAGGCAGGCAGCAGGAATCCTCTTGTTGGGGTGGACCCAGTTTCTAATGGCCAACATTTGCATATGAAAGATTGCCTGCCCAGCTCTAAGAGCCAGGGCTTTCCTGCTAGACAAGAAATGTTTCTGGAGCTGCTTTAAAAGAGATGAAAACTTTCCAAGGACCGCTTTTCCTATCTGCCTAGAACAATTTTTAATACCTCCTATCGCAGCAAGTCCCCATGTAGTGGGACAGCAGAAAGTGTGTTCAGCAAGGAAGAGGTGCTGTGCCTTACTTCCAGCCTCACCTGCATAAACCTTCTGCTCCAGCCTTCATTCTCTCTTATCCAATGTGCTGGCCTATTAGAAGATCTAACAGGTAGAGACACTAAAGAAGGTTCTTTTGTGTATGCAAGACTGATCATGGAAAGCCTCTCATGAAACACCAGGTGTGAGCAAAAAATAAACTTCCGTTGTGTTAAACCACTGATATTTGGGAATTCGTCTGTTACAACAGCTAGCATTACTTAACTAATAAATCTTCATATTTAGGAAGTAATAGGGAACAGCTTTCTCTAAGTTATAGTTTCTTCCTCCCTTCCAATGACCCATATCTTGTATATACAAAGATGTCTTTGGAATGAATGGAAATTAGTTCATTAGTTCTAGAAAACACAGAAGTTAAGTGAGAGAGAAGTTTATCTCTTCCAAGAATATGTTGAGAAAAGGAAAGCAGATGAAAAGCATCTTGAAAGAGATTTTAAGCTTCTTAGTTGGTAAGAGTGATATTATAAGCCTCTTCTTTATAGTGCTTCCAGTATGTATGGAAAGTGATGAGTGGTGAGAAGTGGCATTACCATCTTATAAAGGAGAAACTGAGGCATGGTGAATGCTTTGCTGAGAAATCCTTCAAATCAGACCTGCTGGGTTTGTGACCCCCCATTCTACCAGCTTAATGAGACTGTGCAAATAAGACCAGTGTTATAGCCCTATTGAGAGACAGGACTAGCTGGATTTCCTAGGCCAACTAAGAATCCCTAAGCCTAGCTGGGAGGGTGACCACTTACACCTTTAAACACGGGGCTTGCAACTTAGCTCACACGCAACCAATCAGATAGTAAGGAGAGCTCACTAAAATGATAATTAGGCAAAAACAGGAGGTAAAGAAATAGCCAATCATCTGCTGCCCGAGAGCACAGTGGAAGGGACAAGGATCGGGATATAAACCCAGGCATTTGAGCTGGCAACGGCAACCCCCTTTGGGTCCCCTCCTCTTTTATGGGAGCTCTGTTTTCACTCTATTTCACGCTATTAAATCTTGCAACTGCACTCTTCTGGTCCATGTTTGTTACAGCTCGAGTTCACTCGCTGTCCACCACTGCTGTTTGCCACCATCACAGACCTGCCGCTGACTCCCAACCCTCCGGATCCGGCAGGGTGTCCGCTGTGCTCCTGATTCAGCGAGGTGCCCATTGCCGCTCCTGATAGGGCTAAAGGCTTGCTATTGTCCCTGCACGGCTAAGTGCCCGGGTCCATCCTAATCGAGCTGAACACTAGTCACTGGCTTCCACGGTTCTCTTCCGTGACCCACGGCTTCTAATAGAGCTATAACACTCACTGCATGGCCCAAGATTCCATTCCTTGGAATCCATGAGGCCAAGAACCCCAAGTCAGAGAACACAAGGCTTGCCACCATCTTGGAAGTGGCCCGCCACCATCTTGGAAGATGCTCGCCACCATCTTGGGAGCTCTGTGAGCAAGGACCCCCGGTAACACTATCAAAGGAAGTAGGTGGCTGGGTGCAGTGGCTCATGCCTATAATCCCAGCACTTTGGGAGGCTGAGGTGGGCGGATCACGAGGTCAGGAGATCGAGACCATCCTGGCTATCACGGTGAAACACCATCTCTATGAAAAACACAAAAAATTAGCCAGGCATGGTGGCGTGCACCTGTAGTCCCAGCTACTCGGGAGGCTGAAGCAGGAGAATCACTTGAATCCGGGAGGTGGAGTTTGCAGTGAGCCGAGATTGTGCCACTGCACTCCAGCCTGGGCGACAGAGCAAGACTCCGTCTCAAAAACAAAAACAAAAAAAAGTAGGTTAAAAAAAAAAAAAGGAAGTAGGTGTCAGATTCTCCTCTACAGTAATCCCCCTTATCCATGGCGTATATGTTCCAAGACCCCCATATCCTGGGGGTCTGAAGTGCCTAAGTTTTAGTCTGGATGACTGAAACCATGGATAGTATTGAAACCTATATATATATATTACGCACAAATTTCGTTTTCCTTTTTCACAATTTCAGATAGAATATTCATCCTTATTTAATATCTAAGCAACCTGAGCATATGATTTTTTAAATTTCCTTATAAGTCAAGAACTTTCACCTTTTCACTTAAAGTAGGCACTTCACAGCTTCTCTTTGGCATATCCGAATTGCCAGCATCATACCTCTTGCGCTTTGGGGCCATTATTAAGTAAAATAAGGGTGACTTGAACACAAGCTATACGATACCTTGACACTTGATCAGATAACAGCCAGCTCCTAAGTGATTCGTAGGAGGGGACATGCAGAGCATGGATGTGCTAGACAAAGAAATGATTCAATCCCAGGCAGGACAGAGAGGGAAAGTGGGAGATTTCATCACACTCTTGGAATGGCATGTAATTTAAAACTTATGAATTGTTTTTTTCTGGAATTTTTCATTTCATATTTTCAATGATTGACCAAAGGTAACTGAAACTTGGGAAAGTGAAACTGTGGATAAGGGGGGACTACTGTACCGTGAAACACACAAAGAGAAAAGGCACACCGAAATCACCACTTTTCCTACAATCCTTTCCTAATTTAAATTCTAATTAGATAAATCCAGAAGTAGGGGAGATTACAGAGGATGGGGACGAAGCTCCACCCTGGGAGAATAATCAGAGACGTTGTGAAGAAATGGGTAGGAGTAGAAGAGGAAGAACAGGATTTGACAGAAAGAATGCTCCTTTTTCTTGCATTGACCATCCCTTGAGAATCATCATGAGGTCCAGGAACGGTGTTGGGGGCACTGGAGACACGCTCAATGCTCTGTGCAAACAGGCCTTGAGTGGGCACTTTCCATACCTGGAGCCTGCTAAGATTTAGAAGGGTTAGTGGGGAAGGTTGGAGGGTGTCGGAAGGGTAGATCCCAGGTTGTTTGTTGCCTCGTTTTATATAATTAACCCACCGTAGGCCGGGCATGGTGGCTCATGCCTGTAATCCCAGCACTTTGGGAGGCCAAGGTGGGTGGATCACCTGAGGTCAGGAGTTCGAGACCAGCCTGACCAATATGGTGAAACCTGGTCTCTACTAAAAATATAAAAATTAGCCAGGTGTGGTGGCATGTGCCTGTAGCCCAGCTACTCAGGAGGTTGAGACAGGAGAATTGCTTGAACCCCAGAGGCGGAGTTTGAAGTGAGCTGAGATCGTGCCACTGCACTCAGCCTGGGCAACAGAGCAAGACTCCATCTCAAAAAAAAAAAAAAAAAAATTTAACCCACTGTAGTCTAGGCTGCGCTTTCAGGGCAGATTTAGCCCTTCACAGACAGAGTCACGGTGCTGTCCAATGACATTTGCATAATAAAGGAAATGTTCTCCAATTCTGTGGTAGCCACTAGCCACATGTGGCTACTGAGCATCTGAAATGTGACTAGTGCAACTAAGAAACTGAATTTTAAATTTTGCTTTAGTTAATTTAAGCTTAAATATCCACATGTGACTAGTGGCTACGATCGTGGATGGCAATGTGAATTAGGGTGTGGTGAGGTTACCAGTGGCATCATGAGAGCTTTAAGCTTTCTCCAGCCCACCGGAAGGAAGGTCAAGCTCATCAGGGGCACTACAGATATTCTTGGTAAAACTTATCTGAAACACATTGTTGAAAATTAAAGCTTCTGGACCTGCAACTCATGAAGAAATTCTACAATTCTTGTACTCTTTTTTTCTCTATCATTTGCTCCATCTCAGATTGCTAAAAAAAACAATGGGTTTGGAAAAGTATCCAAACATGGCCCTTAAACCCTTTGTGTGGGCATAGGCATAAGTATTATTTAATCTTTACCAGTAACACTATGAGATAGCTAGAATTCCCATTTTCCAGGTGAACAAACTAAGGTTCAGAGAGTTTTAAAAACTTGCCAGAAACGCTCAGCAGAAGAAAGGATTTTTACCCAGATCTATCTGATTTCATTACATCCTTAACCACACACATGAATGTTCCATAATTCAAGCCACAAATGTACTTTTCTCCTCCTGTTTCTTGCACACAAAGCATCTGGCCTCCAGATTGTTGTTTTTTTTTTCCCCATCTCTGTCATTACTGGCTTGATGTTAGAAATGCTAAGTAAAAGAAGTGCCTGGAACCACTGAATATTAATACCTGGCATTTGCACAGCGCTTTACAGTTTACAAAACATCCTGACATTTGTTATTTCATTTAATTCCCACTCCCGTCAACCATATGGGAAATTATTATCTCTTTTTAATGAAGTTGGGGGGGTGGTAACTCATAGAAACTAAGTGAGCCCCCAGTTAGACAGAAATGGACCCAGGGCTCAGACCCAGGCCTTCTGACTGGGAGACCTGGGCTGTGTCTCCTGCTCAAAGCTTTTGCCTCAGAGGCAGCAGATAGATGCAGACAGGCAATCTTAACCTTTCCGTGCCTTGAACTCCTATGACCACTTATAGAATAATGGTTTTTTTTGAGACAGTGTCTCACTCTGTTGCCCAGGCTGAAGTACAGTGGTGCAATCATGGCTCACTGCAGCCTCAACCTCCTGGGCCCAAGCCATCCTCCCACCTCAGCCTCCCTAGTAGCTGGGACTACAGGCACGTGCCACCATGCTCAGCTAATTTTTTTTTTTAATTTTTTGTGGAGACAAGGTCTCCCTATGTTGCCCAAGTTGGTCACAAACTCCTGGGCTCAAGCAATCCTCCCGCTTCAGCCTCCCACAGTGCTGGGATTACAAGCATGAGCCACCGCACACAGCCAGAGTAATGTTTTTAGATACACAAAGTCAAATACATAGGGTTTCAATGGAAACCAATTACACTGAAATTAAAAATATTTTTAATCAAATGTGTGAAATACTGTTACACATGTGCTTCTTTATTAACCCGATCTAGCAGCTGGTCTAATAACTTTTGCAGTTTCAAACCAGTGATCAGTGTAAATGATACTTGAAGGTATGTGCAACGATAGTAATGTCATGAAAATCTCTTCAGTTTCTGATAGTGAGAAAGACATAGGTACTGCTAATACTATTGTGGGGTTTTTTGCCCACATTTATAATAACAGAAAAATACTTAATTTCAGTTAAAGGCTAGTAAAGACATTTTTTCCCAAGTTCACAGAACCATTTAATTTTATCCATAGAATCCATAGGACCACCCACGTAGACCTCTCAGTCTAGAGGCTTCAAAAATCCTCAAGACTGAATCATATCTCCCTCCTCCATGACCAACGAAGAAATTTGAGATTGCTGGCTTGGATTAAGTAAGGAAAATTAGAAACATTTTGATGGCCATGACAGTCAACTTGGGAACTCTACTTCTAGTGCATTCTCACTACAGTGCCCTGGAGTCAATGAGTTTTCTGTGTACCCATGCTAATGACCATAAGCATCCCCACCATCTACCTTGTGTCTATGCGGCACCTTCCTGCCCAGGACTCAGGGGATTACATCCAGGAATATCCAAGAGAGTCAGGAACTTGTGGCTTCTTCCTTTCATTTTAAACATTCACTTCCATAACTGATTGTCAGAACACCTCATTTTGGTTGTTCAAGAACAGTATTATTATCCCTGTTTTATAGCTGGAAGCAAAAATGAAATACCAAGTGATTGAGTGACCATCCCAAGGTCACACAGCATTACTGCAGAGAAGGTAATTCAGTGCTCACGACATTCAAAATCCTATTCAGTATTTAGAAATTGGGAATGAGGAGGGGTCAATGACGCGGAAGGGTGCAGAAGGCAGACACATACAGAAATGAGGCCAGGTAAATCAGGCTAGTGACTGTGCATTTAGCAGGTATGTGCTCAAAGTTCTTAAAGTAAACACTTTAATTCTATTTCCATCACTGAAAAAGAGAAAAGAGAGAAAGGTGACCCTGGTGATTTGTCATCTCAAATTTCAAGGATTGCATGGCAGATGGTGGCATGCCCAGACCTAGCAGCAGCTCTTGGCTAAAGGGAGATGTTGAATCTCTCAGCTCCTGCGGACGGATCTATAGTAATTTCTTGATGTACCCAGGCAGAGTGATTGGCTGTCGCGAATCATTCCAGAACTCACGTAGAAGAACAAATAGGGGAAATGGCATTTATACGGACTCACCCTCAAGTAAATAACTTTACTGTTTTTCTCGCCTATCCTATGATAGGCGAGAAAATCACTGAAAGCCTGTTTTTCCTTTGGTCATTAGTTTTAGCCCATTAACTGCATGATAAACAAGGATTTAATTAAAAGCCACTATCATATTTAAAACTCATGACACATACCAAGAATAAGCTTATGTTGTTGAAAGGATCACAGTATAGAGTAGCAGGGGGAATTCTAAGACAGTTATTAAACTGGAAATTCATTTGCTCCAGTGGAGAAACCCCAAACACTTGCATTTTAACCTGTCAAGGATCTTTAATTTGCCTTTCATCTGATGAGGAATTTGGAGGTTTTTGAGTATTTGAAGCAATTTATCACTCCCTGTCCTTCTACTTATCTCTGTGGGCATTTACCAAAGAAAGTCTGGAGCTAAAATATGAACATATAATTTGTATGTGATATATATATATATATATATAAACCAAAATGTCTTCCCCAAGCCTGGCACAACTGTCACTGGTGCCACTACTGAACTTTCCTCAGGATTTTACAGCTCCAGAGAAGATATGCCTGTTCCTAGGCTTTAATTTCAACAAAGGACCACAAGAGGTGGGAGGGAGATGGGGAGGAAGGGATACTAAGGACTTGCCTTGTTGCCTGAGAGGCTCTTGTCATGCTTGCCGCAGTGCACAGGGGGCAAAGGTTCATGGAAATTCTTACTCCTGGGCTGGTGGAGACAGAGATGGATACCTGTGAGTCTCCCTGTTGTTTGTCTCTTCCTGGGGGAGCAGTTTAAGAAAAGGGACTAGGGCAAGTGGAAATGGAGTTGATTAGGAAACTCCACCCTACACTTTGCTTATGTTTATGTCAAATACATGAGGGTGACCACCATCCTCATCAATAGATCATAATGTGCTTGCTCATTAAGCCCAGACACAGCCCCAAAATGCCTCTCTACAGGAGCCTCCACCAATCAGAGTTGGGATAAGAGACAGAATCCCCTTACCATGTTCAGCCTTTGCCTGTCTTTGCCCATGCAACAAATAGTTGCATTTGTGGTTGTTTTAGCCTTTTCAATATCCTGCATGGTGAATGGTGAAATACCTATCATGGATCATTAGGCCTTACTGTCCAACAGATGCTACTCACACACGTCGTACTCCTAGTATGCTAACTATAACTCGACTGCCCTCTCCTATACCAGAAAGCATATTCAAATGCGGGCAAATGTCAGGGGCAATATTCTAGGGACAATAAGGAAAACATTTTATTTCTTAAGTAAACAATCAACAAATTTCATTATAAATGTTATAAGAAATTACTTGCCACACATCTCGCAGCTGTGTAGCAGTGAGGTACCTTAAGCACTGCCTTAGACACTGGAAAGCAGCTTCAGGGTCCAGGACAAGACGACAGTCCAGCCCTCATCCTGTAAATCTGAGGGTGCCGGCAGGAGTCAGCCTGACATCCATGCCACACCCTGGCAGTGTTGGTCTGTTCCTTTTGATCAGTTACCTGTAGGCAAACTTTCAGCCCCTGCTTCAGAGAGAAGCTGAAGACCTAGGGGCAGCTTTGTCTACTAATGGCTCCCCATGAAGTGCCTCAAATTAGTCTTGGGGTTGTAATAAAAGAGGAGCCAGGACCTGCCAACTTGTCCCACCCTATATTCCCTCCCTAGACCTTCACACACACACACCACCCACCCCGAATCCCCACATCCCCACATCTTGCATTAGGCATATGGAAGTCTTGAGCAAAAGCCAAAGAAACAAGAAAGAAAAGTTTGAATCGGTAAATGGCTTTATTGCTCCATGTTTAACCTCAGCGTCTTCCAGGCAGGAAACTCTCATTCCCCATTTGCTGTTTACCTTGAGGAATCTGAAGTTTAATGAATTTCATGCAAGAAATATTCATGAGATGACAACTGCCCAGTGAATCCCTCCTACTGGGGAGGTGGGCAGGACAGGGAATTTGACTAGAGGCATTGCCAGAGCCCTTGGAAATAGGGAGGCTTCCTGTCTTTGTTTCCTTTTAATGGATCTAGTGGCCTCCTCAGTTACAGCTCTTGGTGAGTAGGGAAGCGTCCTGGATAAGGCTGCACTTCGCATGATACAGCTCGTCACTGAACTCCACCAAAGTCAGCTCTGGGATCACAACATTACCAGGCAGTGTTCACGCAGTGAGGCCAGCTGCCCTCTAACAAGAACTGATGGAGCCTCCCAGAGGAGGCCCCCCAGAAGGTGAGAAGAAATATTGATTAGAAATTCAAAAACAAGATTTTCACCCTCCCAGTGGGCTATGCTGGGCTGTAGCCCTTGCAGAATAATTGAAAAAAATATTATGTCAACAACTCCCTGGGAAGAGAGACATGACCTCTTCGAGGCCCTGAGCCTTTAGTTTTCAGAGATTCAGGAAGGCCCTCAGCTTGGCAGTGGGAGAAATTAAATCCATTCGTTGATGCCACATTTGGATCGTTGATGCCACATTTGGAGGCAAGCCTCGGTTTGTCACAGGGTGGTTTATTTCATGGTTAAGGATAGAGGAAAGTAAAATCAGAGATGGTAGACCCAGCAAAACATTTGTCTGACTGAATTTGGGTTTCAGACCCTGCTGCTGTAGACGACCCCCAGCTCGGGTCACCATGAGAGCTCATGAGTTCTTGCTTGGTGACTGAGGGCTTTGCTGTGGTTCCTGAGAAAAGAGGGAGTTGGAGGCGGGGGTGGGGAGGAGGAGATTCAAGTAAAAGGAAGACCAGGGAAAGGTGTGATGCCCTTTCTGGCTCAGAGTTTCTGTACTTAGAATGTGATACAAATCTGACAGGCCAAGAGATATTTGAGATGATCAGTGTTATCTTTTTGACAGAAAAAAAAAAAAAAGAGAAGGAAACAGAGACAGTCAGCGTAGGCCCTACAGTGCTGCTGGCAGAAGGAAAGTCTCAAACCATTAGCTCTCACACACACAGCAGGGAATGACTCCACCACTGCCTCCAGCTCCTCCTCTCCAAGCTGGGAGATCACCCATTCACCACCCTCTTAAAACCCATTAAAAAAAAAAATCACTTCATAATGCTGACAAATACACTGGGGACCCAACTTAAAAAGAAACTTTAATTTCTATAAGTAATTTTTGATAATGATTGTGATATGGAGATTTATTGAAAAAAATTAAAATGAAATAGCAGCAAGCTATTCAATGCACATTTCTGACCTGGCACCTTTTTAAAAGCCTGATGTTGCTGCGCTGAGATGCACTCCTGTGACCAGCGGCCTCACCCTCCCCCTCCTTGAAGTGGGTGTCAAGGCCACCCGCAGTGAGCTAAGCCAGGCTTCTGGTCCGGTCCGGGGATCTATTGAACTGTCACACCAGCAAGCCCACCCCAACATCATCCCCAACAAACATCAACCTCACTTTTCTTACTATTATTCCAAGAGTTTTTATGACCAGCTTTAGGAAGGCATGAAGCATTAAAAGCAACAGTAAAGCAACTTTTTCCCCCTACAGACATCTTGGTCTTGGCATACACAGTATTGCATTACATTCCTAAACTCTCTTTTTCTCCCCTAGATTACCATGACTCTTTCCCTTCTCTGCCACTTTGTCACTTCTCTTCTTATTCTCTCTTAATTCCACAGAATATTCTTATTTTGGTCAGAAATAAGATTTGGAGTAGAATAAACTTTGGCAGCAGCATATCAGGGCCAGATGTGTTTGTTTTGTAATTCCAGAGCCAAGGTATGTGGTTTCCTGGGTCTAAAATGATGAGGCGCCAGTGTCACAGTGGGCAGAATCTAAAAAGTTCTTGACCAGGAGGACCACATCATTCACTTGACAAATTTAGTATCCATGCAAAAGGCACTTGACCTGGCAGATTCCAGGAACCACAAGATGATAGTCATGTCTAATGGATGGCCTGGCCATAGGACCCCCTCACTCTGTCCTCTTGATTAGATCAAAACATTAGGAAGAAAATACAAGAATGAATCTTTCTGGAATTCTGATAAGCACTTGTCCTTGGTCAAGTGCAGAAAGCAGAACTTAGCATAATGCTGACTTATGGATTTTTAGCTATCAAAAAGTTGAAGAGAGCTAACGGGTCAAGGAGATGAGCCAGGACACTCTTTGCAAAATTGGTGAGAACAATGGGAAAGACTTAACAGAATCTTCGATGATGGGTAAGTTTAGAGCAGGGATCAGCAAAGTATAGCCTACAGGTCAAATAAAGCCTGACATCTGTTTGTTTGTTTTTAATAGCTTTTTAAATTATAATTTAGATACCATACAATTCACCATTTAAAGTATAAAATTCAGTCTTCTAGTAAATTCACACAGTTGTGCAACCATCACCACCATCTAATTTTGGTATTTTCATTCCGTATACAAGAAACCTCATTAGAAGTCAGTCCCCATTTCCCTCTTTCTCCTTTCTTCCCCCCACCTCCATCCTAAGCAACCACTAGTCTACTTTCTATCTCTATAAATTTGCCTATTCTAAAAATTTAAAAATTTGAATTGAAAAGTGAATGAAAACGGAATCATATAATAGGTCGCCCTTGTTACTGACTTCTTTCATTTAGCATAATTTTTAAAAATCCATCCATGTTATGCATGTAGCAGTATTGCTTTTTAAAGCCAAATAATATTCCATTATATAAATACACTACACTTTGTTTATTCATTTATCATTTGATGGATATTGGGTTTTTTATCTTTTTGCTATTATGAATACCACTATGAAATTCTATGTGTAAATATTTGTGTGAACATATATTTTCATTTGAGTATATACCTAGGAGTGGGATTACTGAATCATATGTAACTCTCTGTTAATTATTTGAGGAGCTGTCAGACTCTTCCAAAATGGCTGCATCATTTTATTTTTCCACCAGCAGTGTATGAGGATTCAAATTTCTCCACATCCTTGCCATCACTTGTTATTGTCTTTTCTTAATCTAGCCATCCCAGTGGGTGTGAAATAATATCTCATTGTGGTTTTCATCTGCATTTCCCTTAATGACTCATGATGTTAAGCATCTTCTCTTGTGCTTGTTGGTATGTATATCTTCTTTGGAGAAATGTCTATCAAATCCTTTGCCCATTTTATTCATTGGATTACTTGTCTTTTTCTTGTTGACTTGTTAAGACTTCTTCATATATTCTAGATGCAGGTCCTATATCAGATATATGATTTGCAAATATTCTCTCTCCCTCTGTGGATTGTCTTTTTACTTTCTTGATAGTACCTTTTGAAGCACAAAGCTTTTAGCTTTGATGACATCCAATTTATCTTTTTTTTTTTTCCTTTGTTGCTTCTGCTTTTGGTGTCATATCTAAGAATCCATTGCCAAATCCAAGGTCATGCAGATTTACCCCTGTGTTTTCTTCTAAGGGTTTTATAGTTTCAGCTGTAACATTTGTATTTTTGATCCATTTAGAGTTAACTTTTGTATATGGTTAGAGGTAAGGGTCCAAATTCAACCTTTGCATGTGGTTATCCACGTTGTTCCAGCACCATTTGTTTAGAAGGCTTTTCATTCTCTATTAATTGGTCTTGTCGCTCTTGTCAAAAATTAGTTGACCATAGACACATGGTTTTATTTCTAGATTCTCAATTATATTGTATTGATCTACATATCTCTCCTTATGTCAGTACCACACTGTCTTGGTTATTACAGCTTTGTAGTAAGTTTTGAAATCAGAAAGTGTAAGTCCTCCAACTCAGTTTTTTCTGCAGGATTGTTTTACCTACCTGGGTCTCTGACATTTCCATATAAATTTTAAGATCACTCTGTAAATTTCTGAAAATAAACAAAAAAAGCTGCCTGATATTTTGACAGAGATTGCTTGAATCTGTAGATCAATTTAGGAAGTATTGCCATCTTCACAATATTGTCTTTCAATTCATACATATGAACTGTCTTTCCATTTATTTGGATCTTCTGAATTTTTTCAACAATATTTTACAGTTTTCAGAAGTCCTGGACTTACTTTGTTAAATTTATTCCTAAGCATTTTATCCTTTGTTATGCTGTTGTAAATGAAATTGGTTTTGGAATGTCATTGTTAGTGTATAGAAATACAGTGCATTTCTGTAAATTGATCTTGTATGCCACAACCTTGTTAAATTTATGTATTAATTCTAATCATGTTATTTAGGATATTCTGTATACAAATGTCATATATCTATTTACAATGTCATCTACAAATAGAGATAGTTTTATTTCTTCTTTTTCAGTCTGGATGCCTTTTACTTACTGTTCTTGCATAATTGCCCAGGCGGAAGCTTCCAGAGCAATGTTGAATAAAAGTGGTGAGAACAGACATCTTACTCTGGTTTCTGATCTTTTCTGATCTTAGAAGGAAAGCATAAGCATGATGTTAGCTGTGGATTTTTTGTAGATGCTCGTTATCAAGTTAAGGAAGTTCTCTTCTATCCCTGGTTTGTTGAACATTTTTATTACCACTATCTCTTTTTGTATAAAGTTTTATTGGAGCACAGCCATGTTCATGCATTTACATATTGTCTACAGCTACTTTTGCACTGTTAGCAGCAGAGTTGAGCAGCTGTTACAGAAACTATATGACCCACAAAACCTACATATTTACTATCTGGAACTTTACAGAAAAAATGTAGTGGCCATTGGTTTAGAAAAGAAAGGGGTAGGCCTGCTGGAAGAAGAGCATCAATCAAGCTTGCAAAGGGATATTAAATGGAAGAGAAATAGAGGAATCAGATTATGGAGGCTGAGAAAACTGACACAAATGAAATAAATAAATGAGCCATTATAGGACACCCAGAAGGGAGTGACATCAGGAATATGGAAGGCAAGGAGAGGTGTGAAGAAAAGAGCAGCCCGGGAGGATTTGCAAACAATCCTGGTGTCTAGTCCTAGACAGGGAGGTGAGCCTGTGGGTGGCCTTCCAAGGAACCCCATGGCTGGTGCTGGGAAAGGGCTGTGGGCGAGGAGTCAGGAGCCCTCGTTCCAGTCTTGACCCAGGCTCTCCCCTGGGCAGCTCCTTCCATCAACCCGGCCTCAGCTTCCTCAGCAAGTGAAACAAGGGAGTTAGGTTCCATAACTGAAGGTTCCTTCCACCTCTGCTTTTCCACAGTTCGAAGCTGTAGTTTCAAGGACAATGAGAAACAGCATTTCCTCCTTTTCCTTTCTATCCTCCTATGAAAGGCAGGCTTGATATTTCCCATCACATCCTCATTTTAAGGCCAGCACACCCTCCGAGCCCCTTTCAGCTACTTTACAAGTTTGGTCGTAAAAGCCACCCATACGCTGACACATGGTTTTCCACGTTCATGGATCAGAATCCCCTGAAAAGCTTGTTGAAACAAGCTGCTGGGCCCCACACACAGAGTCTCTGAATCAGTGGGCTGTGGTGGAGCCCAGGAACGTGCATTTTAAGTCCACAGGTGCTGCTGATGCTGAGGCCACACTCTGAGACCACTGGGCAAACACTCTTCCTCCAATCCATCCCACTGTTAAAACATGAGAATCAGATTTTCTCTCCTTCTCTCGGCTCTTGCTGCCCAGCCACATCTTCCTTCATCAACACGTATTTCATGCATAGGGGACTCCTGGAACTCTTCTTGATGTCCTCCCAAGCCAAGTAATCTTCAGACAACCCCAGGGCTCCAGCATCTCTTGAGACCTGTTTCTAACATAGCCCTAGAGGGAGTCACTTACCCTCCACTTACTGTTTGGGAAGTCAAGGTAATTCAACAACACAGGATGCCATGAGAGTTGATCATTAAGAGTTTGCCAAATGCTCTAGAGGGCATTCTGTAATAGATAGTGATGACAATGGCAGAGTACTGAATTTGAAAGAACCTTGATAGAAGACTGTGCACAGAGTAAGGAAATGGACTCATAAAACCCCTCTGACAAACATGTAAGGTACAAAAATTGAGATTTAGAGATTTACAACTATTTGGAGACAGGAATTGCATACTTCTGCTGTGAGGCATTAGCAATATACATTTCAAAACAGTCTTCAAAAACTTTTTTTACATTTTCCAGTGATGGACTGAAAAGTAGCCTGCTTCTCCTCTTTGGGGACTCTTTTGGGCTCCTCTTTTGGGCTGCTTTCCCTAGCTGTTGGCTGGGCTCACACTCCAAGGCTCCTGATTTCCACTTCTTTAGAGCTCATCATGACTAACAGGCACATCCCAGTTTGTTTTGTTTGTTTGTTTGTTTGTTTGTTTTATAAGTCTCCATTATTCCCCACCAGCTCTTAATGCTTCATTTGCTCAGCTCTGACCTCCCACCACTAACATCTCTGATTGTGATGTTTCTCAGCCTAATTCCAGTCCAATAGATGCCTTAAGAAAGGAGAGCCCGGCCTAGTTTTCTATTCTCTGTGCTGGCTTCTTGGCTGATAAATAATGCCGGTATTGAAATTACTGCATTGTTGCTGTTGTTAGTGGTGGTAGTGCTGTCACTATTACTGAGAACCACATGATAGAACTCTGTTTTTCTCCCTCCTATCTTGCTCACAACCATGTTTTCCCCCAAGCTGCTTCTTAACACAAAAGGAAAAGTTAGCCAGCTGACCCTGGGAATCTGGGAGAGTCTCAGATTTGACAGCCAAAGTTGGATGTGTACTTAGTGGGTAATAAGTACCAGGCTGAGCATGTAAAATGCATTATTTCATACAGTCCTTAAAGCCCCAGGAGCTAGAAGTAGATACTGATGTTCCCATTTTACAGAAGAGGAAATCAAGGCTTAGGGTGGGTAAGCAGCATGGCCTTAGACATACAATTCGTGAGGAACAGAGCCAGGAATACTGGTGGTCTGACTCCAGAGCCTGGGGCTCTTAACCTCTCATCATATCACACTAGTGGGAAAGACAGATAAGTGAGATAAGATGATAGATAGATAGATAGATAGATAGATAGATAGATAGATAGACAGATAGATAGATAGATAGGATAGATAGGATAGACAGATGGACTTTAAACTGTAATTAAAGAGTGGAACACGCCACATTCAACCAGAAACATGCAGAGCCTACTGCCCTGGTTGTACTTCCTGTCATGGGTATTTTTAACCCCCAATGCAACAGTATTGAGAGGTGGGGCCTAATAAGAGGTGTTTTGGTCATGAGGGCTCTGCCCTACTGAGTGGATCAATGCCGCTATAAAAAGGATGTGTGGGAGTGAGTTCTCTCTCTCCTGCTCTCCGGCCATGTGAGGTCACAACGTCCCTCCTCTCCAGAGGATGCAGCAATAAGGCACCATCTTGGAACCAGAGGCTAGCACCTGGATCTTGGACTTTCCAACCTCTAGAACTGAGGAAATAAATTTCTGTTCTTTATAAATTACCCAATCTGTGGTATTCTGTTATAGCAGTACAAAATGGACTAAGACAGGCATCATCTTTCATCAGCTACTAAACAGTTACACCACGAGGGCAGTGATGATGTCTCGTCATCACCATGTCCCCATAGTCTAGTTCTGTGCTGGGCACACGCTAAAGAATTGTTAACTGGATGTACAATTGTTATCTCGGCATCTGAAAGAACAGTAAGAGAATTCTGTGGTATCACAGAGGTAGCAACTGCAGAAAGCAGCCCCGCTAGGTGCCCAACTGGCTGGGATAACCCTGATAGGAAAAAGAACCAGCAGAAAGTAAATAAAAGCAAGTCCCCTGCCTGCTCAGCATCACAGTCTCCCTGTAGCATCCCCTGTTGCAAAGTATAGTAGAGAGCCATCCAGCAAAGCAGAAGTGTGCTTTGCAGAGTCTCAGGTTCAGTATTACAAAATATTATGTAGGGAGCGGGTTTGGAGTGAGAGATAATACCTGAATAATTGGTTAGCTCATTATAGTGGGTTAAAAGAGTGTATACTTTTGCAAAAACAACAAATTAATTGGGGTATTTCTCTTAGCCTATAATAGTTGGTTTATGCCTTTTTCTTTCCTCTGCAGCATCCCTTCTCAGGGATGACTCAGAAGCAACTATTCTGTAATGTTTGCCAGGGAAACCCTGCAGAGACTGGCTGTTTCCATCCAGACGTGATGCAAACAATTCCAGGAGCTGCCAAAGGGAAGTCATGGAGCCTTGAGTTATGAATAAACTCTTTTTCAGGAATGGCTAGTTGAGAGAGATTTAAGCACTTGCCTCCAAACGGAAGGCACTTGCCTCCAAACTCTTTACTAAAGAGTTATGATGTTTAGTGTTTTTCCCCCTAAACATCGTAACTCTTTAGTAAAACAACCAAAACAACCATGTTGGGTATTATCTCCTGTACTCATAAGCAAAAAAAAAAAAAAAAAAAAAAAAAAACTATTTGACTCTACTGTTGTTGACTCTCAGAACAAAGTAATATGTGAACAGGTAAATTACAGGTGCCTCCTGGAAGGAGCCCACTTTCATCCAGTAAGAGATATAAAAGTCTTAACTAGAGGTTTCTGGAACCTAAATCCCTGAGCCCAGGTTTTTGTGCACATAGGTCTTTCATCCTGTTCTCCAAAGATTTCTGGGTGTTTTTTTCCGAGTTTATTCTTGCGTCTCTCCTCAATAAAAGCTGGACAGTGAAAAAGCAATGTGTCATTTATGTAAGGGAATGCTTTTGTTTAAAAGTGAATTACACCTCAAGCCCTGGAAAATATCACCTCCTGCTACTTGGTGTTTGCTTTGTTCTATGCACTCTTTTTTTATTTCTGTCTCCTGCAATTTTGGGTGGAGTCACACAGTGTTTTTCGCCACATCCCTCCCTACCTCATCCTGGCTGCCCACCCTGTTCTTCCTATATGCCTTCCATAAGGTGTCACACTCTGGGCTATAAATACCTTAATTTGCATCAGCTATAAGAGGGCTGACACTGTGCGGAGTCAAATATCCAAAAAGAAAATAGGCCTTAGGGAGTTTTGTTTTTTTTTTCAATCACTGAAAGGGAAGTCCTGACCCAATGAAGCTTGACTTCCTCTAGAATAGTAATATGTATGCAAGATGCTGTTGGCATAAGATACTTTCTAAAATAACATGGATTGTGGGAGTTTTCCTTTTTTATAATGCAAAGACAATTTAAGCAATAAAATATGTGGTGGTGTCACATGGAAGCATACAATATACATGCCATCATTGAATACTGCCTATGCTTCTAAGGTCTGATACGAATGATTATGAAATGGAGAAAGAATGTCCCCCAAAAGTATGCTGGGAAGAATTAAGCAATTTGTCCACTGCACTTTTCAAATTGGCCACGATTTTTTTAAAGATGAAACTCAGTGCTGGTAAGGGTGTGGAAGGACATAGACTGCTGATTGGAGTACACTATTACAATGGTTCGAAAAAGCAACTTAGAACCATATATCGCTAGACTTAGAAGTGATAACATATCGTGTCCGGGTAATTCCAATTTCAAGAATCTATACTAGGAAACAATTAGCAATGCTATTAAAGATTTATATAAAAGAAAGTTTATGAAAATGTTACTTACAACAGTCATTACTATTAGCAATAGGAATGACTATTATAAGTAAACTAACTATAGAAAAGGTCCAATAAACCATGGCATATTTGTACAATGAAATGTTACTTGGTACTTAACAATCATGTTACCGAGAAAAACTTAGTAACACGAAAAGGGGCTAGTGATGTAAGGCTATATTTTAAAAATAGCAGAACTCAGTACTGTGTATATAGTTTGCAACCTGTTGTTGCAAAAAATGAGTATAATATATGCAATATATGCACATATATATACATATATACGTGTGTGTGTCTATGTGTATTCCCTGAATGTTTGGTGGGTTACAGGTGAGTTTCACTTTTTTGTTAGATCCTACATAATTTCCAAATTATTTTTAAATGAGAAAAAGGTTATTTTAGAAACATATCTAAGTTATTTGATAATAGAAAATGATACCAGCATATTTATCATATTCCTTAAAAATACCATCTTAGTTGGGTTAGCAAGAACAATTCTCACAATGGGTTTTCCTTTTCTTTCCTGACACCTAAAGTCCACTGACTTGTGAGTTTTAGAAATGTCTCAATTTTTCTTCTTTTCCAGCGCTGATATATTACGACTGGACAAAGTTCTAGTGTCAGCAGCTAGGACAGCATGATTGACATTAACAGTAGGTTGGGCAGTTCTGAGATGTACCTCAGAAATGTTTGAAAACCATGGAAAGGCTAATTTAGTTTTTGAGGGTTAAGGACAAAATTATGTGTAATAATACATGTTCCTTTTGAAAAAGGTAACTAAAGTAACATAAAAGCTATTATGTTTTTTCTCACATCTTTTGGAGTAAAATGGCTCCTAGGAATTTTTACTAGCTCCCTTTTTTAGTTCCTATCCAGCAAACTGGGCTGATGCGTGGATAGGAAGAAGAAATTATATTCTAAGAAACTGCTTAAATATATTAATAACTGAAGTAAGGGGTACTTTATTTTTCCATGGTTCTTTTATGCATAGCCATCTCATTTGACCAGCAAAACAACCCATAAGTATTAGAACAGAAATTATTAAACCAAGTTGTGGAGATTAAGCACAGGATGAGAACATTCACCTATAGACTCTGGTGATTGTCTCTGAAGTCCTTTAACCCGTTGCTGCCCAAGGCTTCTACTCTGTCCTTGGGCCACGCAGAACCTAGTTATTATATTAGAGCTCACTCTCAACATGCCCCATGTGAGTGTCCAGAGCGCGAAAGCCCTCCCCAACCCACACTACACTCACCCCCCATTGCCAGAGCAGCAGGTTGACTGGGCTGTCAATTCCAACTGGGGCTTGAACCTCAACTTTCCTGGGACTCTTACATCCTATCTAGCCCTAGACTGAACTCATTTGGCTTGGGTTTCCCAGCTCTGACCCCTACCCTACTTATGCCACACACACACATACACACACACACACAGACACGCACACATGCACACATCACCATCACTACCACCACTGCCTCCATTAAGACGCTGGATTGTTTGCAAGCTGAGTCCTTACAGGTCGTCACGGGTCCCAAACCCATGTAGTTGTCAAAGCTGTAACAGAAGCAGTGTATGTCTCCAGATTCTTCCAGCCTTGTTTCCTCCTTTCTTCCTTCCTTCTCCCTCATTCCCTTCTTTCCTTGCTTTCTTCCTTCTCCCTCTTTCTGTCCCTCACTTTCTCCCTCCCTCCCTTTCTCCTTTCTGTCCTTTCTTCCTTCTCCTTCCCTCTTTTCCTTCGCCCTCCCTCCCTTCCTCCCTTCCTTCTTTCTTTCCTTCTCTCTCCCTCCCTTTTCTCCCATCTTTCCCTCTCTCCCTCCTTCCCTTACCCTCCTTTCCTCCTTCCTTTCTTTTCAGTTGTTACTTTGTTGTCCTTGGACTTCAGGTGCTGTCAGTTAAAGTCCTCAGCTGTTATCACCACTTTATCACAGTATCATCATCTGTCCATGCAAGGCCTCTCCATTGTCCTATTTATTAATTGATTCACTCTTTTTTCCCAAAGCCACTCCCTTTGTCTTCCCTCACAAGGCAATTGTAATGTGTTCAATGTGTATCTCTGTGCTTATAAGTGGTATAAAAGATGCAAATTGTTGATTTGCATGCATATATTTTTAATTGACATAAACAGTTTGGCATTCTCATTTTGTTTCCTACTTTTTTCATTCAACATTTTGTTTTATGATCCATTCATGTAGTAACTAGGTGTTCATCACATCCAGTGCTTCTAATTGCTGCCTCCATGGACCTGAATATCCACGACATTTCTCCATCCCCTTTCACACTGACTGCTATTCAGTTGCCAAGAAAAGCAGATGTGGGAGGAACCTGCTCCGCCTTTAATCACTGCTGAATTGCATCATTCATTCTGCCTCGTGTGTACAGCTATAAAGCATTAACTCTCCTAGAAAAAGTACACACTAAGTTATGCCAAGGTTCAATCCTAAACTGGCCACCAATCTACGTGGCCCTAAGTTTCTCCTGCCCACCAATCCCTACTAAGAAATGTTTAGTTTTGGATGTGTTCAGATGACATATTGAACCCATCCTTGCTCTATGTGAGCTCATAACAGGACTCATTAAACTTGTTTTTGTTTTTATTTTTCTGTTTTTGAGACGGAGTCTCACTCTGTCGCCCAGGCTGGAGTGCAGTGGCGCGATCTCGGCTCACTGCAAGCTCCGCCTGCCGGGTTCACGCCATTCTCCTGCCTCAGCCTCCCGAGTAACTGGGACGACAGGTGCCCGCCACCATGCCCAGCTAATTTTTTGTATTTTCAGTAGAGACGGGGGTTTCACCATGTTAGCCAGGATGGTCTAGATCTCCTGACCTTCTGATCCGCCCGCTTCGGCCTCCCAAAGTGCTGGGATTACAGGCGTGAGCCCCCGCGCCCAGCCAGGACTCAGTAACCTTTTTCCATTGGTGGCTGGGGGATAAATATCTTAGGCTTTGAGAGCCATACTGTTGTGGTTTCAACTATTCAACTCTGCCATTTTAGTGTGAATGCAACCATAGACAATATGTAAGCAAATGTACGTGGCTGCAGTCCAATAAAATTTTATTCATAAAAGGATGCAGTGAACTAGATTGACCATGAGCTGGGTTTGTTTGTGAGTCAGATTTGGCCACAGGAAGTAGTTTGACCATCCCTAGTTTATAACAACTGGTCTCACAGAAAAGAAATGAGGGTGATTACTTCTGGGACTCCTCCTTGTCTTACTGCCATATTGCTTGTCTACTGGTGAGAAGCTGAGGTTATAAAACTCTCTCCTCCCTGATATGCTTTTCTTCCTATTCTCCTCCAAACACTGATAAATCAAAGCCCATGATACTTGGCTTACAGTACACAGCCACTAAGTTTGTTGAATGAAAAAATTTCATATATGCAGACATTTAAGTTTGGTCTTAAAGATCACCAGAGACCAATCCCTGCAAATCAACAGCATTTCAAGCTTAAAGTAAGAGGATTTCTGCCTGGGTGTTTTCTGCCTGCTCTGAGAGGCAGCCCACTCCTTGGTGAGGCAGCCTCCTGTGCTAAACCACCAGGGATCAGCTACAGAAAAGCATTTCTGAGGCTGTACAGGATGTTTTCCGGTACCTGTTCGGGAAACCCTCACTTCTGTCTCCTTGTTGTCTATTACTGCACACTTCTGCAGTTGCTGAGTAATGCTCCTGGAGACATCATCCCAGCACAGCAGGCTCCCAATCACAGCTACTGCTGACAGCCAGGGAAACACAGTCAAAATCCTAGAAACACACACTTGACCTGGATTGAGGGCAGCAGCTTCTGGATTCATTCCTTTGCTAATTTCTTTTCTTTTCGTTTGGAGACAGGGTCTTGCTCTGTCGCCCAGGCTAGAGTGCCATGGCACAATCATGGCTCACTGCAGCCTCGACCTCCTAGGCTCAAGCAATCCTCCCACCTCAGCCTCCCAAGTAGCTGGGACTACAGGTATGTAATACCATACCTGGCTAATTTTTGTATTTTCTGTAGAGACAGGATGTTTCCATGTTGCCTAAGCTGGTCTTCTCTGCTAATTTCTAATTTCTTAAAGTGAAAGTAGATTCTCTGGATTTTCTGTTCTGTGAAGAAGGCTCCTTGGGAAGTAGGGGGCACTTCCTCACACTTTGGTGGCTATGGCTAAGGTGGCCAGAGGACTGGTTTCATCATCACTGTTCTTAGGTCTTGACAGCCAGTTCCAGGTCAGAATCCTGGAAAAACCCCTGGACAGATTTTGTTCCAGAGCCAGGGGGCCATGGTCCAGTCCAGATAAAGGATGGAGTGTATTATGTTTCTTAAATTGCAATATTTGCAGTAAGCCATTGTAATCCCTCACTGGGCACAAAATGTTAAAAGGAAAAAGGAAGACAGAAATAGAAGAGAGAAAATTAGGTGCAGGGGAAAGGACCAGAAAATCTAAATATAAACCAAAAAGATAAGTCTGTTCTATGAATTTTCATATCCAGTATACTCATTCAACAAATATTTATTTTAATTAACATTTTTAAAATGGAAATGTAATACATTCACATGGTCAAAATTTCAAATAAAGGTAAATAATGAAAGAGAAGCCTTCCTCTCATCTGAGCCCCTAGGGAAACACTGTGTATTCTTCCAGAGATATTCCCAGAATTGACAAACCTATTAAAATAATTTTTTTTTGACAGAGTTTCACTCTTGTCACCCAGGCTAGAGTGCAATAGTGCAACCTCAGCTCACTGCAACCTCTGCCTCCTGGGTTCAATCTATTCTCCAGCCTCAGCCTCCCAAGTAGCTGGGATTACAGGTGCTGCAACCATGCCTGGCTAATTTTTGTATTTTTAGTAGAGACGGGGTTTCCCCATGTTGGTCAGGCTGGTCTGGAACTCCTGACCTCAGGTGATCTGCCCACCTCAGCCTCCAAAAATGCTGGGATTACAGGCATGAGCCACCACGACCGGCCTAAAATAATTTCTTAAATGATGTAGAGTTCAGCCTCTTGCTTTATTCATTTCATTCCATGTCTTGGGTTGAAATCTACCATTTTGCTAATTTTTCTACCTTTCTATTTTGTCCTACCTGTTTTCTGTTTCTTTTTCTGTTCTCTTTTGCCCTCTTTAGGATTAATCAAAGTTTTTGTTTGTTTGTTACCATTCCACTGGCCTCCCTCATTAGTTTGTTAGTTATGTAATATGTTATTTTTTATTTTTTTGAAGAATTCCCTAAATGTGCAACATTAATTCCAAGAGTGATTGTGATTACCTCAGGCCCACACAGATGATTCAGGATAATCTCCTCATCTCAAAGGCCTTAATTGCATCTGTAGAATCCCTTTGCCATGTAAGGTAACATGTTTACAGGTTCTAGGGATTACAGCATGGACATCTTTGAGGAGTGGGGGACATTTTTCTGTCTACCACAACTAGAAATTCAAGGATTCTAGACTTGAATTACTAGATGTGGAAATATTCTGTAAGGAAAAACTATCTCTTCTCTCCTATTTATTCAATTATTTATTTATATCAGTATGGACTCATGGATGTTTATTTCAGTCTATAGATTATAACCCAATTGTACTATTATTTTTTTATTGCTCAAATTGTTCAGATTTGACCATTGGTTGCTCCTTCAGATGGGTTCCTGTGTCGTTTTGACATATCCCTATCCTTTTGAAACACTTCCTTCTTTTCTGGTACCATATGATGTTCCAAGTTCATTTTGTATTTTCTGTGCCCAAACCCTGGAATCTACCATTTTTCCTGTGGAACTCTGGTTCTTTTTATTGGAGAAACCAAGGTCTAGAAATCAGGCATGTTCATTGTTATTAAGTTCCACTCAGTGGACAGTTAGAATTAAACCACAGACACAATTGCTTCTCGGCCTTTTGGCTAAGATCAAGCGTAAACCACAAACAGAAACACACACACACATTCTATACTTGTGTATCCATTAAAAAAAAACATAAGTTCACACTGATACATCTGATTCCAGTCCAACAACACAAAGCTTATTTGTGTTTCTCCTTTCCTTATTTGTGGCTTCTTTCACTAACAGTGAGAAACCCAGTTCTCATTATCTATACTTATTTGTTCCTAGTATATAAACATAAAGTAGTTACAGAACTGCTCACCTATGCCCCATGTGCAGATTCTTGTGTCTTTCGTCATATAAGATCTAGTCAAAGTAACTGTTTTTCAAAATGACGTAAGTCAGTTCTTTCCTTCCCCATCCTCTTCAATATTTTTCATTTTTTAAAAAATTCGCAGCCAGGCACAGTGGCTTATGCCTGCAATCCTAGCACTTTGGGAGGCCAAGGCGGGTGGATCAACTGAGGTCAGGAGTTCAAGACCAGCCTGACCAATGTGATGAAATCTACTAAAAATACAAAAATTAGCTGGGTGTGGTGGCACGTGCCTGTAGTCCCAGCTACTTGGGAGGCTGAGGCAGGGGAATCACTTGAGATGGAGATTGCGGTGAGCCGAGATCACGCCATTGCACTCCAGCCTGGGCAACAAAAGCAGTGAAACTCTGTCAAAAAAAAAAAAAGAAAGAAAGAAAAAAGAAAGAAAAAAAATTCGCTTGTTCTGGTTTTTATTTCATTTTGATTATTCTTACATCCTGTTTGCTTTGAAGTGTTTGTTTATATTTGGGGGTATGTGTAAGATGCTGATTCTAAGAGTCAAGGCTATACAAAATGGTGTACTCAACAATATATCTAGACGTTCTTCACTGGGAGTCGCCGAGGTTTCCTGCTTCAACAGTGTTTGCATGTAACACAGTGCTGGTCCTCTACCCCCACCCCCCACCCCACCCCTGCGGCTCACAGTCAGCCCTCTGCCTCCTCCTCACCAAGCCCTCAGACAGCTCCAAGGCCCCGGCTGCTCCAGTGCCACACAGCCGCTGCCACCTCTCCTTAGCCTCCATGTTGACTACATCCCCCTTGCAGGTGAGCCACCACTACCATACTATTGGAGGGTCTTGACTGGGAGTCATCCAGATTCTTGGCATTTTGAACAAAGAATTGGACAAAATGCACAAGCAAAGCAACTAAAGGATGAAGCAAGGAAAGGACAGATTTACTGAAACAAAAGTACACTCCACAGAGAGCAGGAGCAGGCTGAGCAAGCAGTTCAAGAGCACTGGTTACAGAATTTTCTGGGGTTTAAATACTCTCTAGAGGTTTCCCATTGGTTACTTGGTTACACCCTTTGTAAAAGAAGATTTGGCCCACGACCAGTCTGATTGGTTGTGGGAGGGGACCAGCAGCTGAAGTGAAGTTACAGATGTACTTTCTATTTTTCATCTGCAAGGCAGCACAAAGAGAGTAGCCTCTGATCTTTTCGTTACTTGGGCACGGGGAGGTGGGGTTTCCTTTTGATTCGGTTCTAGGACATCAGTGCAAATTGGCCTTAGGTTCCCAGCCTCCACACCCTATTCTCCTGCCTCACCACCAGAACACAGAGGCTGCCATCAACTGCCAGCTCAACCTGGAGCTCACGCTACACCTCCTAACTCTTCCTGTCCATATCTTACTACTTTGACTGCGATGATGTGGCTTTGAAGAACTTTTCCAAGTACTTTCTTCACCAATCTCATGAGAAGAGGAAACATGCCGAGACACTGAAGATGCTGCAGAACCAGCAAGGTGGCTGAATCTTCCTTCAGGATATCAAGAAACCATACTGTAATGACTGGGAGAGCAGGCTGAATGCAATGGAGGGTGTATTACACTTGATAAAAAACATGAATCAGTCACTACTGGAACTGCACAAACTGGCCACTGACAAAAATGACCACCACTGTGTTGACTTCATTGAGACACATTACCTGAATGAGCAAGTGAAATCCATCAAAGAATTGGGTGACCATGTGACCAAGTCACACAAGGTGGGAGCCCCTGAATCTGGCTTGGCAGACTATCTCTTTGGCAAGCTCACCCTGGGACAGAGCAATAATGAGAGCTAAGCTTTAGGCTAATTTTCCCATAACCATGGGTGACTTCCCTGGTCACCAAGGCAGTGCATGCATGTTGGGGTTTCCTTTACCTTTTCTATAAGTTGTACCAAAACATTCACTTAAGTTCTTTGATTTGTACTATTCCTTCAAATAAAGACATTTGGTACACCTCCACCCCCCCCAAAAAAAGTCACTCCTCTTCATCACTATCAGCACAGCCCCATTCCCATTACTTCCTACCCATCCCTAAGATAATCTCATTTATACTTCCTGAATTTTTTTGTGAAAACAAGCAGCTATGTGTGTTTTATCCTTTTTTTCTTATATAAGGAATGGCATACTATAGATATTCTTTTGTTCTTTCCTTTTCTTCTCTTAACAGTATATTCTGGAAATCATTCCAAATTGGTTCTTATAGATTGTCTTTATTCTTCTATACAGCTATACAATGCTCCATTTTGTAGATGTCATATAGTTTATTCAACCAGTTCTCTATGTATGGGCATTTAGGTTGTTTCCAATACTTTGCAATTCTAAACAATGCTGCAACAAATAAAAGTGTACATATGCATTGTGTTAGTTTATTTGCATTGCTAAAAAGGAATACTGTAGACTGGGTAATTTATGAAGAAAAAAGATTTATTTGGCTCATGGTTCCGCAGGCTGAACGTGAAATGTAGTGCCACATCTGCTGCTGGTGAGGGCCTAAGGAAGCTTACAATCATGTTGGAAGGTGAGGGGAAGCCAATGTGTCACATGGTGAGAGAGAGAGTGAGAGAGGAAGAAGGTGCCAGGCTCTTTTAAACAACCATATCTTACATGAACTCATAGAGTGAGAACTAACTCATTACTGTGAGGACTGCACCAAGCCATTCATGAGTGATCCATCTCCATGACACAAAAACCTTCCACTAGGCCCACCTCCAACACGGGAGGGCACATGAAATTTGGAAGGTACAAAACATCCAACATATATAATAAATGTTTGTGCTCTTGGAGATATGTCTTCAAGGTGTTTCCTAGAAGTAGGATTGCTGAATCAAAAGTAAGTGAATATGTTGTTTTGATGGTATTGCCAAATTTTTCTCCAAAAGAGTTAGTATATTTTTAAATATTCTGTGTGACAAAATACGAAGTATACATAAAGCACTTTTGCTGCATTCCAAAGTACAATGGCTGCCTTGAAGAAAAGCATTTGTGCAAATAATTGAGTTGTGAGCTAAACTATCAATTTTTTAAAATGACACGGCAGTTTTTAATTGAAAAAACAAACTGACATCAGCAATAGTTATTCAGACTTAGGAATCTGGCAGATATTTTCTCAAACATTAACAAAGTAAGCCTGGGGAAAAAAAAGACAGTATTTGTTGCCAATTATGAAATCTGAGCTTTCACATGAAAATTAGAATTTTTGAAAACTGGTCCCACCACTATGAGTTTTCCAAAACTTAAAGAATCTTCAGATGAGATGGTGGCAATTTTAACTGTTGGGATTTTTTTTATATTGCATAATAAAATATGTCAACATTCAGAAGACATGTATAACTCATGAGCCAACATATTCAAAATGACCGATGCATAATGTTATAAAATCATACTTAAGTAAAAGATCCACTCAAAGAGCAAGATAGACAAAACTATATGGTTTCAGATTCCACATTCAAAAAATTCTTAAGAAACTACTATTTATCAAATTCTGGCATAATATCAAAGAAGAATGCCCACAATTACCTGCAAAACCTATTAAACTACTCCTCCCTTTTCCAACTGCATAATTGCGTGAAACTAGATTTCCTTCAGATACTTCAACCAAACCAAAGTATTACAACACATCAATGCAAAATCCCATGTAAATTCAACTGTCTTCTCTTAAACCACACGTTGAAGACAGTAAAACAATGCCACTCTTCTAATTAATTTCTCATTTTGGAAACTACAGTTATTTTTCATGAAAATATGTAACTTGTTGTAAGACTAAGACGGTTCAGATTGCTTCTATAACAAAATACCATAAGTTAGGTAGCATATAAAAACAGAAACATTTGTCTGATTTCTGGAGTTTGAGAAGTCCAAGATCAAGGCGCTGGGAGATTCAGTGTCTGGTGAAGAGTTGCTTTCTGGTTCGCAGATGGTGTCTTCTCCCTGAGTCCTCACATGGGGGAAGAGGCAAAGGAGTCCCCTTAAGCCCTTTTATAAGGGCATTAATCTGATTCATGAGGGCTCTGCCCTCATGACCTAGTCATCTTCCAAACACCTCATCTAATACCATCACCTTGAGGATTAGGATTCTAACATGTGAATTTTGGGGCAGGGGGACAAACATTCAGACCATAGCACTAATGTTACAGTAATGGTTTTATTATCATTATTTTTGTTCTTGTTTGTTTTATTATGCTAAAATATATATAGCAGAAAAATTGTCATTTTAAGAATTTTTTTGTTTTGTTTTCTTTTTTATTATAATTATACTTTAAGTTCTAGGGTACGTGTGCACAACGTGCAGGTTTGTTACATAGGTATACATGTGCAATGTTGGTTTGCTGCACCCATCAACTCATGATTTACATTAAGTATTTCTCCTAATGCTAGCTCTCGCCCAGCTCCCCACCCCAGACCGGCCCTGGTGTGTGATGTTCCCCACCCTATGTCCATGTGTTCTCATTGTTCAACTCCCACCTATGAGTGAGAACATGCAGTGTTTGGTTTTCTGTCCTGTGATAGTTTGCTTAGAATGATGGTTTCCAAGTTCATCTATGTCCCTGCGAAGGATGGACATGAACTTATCCTTTTTATGGCTGCATAGTATTCCATGGTGTATATGTGCCACATTTTCTTAATCCAGTCTATCATTGATGGACATTTGGGTTGGTTCCAAGTCTTTGCTGTTGTGAATAGTGCCGCAGTAAACATACATGTGCATGTGTCTTTATCGTAGAATGATTTATAATCCTTTGAGTATATGCCCAGTAATGGGATTGCTGGGTCAAATGGTAATTCTAGTTCTAGGTCCTTGAGGAGTCGCCACACTGTATTCCACAATGGTTGAACTAATTTACACTCCCACCAACAGTCTAATAGTGTTCCTATTTCTCCACATCCTCTCCAGCATCTGTTGTTTCCTGGCATTTTAATGATCACCATTCTAACTGGCATGAGATGGTATCTTATTGTGGTTTTGATTTGCATTTCTCTGATAAGCAGTGATAATGAGCATTTTTGCATATGTCTGTTGGCTGCATAAATGTCTTCTTTTGAGAAGTGTCTGTTCATATCCTTTGCCCACTTTTTGATGGGGTTGTTTTTTTCTTGTAAATTTGCTTAAGTTCTTTGTAGATTCTGGATATTAGCCCTTTGTCAGATGAGTAGATTGCAAAAATTTTCTCCCATTCTGTAGGTTGCCTGTCCACTCTGATGATAGTTTCTTTTGCTGTGCAGGAGCTCTTTAGTTTAATTAGATCCCATTTGTCAATTTTGGCTTTTGTTGCCATTGCTTTTGGTGTTTTAGTCATGAAGTCTTTGCCCATGCCTATGTCCTGAATGGTATTGCCTAGGTTTTCTTCTAGGGTTTTTATGGTTTTAGGTCTTACATTTAAGTTTTTAATCCATCTTGAGTTAATTTTTGTATATGGTGTAAGGAAGGGATCCAGTTTCAGCTTTCTACATATGGCTAGTCAGTTTTCCCAGCACCATTTATTAAATAGGGAATCCTTTCCCCATTGCTTGTTTTTGTCAGGTTTGTCAAAGATCAGATAGTTGTAGATGTGTGGTGTTATTTCTGAGGCCTCTGTTCTGTTCCATTGGTCTATATATCTGTTTTGGTACCAATACCATGCTGTTTTGGTTACTTTAGCCTTGTAGTATAGTTTGAAGTCAGGTAGCGTGATGCCTCCAGCTGTGTTCTTTTTGCTTAGGATTGTCTTGGCTATGCGGGCTCTTTTTTGGTTCCATATGAACTTTAAAGTAGTTTTTTCCAGTTATGTGAAGAAAGTCAATGGTAGTTTGATGGGGATAGCATTGAATCTATAAATTACTTTGGGCAGTGTGGCCATTTTCACAATATTGATTCTTCCTATCCATGAGCATGGAATGTTCTTCCATTTGTTTGTGTCCTATTTTATTTAGTTGAGCAGTGGTTTGTAGTTCTCCTTGAAGAGGTCCTTCACATCCCTTGTAAGTTGGATTCCTCGGTATTTTATTCTTTTTGTAGTAATTGTGAATGGGAGTTCACTCATGTTGTGGCTCTCTGTTTGTCTATTATTGGTGTATAGGAATGCTTGTGATTTTTGCATATTGATTTTGTATCCTGAGACTGTTGAAGATGTCTATCAGCTTAAGGAGATTTTGGGCTGAGACAATGGGGTTTTCTAAATATACAATCATGTCATATGAAAACAGGGACAATTTGACTTCCTCTTTTCCTAATTGAATACCCTTTATTTTTTTCTCTTGCCTGAATGACCAAGCCAGAACTTCCAACACTATGTTGAATAGGAGTTGTGAGAGGGCATCCTTGTCTTGCACCAGTTTTCAAAGGGAATGCTTCCAATTTTTGCCCAGCCAGTATAATATTGGCTGTGGGTTTGTCATAAATAGCTCATATTATTTTGAAATACATTTCATCAATACCTAGTTTATTGAGAATTTTTAGCATGAAGGGCTGTTTAATTTTGTTGAAGGCCCTTTCTGCATCTATTGAAATAATCATGTGGTTTTTGTCATTGGTTCTGTTTATGTGATGGATTATGTTTATTGATTTGTGTATGTTGAGCCAACCTTGCATCCCAGGGATGAAACTGACTTGATTATGGTGGATAAGCTTTTTGATGTGCTGCTGGATTTGGTTTGCCAGTCTTTTATTGAGGATTTTTGCATTGGTGTTCATCAGGGATATTGGCCTAAAATTCCCTCTTTTTGTTGTGTCTCTACCAGGCTTTAGTATCAGGATGATGCTAGCCTCATAAAACGAGTTAGGGAGGATTCTTTTTTTTTTTTTTTTTTTAGGCGGAGTCTTGCTCTGTCGCCCAGGCTGGAGTGCAGTGGTGCGATCTCGGCTCACTGCAAGCTCTGCCTCCCGGGTTCACACCATTCTCCTGCCTCAGCCTCCTGAGTAGCTGGGACTACAGGTGCCCACCACCACACCCAGCTAATTTTTTGTATTTTTAGTAGAGATGGGGTTTCACCGTGTTAGCCAGGATGGTCTTGATCTCCTGACCTCGTGATCCACCTGCCTCGGCCTCCCAAAGTGCTGGGATTACAAGCATGAGCCACCATGCCTGGCTGATTCCCTCTTTTTCTATTGATTGAAATAGTTTCAGAAGGAATGGTACCAGCTCCTCTTTGTACCTCTGGTAGAATTCGGCTGTGAATCCATCTGGTCCTGGACTTTTTTTGGTTGGTAGGCTATTAATTATTACCTCAATTTCAGAACCTGTTATTGGTCTATTCAGAGATTCAACTTCTTCCTGATTTAGTCTTGGGAGGGTATGTGAGTCCAGGAATTTATCCATTTCTTCTAGATTTTCTAGTTTATTTGCATAGAGGTGTTTATAGTATTCTCTGATGGTAGTTTGTATTTCTGTGGGATCAGTGGTTATATCCCCTTTATCATTTTTTATTGCATCTATTTGATTCTTCTCTCTTTTCTTCTTTATTACTAGCAGTCTATCAATTTTGTTGATCTTTTCAAAAAACCAGCTCCTGGATTCACTGATTTTTTTGAAGGGTTTTTTGTGTCTCTATCTCCTTCAGTTCTGCTCTGATCTTAGTTATTTCTTGCCTTCTGCTAGCTTTTGAATTTGTTTGCTCTTGCTTCCTAGTTCTTTTAATTGTGATGTTAGGGTATCAATTTTAGATCTTTCTTGCTTTCTCTTGTGGGCATTTAGTGCTATAAATTTCCCTCTACACACTGCTTTAAATGTGTCCCAGAGATTCTGGTACTTTGTGTCTTTGTTGTCACTGGTTTCAAAGAACATCTTTATTTCTGCCTTCATTTCGTTATTTACCCAGTAGTCATTTAGGAGCAGGTTGTTCAGTTTCCATGTAGTTGTGCAGTTTTGAGTGAGTTTCTTAATCCTGAGTTCTAATTTGATTGCACTGTGGTCTGAGAGACAGTACGTTGTGATTTCTGTTCTTTTACATTTGATGAGGAGCATTTTACTACCAATTATGTGGTCAATTTTAGAATAAGTGCAATGTAGTGCTGAGAAGAATGTATAGTCTGTTGATTTGGGGTATAGAGTTCTGTAGATGTCTATTAGGTCCGCCTGGTCCAGAGCTGAGTTCAAGTCCTGGATATCCTTGTTAACCTTCTGTCTCGATCTAATATTGACAGAGAGGTGTTAAAGTGTCCCATTATTATTGTGTGGAAGTCTAAGTCTCTTTTAGGTCTTTAAGAACTTGCTTTATGAATCTGGGTGCTCCTGTATTGGGTGCATATATATTTAGGATAGTTAGCTGTTCTTATTGAATTGATCCCTTTACCATTATGGAATGGACTTCTTTGTCTCTTTTGATCTTTGTTGGTTTAAAGTCTGTTTTATCAGAGACTACGATTGCAACCCTTGCTTTTTTGCTTTCCATTTGCTTGATAGATCTTCCTCCATTCCTTTATTTTCAGCCTATGTGTGTCTTTGCACGTGAAATGGGTCTCCTGAACACAGCACACCAATGGGTCTTGACTCTTTATCCAACTTGCCAGTCTGTGTCTTTTAATTGGGGCATTTAGCCCATTTACATTTAAGGTTAATATTGTTATGTGTGAATTTAATTCTATCATTATGATGCTAGCTGGTTATTTTGCCCGTTAATTGATGCAGTTTCTTCATAGCATTGATGGTCTTTACCATTTGGCATGTTTTTGCAGTGGCTGGTACTGGTTATTCCTTTCCATGTTTAGTGCTTCCTTCAGCAGCTCTTGTAAGGCAGGCCTGGTGGTGACAAAATCTCTCAGCATTTGATTATCTGTAAAGGATTTTATTTCTCCTTCACTTATGAAGCTTAGTTTGGCTGGATATGAGATTCTGGGTTGAAAATTCTTTCCTTTAAAAATGTTGAATATTGGTCCCCACTCTCTTCTGGCTTGTAGGGTTTCTGCCAAGAGATCCACAGTTAGTCTAATGGGCTTCCCTTTGTGGGTAACCCGACCTTTCTCTCTGGCTGCCCTTAACATTTTTTCCTTATTTCAACCTTGGTGAATCTGACAGTTATGGGTCTTGGGGTTGCTCTTCTCGAGGAGTATCTTTGTGGTCTTCTCTGTATTTCCTGAATTTGAATGTTGCCCTGCCTTGCTAGGTTAGGGAAATTCTCCTGGATAGTATCCTGAAGAGTGTTTTCTAACTTGGTTCCATTCTCCCTGTCACTTTCTGGTACGCCAATCAAACTTAGATTAGGTGTTTTCACATAGTCCCACATTTCTTGGAGGCTTTGTTTGTTTCTTTTCACTCTTTTTTCTCTAACCATGTCTTCTCACTTTATTTCATTAATTAGATCTTCAATCATTGATATCCTTTCTTCCACTTGATTGAATCAGCTATTGAAGCTTGTGCATCCATCACGAAGTTCTCATGCCATAGTTTTCAGCTCCATCAGGTCATTTAAGGTCCTCTCCACACTGTTTATTCTAGTTAGCCACTCATCTAACCTTTTTTCAAGATTTTTAGCTTCCTTACGATGGGTTAGAACATGCTCCTTTAGCTTGGAGATGTTTGTTATTACTGACCTTCTGAAGCCTACTTCTGTCAACTCATCAAACTCATTCTCCAATCCAGTTTTGTTCCCTTACTGGCGAGGAGCTGTGATCCTTTGGAGAAGAGGCCTTCTGTTTTTTTGGAATTTTCAGCTTTTCTGCTCTGGTTTCTCCCCATCTTTGTGGTTTTATCTACCTTTGGTCTTTGACGTTGGTGACCTAGAGATGGGGTTTTGGTGTGGATGTCCTTTTTGTTGATGTTGATGCTATTCCTTTCTGTTTGTTCATTTTCCTTCTAACAGTCATGTCCCTCAGCTGCAGGTCTGTTGGAGTTTGCTGGAGGTCCACTCCACACCCTGTTTGCCTGGGTATCACCAGCGGAGGCTGCAGAACGGCAAATATTGCTGCCTGATCCTTCCTCTGGAAGCTTTGTCCCATAGGGGCACCCACCTGTTTGAGGTGTCTGTCAGCCCCTACTGCGAGCTGTTTCCCAATCAGGCTACACGGGGGTCAGGGACCCACTTGAGGAGGCAGTCTATCCATTCTCAGAGCTCAAACACCTTGCTGAGAAAACCACTGCTCTCTTCAGAGCTGTCAGACAGGGATGTTTAAGTCTACAGAAGCTGTCTGCTGCCTTTTGTCCTACTATGCCCTGCCCGCAGAGGTGGAATCTATGGAGGCAGTAGGCCTTGCTAAGCTGCGGTGGGCTCCACCCAGTTCATGCTTCCAGGCCTCTTTGTTTACACTGTGAGATACTCAAGCCTCGGCAATGGCGGATGCCCCTCCCCATATCCAGCTGCAGCATCGCAGGTTGATCTGACTGCTGTGCTTGCAGTGAGCAAGGGTCCGTGGGCGTGGGACCTGCCAAGCCAGGCATGGGAGGGAATCTCCTGGTCTGCCAGTTGCTAAAACCATGGGCAAAGTGCAGTACTTGGTCAGGAGTGTACCATTTCTCCAGGTACAGTCTGTCACGGCTTCCCTTGGCTAGGAAAGGGAAATCCCCTGACCCCTTGCACCCCGCCCTGCTTCAGCTCACCCTCCATGGGCTGCACCCACTGTCCCAGTCACAGTGAGATGAACCAGGTACCTCATTTGGAAATGCAGAAATCACCTGTCTTCTGCATTGATCTCGCTGGGAGATACAGAACAGAGCTGCTCCTATTCAGCCACCCTGGAAATGACTCCTTATCTTTTATTTTTTTTGAGATGGAGAGTCACTCTGTCACCCAGGCTGGAGTGTAGTGGCTTGATCTTGGCTCACTGCAACCTCCACCTCCTGGGTTCAAGCGATTCTCCTGCCTCAGCCTCCCGAGTAGCTGGGACTACAGGCACGTGCCACCATGCCCAGCTAATATTTTTTGTATTTTTAGTAGAGATGGGGTTTTACCATGTTAGCCAGGATGGTCTCAATCCCATTTTAAGAATTTTTAAGTGTGCAATTCTAATTATATTACCACAAACAAAAGCACTATGTTCTTAAAGCAATAACTCCCATTCCTTCCCTCCCCTAAGCCCTGGAAACATTTAATCTACTTTCTGTCTCTATGAATTTGCCTATTCTAGACATTTCATATAATGTAATTATACAATATTTGTCCTTTTGTATCTGGTTTATTTCACCCCTAGCATACTGTTTTTCAGATTCATCCATGTTGTAGCAGAACTTCATTCTCGTTTATGGCTGAATAATATTCCATTATATGTATATACCACATTTTGATGGTATTTAGCATTGCATTGATGGACATTTGGGTTGTACACTCCTTTAGGCTATTGTGGAAAATGCTGCAATAAACACTGGTACACAAGCATGTGTTTGTGTTCCCACTTTCTAGAAGTGGAATTGCTGGATTATACAGCAATTCTAGATTTACCATATATCCAATACTTTTTTGAAGTATTAATATTATTTCTAATGAATCAAGAAATATTTTTAGATTTTCATTTTAATTTCTAATGCACTAAATACTGATAGGTATAACCTATATAAACAAACGGTATTTGGGCTTCCCAATAATGTTTAACAGTGTAAAGGGGTTCTGAGAGCAAAAAGTTTTGAGAACACTGCTATATAGCAATGAAACTTAGCAAATTAGTTTTGCCAGCAACATGAATGAATCTCACAAATACAGTGTTGAGTGAAGGAAGCAACTTATAATAAAGTTCAGAACAGCCATAACTGCAAAATTTTCAGATGAATATATAGGTGGTAAAACCCTGACGAAAAGGCTAGATGAAATTAGCACAGTATCAAGATAGTGATTGTCTCTGGAAATAAGAAAGGGGCCACAATCAGGTAAAGAGATGTGGATGGACTGGAGGATGCTCACAATTTCTTAGTCTATTCCCTGCATGATAGTTACATGGATGATCATTTTATTAAAAGCTGTTCTTTTCTTTTCATTTTATATGCTTTTCATTATGTGTATGTGTTTTCACAATTTCACAATTAATTTTAAATGAATTAATTTATAATTAAGTTCACAATTAAACAGGTTAACAGAAAGAAAATTATTTGGAGAATGGTAACACTAAAGAGAGATAATAGTGCCAGAAACAGAGTAATTTCGGCAGTAATGGAGAGAAAGACACAGAGAATAGAATTACCGTGATGGGCTTTGACCATAGCCTGGAACCAGGGAAAGGGCCTACCTTCCCTGCACACTTTGAGCCCCTCTTTACTAGAAAAAAATTAAGGGTCTGATCTCAAAAAAGTGGTGAAACATAGTAAGTCAGCAACCAACAATATCTTCTATACCACCTTATTTAGTCAGTTACATTTCCTCTGCACCATCCTCTTTTACTGAACTTAATTTTTCTGATTACATATCAGTACCTAATTTAAAAAAACTTTTTTCTTTGTTTTTGTACACCATGATGAAATGGGATATAAGTCCCATGAAGGCTTGGCCCAAATCTCCCCTCTTCTCAGTGATCACCCAATCGCTTAACACAGTGCTATCACCTACTAAACAGCAACGGGACCTTTACAGATTCTAGGCACTTTCACTTTTTTTTTTAATATTCCACTCCACGTCAAATCAAAGATAGTAAAATGTACCTATGGCCCACATTTAATATAACTGTTTTGCTGTAAACTTTGTGTGATTTTTATAATTTTTATACTTTTGAGCCTTGTCTGTGAAAGACTTTGAAATGGACCAAAACAAACAAACAAAAAGACGAGAGTATATCTTCAATGGAAATCTCTATGTTGTCTAAAGCACACCCCTTTAGGTTTTCTGCTCTATGGGGTTTTCATCTTTCATAGTCTTTGAGCTATTTTACAACTCTGTAAATTGTAGATAGCTGGTGGCAATGCAAATCATTCTGGTCTATAAACATGAAAACACATTTTGTTAGGTGGGGAGACAATTGATTTCCCTTCCCCCTCTCACTATGGAAAAAGCAGATTTTACATTTATTTGTAAATTCATGTAAGTGTAACTTACATGTAACTCCAAGTTCAGGACACATCGCCCCAAAATATGCCACCCACCTTGGCATACTGAGTATTTGCAGCTGAAGGAATTTGAGAAATACATAGTGCAGAAAGGTCTCTCTGACTTTCCCCTGCCCTTCTCCCATGAAGGAGATCATAAACCTCTCATGTGAGAGGTGCCCTCCCTACATCCGGAGGAAAGAAGCATCCTTACCTCTGAAGATGGAGGGACACAGAGAGGAATGTGAGTGAACAGGCCTTGCTATGTTCCCCCGATTTACTCATTCCCTTTGTCCTAACACACTCTTCTACAACTTTCCCCTCTTCATCAAACCTGGCATCAAAACACAGGTTTAACTGTTTCTTTCGGGTTTTCTTTCCTTAGGAAGTCCCCAGTGTTACAAAAAACTTTTATTAAATAAATATGTTAGCATTTCTGTTGTTCCTGTCTTTCATTACAAGGGCCCCAGCCTACAACTCTAAGACCAGTACAAGGAAAAGACATTTTTCCTCCCCTGCATGCCTGCATGTGTCTCTGCTCTTTGAAATCTCTTTTGTGACATCTATTGTGACATCATACTATTTCTCTTATTAAGTTAAATAAAATTATTGACATGTTCATTTTATATTTGTATGTTATGTTTACCTTTTTTTAAAAAAATTATTTTTTAGCAGCTTTAGACATCTTCCAGCGATGTGCAGAGTGGACTCACCTGACAGACCAAGAGAAACTGCACTCCCGGAGAAGAGAAATGCATCCCCAGGAAGCTGAAGGCCCAGTATGTAAATTCTTGGCTCCTGGAGAGGAACCTGAGGTAGTGTGATGGTTAATATTGAGTGTCAGCTTGATTGGATTGAAAGATGCAAAGTATTGTTCCTGGGTGTGTCACTGAGGCTGTTGCCAAAGGAGATTAACACTTGAGTCAGTAGACTGGGAGGCACCCACTCTCAATCTGGGTGGGCACCATCTAATCAGCAGCCAGCAAAGCTAGGATAAAAGCAGGCAGAGGAACGTGGAAGGGCTAGACTGGCTGAGTCTACTGGGCTTTATCTTTCTTCCATGCTAGATGCTTCTTGCCCTCAAGCATGGGACTCCGAGTTCCTCAGCTTTTGGACTCTTGGACTTAGACCACTGGTTTGCCAGGGGCTCTCAGTGTTTGGTCACAGACTGAAAGCTCTTAAGGCTGCACTGTCGGTTTCTCTACTTTTTTTTTTTTTTTTTTTTGAGAGGGAGTCTCTCTCTCTCTCTCTCTCTCTCTCTCTCTCACTAGGCTGGAGTGCAGTGGCACGACCTCGGCTCACTGCAACCTCCGCCTCCCAGGTTCAAGCGATTCTCCTGCCCCAGCCTCCCGAGTAGCTGGGACTACAGGCACGTGCCATGGGGTTTCACCATGGTGGCCAGGATGGTCTTGACTGCTTGACCTCGTGATCCACCCACCTCAGCCTCCCAAAGTGTTGGGATTACAGGCATGAGCCACTGCGCCCTGCTGGCTTTCCTACTTTTGAGGTTTGGGGACTCGGACAGGCTTCCTTGCTCCTCAGCTTGCACATGGCCTACTGTGGCACTTCACCTTGTGATCATGCGAGTCAATTCTCCTTAATAAACTCCCTTACACATATAGATCTATCCTATTAGTCCTGCCCTCTAGAGAACACTGACTAGTATGGGCAGCAATAGAACATTGTTGACTGTTTCTCTCATTTTTTTTCCCCCATCTCCACCAATTCTGTGTCTTGTTTTGTTTTATTTCATTTCATTTGTTTCTTTTGCATATGGCTGAGAAGTCATCCCCCAGTGGTGGCAACAATGAGCGGGAATTTGGTTTTAAAGTCTGATCATTTAACGGTTTCTATAAATGGATTAATATGTTATATAAATCTGTTTTCTGTTAAATAAAAAGATGACAGAGAATCTGGTTGGTTAGTATTAATTTGTTTATCAATTTGTCTATTTTTAGCTCAAAGACGTTAGTGCCCATCGGGAAGGAGAGTAGCCCTTTGATATCTGTACCAGTGAGTTTTTGTGTTTCTGTGCCTTCTATCTCTTAACCTGAGGCTAAAACTGTAGAATTGAAGCTCTAAGCTCCTTTGTGGCTAGACATCTATTTCTGTAATTCAAGCCTTTACCTCTTGTGTGAGTACAAAATCTTTTCCTACCTCGAGAGAGTATTAATCAATTAAATTTTGGTTTCTTAAAGAAGTTCTATTCTGATTGACTTAAAGACATAAATAAGTGCTTTTATAAATTGACTATTCCTAAAATTTTAATAAACTGAGGAGATTGGATTTCTAATACTTTAAATGTACTACACTAAAATATGCTTGCAGAAACAAATTCAGAAACCCTTTAAGAATCCAAGTAATTTTTTTTTTTTGAAACAGGGTCTTGCTCTGTCCCTCAGGCTGGAGTGCAGTGGCACAACCATGGTTCACTCCAGCCTCACCCCTGGGTTCAAGTGATCTTCCCATCTCAGCCTCCTGAGTACCTGGGACTACAGATGCATGCCAACTACACTCAGATTTTTTTTGTTGTTTTTTAAATTTTTAGCAAAAACAGGTCTCTCTATATTGCTTAGACTGGTCTCGAACTCTTGACCTCAAGTCAGCCTCCTGCCTCAACTTCCCAAAGTGCTAGGATTATAGGCAGGAGCCACCCTTCCCACCTTCCACCTTTTTTTTTTTTTCTTTGAGAAACAGGGTCCTGTTCTGTCATCCAGGTTGGAGTTCAGTGACACAGTCATAGCTCACTGCAGCCTTGAACACCTGAGCTCAAGCCATCCTTTCGTTTTGGCCTCCCAAAGCACTGAGATTATAGGTGTGAGTCACTGCACCCTGCCCAAGCTCACATAATTACAGCAAATCTTTGGCAAATAAGACTGCAGAAAGTTCCCGATTTACCATCGTTTGATTTAGGGTTTTTCAACTTTACAATGGTGCAAAAGTGATATTCATTCAGTACACTCCTCAGTTTCAACGGGGTTACATCCAGATAAACTCATCTCAAATTGAAAATACTGGCTGGGTGCTGTGGCTCACACCTCTAATTCCAGCACTTTGGGAGGCCGAGGTGGGCAGATTGTTTGAGCCCTGGAGTTCAAAGCTAGCCTGGGCAACAAGGCCAAACCCCGTATCTACAAAAAATACGAAAATTAGCCAGGCATGGTGGCATGCGCCTATAGTCCCAGCTACTCAAGAGGCTAAGGTGGGAGGATCCACTGAGCCCAGGAGGCCAAGGCTGCAGTGAGATGATTGCACCACTGCACTCCCCCTGGGCAACAGAGCAAGACCCTGTCTCAAAAAAAAAAAGAAAGAAAAAGAAAATATCATAAATCGAAAGTGTTTTTGGCTTACAATACTTTCAATTTACAATGGGTTTATTAAGACATAACTCCATCGTAAGTCAAGGAGCATTTGTAGTTTAATATGTTTGGTTTAATAAAACAGTTACGTCTTCTCTGATTTATCTGTGCTGAGTATAATAGAAGCATACATTTTATTCTACTTGGCTTTGCTTTGTCCTATAGTTATCAGGTTACTGATCAAACACACTAATATTATTTGTACATAATGTAAATTTGTGTCCAACAAAATTGAATCATGATTTCCAAAACTTTATTTCAAGAATAATTATGTTTCATAGCCTGCCAACTTGAAGATAATTTCCAAGATCCTTAGGTAGTTGAAAAACCTTGAACTGGTATTAAATTAATTATTAGATATATGGAGAATATCTACATAATTTCTAAGTAAGATAGACTACTGTACCATATAATTAATTAATTAAAAGCTCTAGAGGGGCTATATCTATGAGTAATGTTAGTGAACATGTTCACTTTTGCCACTTTAAGAACATGTAAAAGAGATGTGCATGGCTGTAGAAAATTGTTTCAAGCTTTTCTAGTTTGCTGTAATGCTCATGTATTGCAGGAAGTTCTCAATTACCCATCCCACACTGACTTTTCTCTGTAAATGAGAAGTTAGTTACTTTGTTTAAAAGTTATAATTAATGAGTGGTTGCCACTAAGGAGCGATAGTGACAGGGAGATCCAACTGCATGTGTGTTTTGATATTTCATGGAAAAAGAGCGGCTGTCCTCAAATTTTTGGTCTCCAAACCATTTTACACCCTTGGGGCTTGTTGCAGATCTCAAAGGTTATCTGTGTATGTAGATTATAACTATCAATATCATATTAGAAATTAGAGCTGAGAATTTTAAAAATATTGGTTTATTGCCTAATTTGAGAATAGCAGTGATGAACAAATTGCATGTTTACGTAAGTAATATGTTAGAAATACTTTAAAAATTTGTTTTGATCTTTTGGACCTGAGATCTGTCCTTATGTCGTGTGTCAGTTTGTCCCAGAATACCTAAGAGCATAAGGAAAGACCACACTTGGAATGTGGATTCAGCTTGGCCTTTGTGGATGATAGCTCAGTCTGAAAAGAAGTGATGAAATGTGTTAAAATCTTAGGAAAGTTCATTCTATTTTGATGGGTTTGCTTCCCTGGTTTATTGATGCATGCCTTTGTTTACAATATGAATGGTAATTCTTCACTGTCTGTAATGAATACTATGCTTACTTTACAAAATTAAAGTGAAGAATTCTTTCTGTCTAGAGAGAAAATATTCTGTGTCTTACCAGAATAATTTTCTGTGTTATATGATGACCTTATAATGTCTTTGATTATTTAAGGAGAAAAAAATTCCTCATTTATGAAAGACATAAGGGTTTTTTCTAACTGCATTGCTGTTAGTATATATTTTTAAATGTTTTATTGTCACTTTAATTAAATAGGTAACCAAATATTGCTTCTTAGGTATCCATGGCCTCTCGTAAGCAAGTGTCCAAACTGTTCTGATAACTTTTAAAAATTTACCTTCCCCAAATAGGATCCTAAATGTAGAAAAAAAATGAAATAAAAGTTTCAAGATTTTTTTTACACCTAAAACTTTCATCTTTGAGATTTCCCAGAAAGCTCCGGGGAAAAAAAATGACAAGGTTTTCTCTTTTACTTTATAAAAAAAGAAGTATTAGAAATAAGTGGGTTTGTTTGATATGTGACTAGTGTAAGAGTTTCATGGGAAGAGATATCAGAAGAGACATTCATCCTGCCCCAGGTGAAATCTGTGTAAGTTAAGTGAATACTTCAGAAATTGTATGATTTGTGGGATGTCCCTGGGGATTTGTCAATGTTCTCACTTTTTTAGCCTATGTTTTCACCTCAGGGAAAACACTGATCAAAACTCTTAAGAAATGGTTTCTTTCAAGTTTTTCTGTATTTGTTAGTATCCTGGCAATGTTTTGTCTGATATTAGACAACAGCAGTATAGCATATAGCATTATTAATTGTAAACTCAGTTATTATTTGAAATGCTAACTTAACCAAAACCTTACTTCTTTAATTTGAATCTAGAGGATTCTAGATCATTAATTCTCAACTGGGGATATACATCAGTCTTACCCATGGAGTATTTTTAAAAATATAAAATAGAAGAATATAAGCAAGAGGACCAACTAGACCAATGAGTCAATGAAGAAAATTTAAAAATTTCGTGAATCATGAAAATAGAAACACAACATACCAAAGCCTATGGGATATACCAAAGCAGTGTTAAGAGGGCAGTTTACAGCAATAAATGCCATAGATTTCAAATAAACAACCTAATGTACATCTCAAGGAAGCAGAAAAGCAAGAACAAAGCAAACCCAAAGTTAGTAGAAGAAAAGAAATAATAAAAATCAGAGGAGAAGTGAACAAAATTGAGACAAAAAATACACAAGATCAATAAAATGAAAAGTTAATGTCTTGAAAAATAAAGAAAATCAACAATACATTAGCTAGACTATCCAAGAAAAAAAGAGAAAAGACCCAAATAAATAAAATCAGGAATGAAAGAGGAGACATCACAACTGATACCACAGAAATAACAAAGGATAACTTGAGACTATATGAACAACTGTATGTCAACAAATTGGAAAACCTAGCAGAAATGGATAAATTCTGGGTCACAAATGACCTATCCAAGATTGAACCAAGAAGAAATAGAAAACTTGAACAGATCAATTAAAAGTAATGAGATTGAATCAGTAATAAAAAGTCTTCCATGAAAGCAAGCCCAGGACCTGATGGCTTCACTGCTGAATTCTACTAAACATTTAAAGAACTAATACTAATTCTCCTCAAACTCTTCCAGAAAATTGAAGAGGAGGGAATTATTTCAAACTCAATGTATGAGGCCAGCATTATTGTGATACCAGAACCAGACAAATATACAATAAGAAAAGAAAACTATAGGCCAATATCCCTGATGAACATAGATGTAGAAATCCTAAAAATAAAAAATAAAAAATAAAAAATAAACTAGCAAACCAAAACTACCAGCACATTAAAAAGACCATTCACCCTGATCAAGTGGGATTTAACCCAGGGACCCATGGATGGTTCAACATACACAAATCAATAAATGTGATACATCACATGAACAGAATGAAGGACAAAAACTGATCATCTCAATTAGATGTAAAAAACACACTTGATGACATTCAACATCCCTTCATGATAAAAAAAATTCTCAACAAACTAGTTATAGAAGGATCATACCTCAACACAATAAGGGTCATATATGACAAATCCACAGCTGTACTGAATGGGGAAAAGCTGAAAGCTTTTCCTCTAAGACCTAGAACAAGACAAGGATGCCCACTTCATCCTAGTAATGAAAGTCCTATGGCAATTAGGCAAGAGAAAAAAAATATTCATCATAGTAGTGAAAGTCCAGGGCAATTCGGCAAGAGAAAAAAATAACAGACACTTTAATTGAAAAGAAAGAAGTCAAATGACCCTGTTTGCAGACAACATAATTTTATATATAGAAAACCCTAAAAGTTTCACCAAGAAAACCTCTTAGAACTGATAAACAAATTCAGGAAAGTTTCAGGATACAAAATCAACATACAAAATCAGTTGCATTTCTATACACCAACAACAAACCAGCTGAGAAAGAAATTAAGCACACAGTCACATTTAAAATAGCTATTAAAAAATTAAAATATCTAGAAATAAATTTAACCAAGGAGGTGAACTATCACTATAAGGAAAAGCATAAAATGCCAGTGGAAGATATTAAAGAGAATACAAACAAATTGAAAAATGTACCATGTTCTTGGACTGGAAGGATTAATATTGTGAAAATGACCATGCAACCAAAAGTGTTCTAGAGATTCAATGCAATCTCCATCAAAATTCCAATGGCATTATTTACAGAAATATAAAAGGCAATTTTAAAATGTATATGGAACCACAAAAGACCCCAAATAGCCACAGAAATCCTGAGCAAAAAGAACAAAACTGGAGGCAACATACTTGACTTCAAAATATACTGCAAAGCTATAGTAACCAAAAGGGCATGGTGTGGCATAAAAAGACACATATGGAACAAAACAGAGATCCCTGAAATAAATCTGGGTATTTACAATCAACTGATTTTCAACAAAGGTGCTGAGAACATTCAGTGGGTAAAGGATAGCCTCTTCAATAAATGGTGCTGGGAAAACTGAATATCTATATGCAGAAAAATGAAACTAGACTCCTATCACTCACCATCTACAATAAATCAACTCAAAATTGATTAAAGATGTACATGTAAGATGCAAAACTGTGAAACCACTAGAAGAAAACATGAGGAAAATGTTTCAAGACATCGATGTGTACAAAGATTTTATGGAAAATACATCAAAAGCACAGGCAACAAAAGTAAAAACAGACAAATGGAATTATATCAAACTAAAAAGCTTCTGCATAGCAAAGAAAACAACAGAGTGAAAAGAGAACCTGCAGAATGGGAGAAAATATTTGCAAACTATTCACCTGACAAGGGATTAATATTCAGAATATACAAGGAACTCAGACAACTTAGCAAAAAAAATCAGATTTAAAAATAGACAGATTTTAAAATGTGCTGAATAGACATCTCTCAAAATAAGACATACAAATAGCCAGTAGGTGTATGAAAAAATGCTCAACATCACTAATCATCAGAGAAATGCAAATTAAAACCACAATAATATATCATCTCATCCCAGTTAGAATGGCTGTTATCAAAAAGACAAAAAATAACAAATGCTGGAGATGATATGAAGAAAGGGGAACTCACACATACATACACACTGTTGCTGGGAATGTAAACTAGCATAGCCATTATGGAAAACAGTATGGAGATTGCTCAAAAAAACTAAAAATAAAACTACCATATGATCCATTAATTCCACTGCTGGGTATATGTTCACAAGAAAGGAAATCAGTATATCAAAGAGATATCTGCAGTACTGTGTTTACTGCAGCACTATTCACAATAACCAAGGTTTGGAAGCAACCTAAGTGCCCTCAACAGATGAATGGATAAAGAAAATGTGGTACATATACTCAATGGGATATTAGTCAGCCATAAGAAATAATAAAATTCTGTCATTTGAAGCAACATGGATGGAAATGGAAGACATTATGTTAAGCAAAATAACTCAGGCACAGAAAGACAAATATTCCATGTTCTCACTCTTATATGAGAGCTTAAAAAGTGGATCTCATAGCAGTAGACAGTAGAATGATGGTTACCAGAGGCCAAGAAGAGTGGGAAGGGGACATAAAAAGAGGTTGGTTAATGGGTACAAAAATACAGTTAGATAAAAGGAATAAGTTCTGGCATTTGATAGCAGAGTAGGGTGACTATAATTAAGAATAATTGATTAGAGTGTACCCAAAACAAAGCTCTAGCCAATCAAGTCTCTGTGTGCCTGGAGAGACTGGGCAGTTTGACCTTTAAGCCTGAATATTCAACTGTCCTACTCTTTGAAGCAGACACAACTGCTCTGCATCAGACCATCACCACATTTGTGTCTCTCAAAACCATTCAAATTCCTGAGCACTTGATGGATCATGCTAGTTCATCAAATATTGGGCCTTTCCTGAAGAAAAGAGGCTATATCCCAATGCAAGAGCAGAATCCAGCATCACAACTGTTCCTCTCAGCAAATGGCTCCTTGGAAACAAATCTGCCAGTGATTGTCTGGACTGACTCACCCAAAAGCAGACCTTGGAGAATAGTCAGACTTCTGCAAGAGCCTGCAATTTCTTCAGTAGTGTCTGGGAAAACCTAAAGGGCTTAGAAAACTGGCTCCTCAAGAGTCAGTGACAGGAAGTTCCTGAAAAACCAAGTTATCAAAAGTGTAACAGCCATTCCACTACCAGTTCTTTCTCCATTGAAACTGAAGATCAAGAGTTTCCTGAACAAGATGAGACAGATCTATCAGATTGGTTGGTGACTCCCTAGGAACCCCAGAAGCTGGAGAAGCCTGAGAATGGCAGTCGTGAAACCAGTGAGAAGTTTAAGCACTTGTGCTAGTCCTACAATGTGAACGATTGGCTTGTCAAGACCAACTCCCGCACCAACTGTCAGGGCAACAAGCCCAAGGGGGTGGAGATTGAAAACCTGGCAATCTGAACTGCCTGAATGACCACTTGGAGGCCAAAACACCATTGTCCACCCCCAGCGTGGTTACTGGGATTGGCCTGTCCAGAAGCATCATGACCCATGTAAGGTAGAGGAGATGTGCAAAGCCAATGAGCCCTGCACAAGCTTTGCAAAGTGTGTGTGTGATGAGAATTGTGAGAAGGAAGCTCTGTGCAAGTGGCTTCTGAAGAAAGAAGGAAAGGATAAAAATGGGATGCCTGAGGAACCCAAACCTGAGCCTGAGAAGCATAAAGATTCCCTGAACATGTGGTTCTGTCCTTCTAGAAAAGAAGTAAGAGAACACAGGCACTAAAGGTAATGGTTCCTTCTGGAACTTCTGATTCCTTCCAAGTCATAAAGAACAGCTGTCAGAGTGGCTCATCTGGCCGCCATACAAAAAAGGAAGTCCCAAGGAAGACAGAGCTGGCAAACCAAAGCCTAAAAGCCCCATGACCACTTCCTGGTGTCCCTTTAACACAGCTGACTGGGTCCTGCCAGGACAGAAGATGGGCAACCTCAGCCAGTTATCCTCTGTCAAAGACAAGTGGCTGCTTGGAAAGAAGGCCCAGGAAGTATTAATTAATTCACCTCTACAGGAGGAATATAATTTCCTCCTAGACCTTTTCGGCCTCCCTGCAGTTTGTGACCTTTTTGCCTGTATGCAGCTTAAGTTGATAAAGAGAAGTGGTTACACCAAACTCCTCTGCAGATGTGAAGGAATGGACAGCAAGAGTTGAGCAGTTTTCTGCCGATCATCACACATCATGAGCTGAGTGACTACAGGTTGCCAAATCATTGTTTCTGAGTCTGACCAGTGAGCTTAGTTCTTCTCCTGCCTAATTTTGTACTAGTGAAGTGAGGTGAGTCATGAGATTGAGTTACTGTTTAAAAGAAAAACCCTGTTTAGCAATGCTGAGGTGACTCAGTTCCTTCCTTCTTACAGAAGTATTAATCCACCCTACACTAGAAATGCAGCACCTTGGTGGACCCATCTTTTTCACAAGCCTCCAAGTCTCCTTAGATTGGGTTGTTACTAAAAGTACATTAAAGCACTCTAGTCTTAAAAATGAAATATTTATATAATCGAAGTGTATTGATGTATTCTAAAGCTAGTAAACTTCCGTAACTTTTAATTGCCCTATAGATGCTTCTCTTGCTGTGGGTTTTCTTCTGTTAGTGGTCAAAATAATGATTTTTCTGTTCTGTTAATATATTGTGTATTTTACAAAAAAAATTAACCTGGCCAATAGTGATTACCAAAAATATACATTAACAATCTTGGCAATTTTTGACATTAACTACCAAACATTTTAGCCTACATGCTAGTTCTACATTATTTTTCATCTTCACTTGAAAGAAACTCAGCTATTGTCTATTTCTTTCTGTAAATGTTATTAAAGTATCCAGTGAGCTCTTTTAGAAGGGCTCCGTATTATTTCAAGACTATTTTCAGGGTAGTTCTGGCCTTTCAAAATATTCTACAGACCTACAGGGTTTAAAAGAACCTCAGTGCTGACTAAGCAAATAGGCAAGACGTTGGAAATGTGGTCTAGTACTTGAACCATTCACTATCGTAGGGATTTTGGGTGCATCCTGTGTAAATGGAAGCTGAGCTTGACACATCTGGTGCTTTTAACTAGGGATAAAGTTGTCCTCTCACTGCAAGCACAGTATATCTGTACCTCCAAAAGTACAACGCAGTGACATTTTGTGAACAGACCATTTTCAACACTTGTGCCTTGGGGTATTCATTGAAGCTTTATGAAAACTACTGATGTTTTTTCAATATCCTTAAAGTTATGTCCATGCTTTAAAATGTCTCTGTAGGAGAGAAGAGAGGTTTATAATGTTTTTAAATTCTCTAAGATATTTTTGCTGCTTTCCAGACTTTGAAACTATTAAGCTTCTTAACTGCCTATATTATTAGAAATACTTCTGGGGAAATTTCATGGTCCCACAATGTCATTGCCATACAGCTTCACTAGAGTTCTTTGAACCACAGCTGAAAAGAGCTTTGTATTATTTTTTAATCCCCTCCCCAGATATCATTTAGAACTATTATAATAAAGGTGGTGGGTAATAACAACCTAAGGAGCCTTTCTAGTTACCTTAAGTTGCAGCTAACTCTGTGGTTTCTTTTTTGAGGCCTAACAAACATACTGTATTTTACATTATCAAAATGTAGTTTACATTACTCACTATGTTAATGAGTATATAAAAGATTCTTTTGCATTGATGCATTTTGTATCTGCCTTCATTAAAAGCAAAACAGCCCTAAAAAAAAAAGGAAAAAAGAAAGAAATTAACCACAGCCATATGTCTTTGTTACCTACAAATGGTTTTTGTTTTACTCTAATACATCCCTGAGGCGATGCTATAAAGTGAAGGCGAGAGTTTATGTCTTAAATAAAGCTTCCCGGAAAAGGACTATACTAGGTACTTCAAACTATTGACATTTCAAAGAATAGACTCTTGGGTACAGTCTTCTGATGTAACGTAACTTAGACAACACTCAGACTGCACCTGTGGGCTAAGGCAAGATTTCTAAACTCTTTTTAGTTGAGAAGCAGACAGCTTCATGAGATTGCTAACCCAAGATCCAGAGGAACAAGAATTAATTATAGGACTGAATATACTGATAAGGGAAATTTTATTGGGGTTAGCTGGAATATTGTTTTTGTTTTAATGTTCTGTTTTCTGAATCTATAAGAAAGCCACTTCCCTCTCTTCTTATACTTCTTTAACCCATGACAATTTAGTAAACTCTGCTTTTGTAAACTGAAATGACACTGATTTTAGACCACTCCTGCTTACAGAGCACAGAGAAGTCACACAGACCTGTGCCCACCGGCATCCCACCCCAAGCCAAAACCACCACCAATGTGACTGCTCACACATTTGCCAGCAGGGTCCTCAACAGCTGCATTGCCTCCGCCACTGTGGTGAACGCCTGCAGGGAGGCATGCACCCCAGCACCTGTGAGCACCCTGCCGCAGCTGCCACTACTGACGCTGCTGGCATGTATGAATGAGGAAGGGTCCCACTGTCACTGCACTAAGAAATGCTTTGGCTGACACCACCCATCGGAGTGTAGTGACCAGCAGTGTCGGAGCACCTCACTCCCCACCCTCAACCAGCAAAGTAGATTCCTAACCTCAAGGAGCCAGAGAACAAATTTGGGGCCCAATACAAGTCCCCCAGAGTTAGAGTGCGCCGTCTCAAAGTTAGGATCTGAGTGTTGGCCACCTAAAATCTTCCAGAAACAAAGCCAGTTGGCCGAATCCACCTTACACCAAAATCAAACCCTCAAAGTCATCAAATAGGATAAAAGAAAAAAAAATCCCAAGGTCAGCACCCTCAAAGATAGAAGGAACATAAGTCCACAAAGATAAGAAAGAATCAACACAAGAACCATGACAACTAAAAAAGCCAGAGTGTCTTCTTTCCTCTAAACAACCATATCAACACTCTAGTAAGGGTTCTGAACCAGGCTGAGATGACTGAAATAACAGAAATAGAATTCAGAATATGGACAGGAATGAAGATCATTGAGCTACAGGAGTACATTGAAACCTAATCCAAGGAAGCTAAGAATCATGATAAAACAATGCAGTAGCTGACAGATAAAATAGCCAGTATAGAAAAGAATGTAATTACTTGACAGAGCTGAAAAACACACTACAATAATTTCATAATGCAATCACAAGTATTAGTAGCAGAATAGATCAAGTGGAGAAAAGAATCTCAGAGCTTGAAGACTGGCTTTCTGATAATAGACAATCAGACAAAAATAGAGAAAAAAGAATGAAAAGGAACAAACAAAACCTCCAAGAAACATGAAATTATGTAAAGAGACCAAATCTATCACTCATTTTTGTCCCTTAAAGAAATAGGGAGAGTGTAAGCAACTTGAAAAACATATTTCAGGATATCATTCATGAGAACTTTCCCAACCTAGCTAGAGAGGCCAATGTTCAAATTCAGGTAATGCAGAAAACCCCCTAAGATACTTCACAAAAAGATCATCCCCAAGACACATAATCATCAGATTCTCCAAGGTTGAAATAAAAGAAAAATTGTTAAAGGCAGCTAGAGAGAAAGGTCAGGTCACCTACAAAAGGAAGCCTATCAGACTAATGGTGGACCTTTCAATAGAAACCTACAAACCAGAAGAAATTGGAGGCCAATATTCAACATTCTTAAAGAAAAGAATTCCAACCCAGAATTTCACATCCAGCCAAATAAAGCTTCATAAGCAAAGGAGAAATAAGATTCTTTAACAACTTCAGTCAAGTTTTTAAACAACTTCAGTCAAGTTTTTAAACAACTTCAGTCAAGTTTTTAAACAACTTCAGTAAAGTCTCAGGATACCAAATTAATGTACAAAAATCACTAGCATTCTTATACAAGCAAATGCTGAGAGAATTTATTACCACAAGACTTGCCTTACAAAAGCTCCTGAAGGAAGCACTGAAAATGGAAAGACCGTTACCAGCTGCTACAAAAACACACTGAAGTACACAGACTAGTGATACTATAAAGTAACCACATAAACAAGTCTGCAAAGTAACCAGCTAACATCATGATGACAGGATCAAACACACACATATCAATAATAACTTTGAATGTAAATGGGCTAAATGCCCCAATTAAAAGGCACAAGTGGCAAGCTGGATAAAGAACCAAGACCCATTGGTATGCTGTCTTTTAGAGACCCATCTCACATGCAATGACAACACAGGCTAAAAATAAAGGGATGGAGACAAATCTACCAAGCAAATGGAAAACAGAAAAAGACAGGGGTTGCAATCCTAGTTTCAGACAAAGCAGATTTTAAGCCAACAAAGATCAGAAAAGACAAAGAAGGGCATTACATAATGGTAAAGGGTTCAATTCAACAAGAATACCTAACTATCCTAAATATATATGCACCTAACACGGGAGCAGCCAGATGCATAAAGCAAGCTCTTAGGGGCCTTCAAAGAGACTTAGACTCCCACACAATAACAGTGGGAGACTTTAACACAACACTGACAATATTAGACATATTATTGAGACAGAAAATTAACATTGATATTCAGGACCTGAACTCAGCACTGGATGAAATGGACCTGATAGACATCAACAGAACTCTCCAAAACAACAGAATATACATTCTTCACATCACCACATGGCACATACTCTAAAATAGATTACATAGTTGGAAGTAAAACACTCCTCAGCAAATGCAAAAGAACTGAAATCATAACAAACAACCTCTCAGACCACAATACAATCAAATTAGAAATCAAGACTAGGAAATTCACTCAAAACCATACAATTACATGGAAATTGAATAACTGCCCCTGAATGACTTTTGGGTAAATAATGAAATTAAGGCAGTAATCAAGAAGTTCTTTGAAACAAATGAGAACAAAGATGCAACATACCAGAATCTCTGGGACACAGCTAAGGCAGTGTTAAGAGGGAACTTTGTAGCACTTAAAGCCCACCTCAAAGAGTTAGAAAGATCTCTATATGACAACCTAACATCACAACGAAAAGAACTAGAGAACAAAGAGCAAACCAATCCAAAATCTAGCAGAAGACAAGCAATAACCAAAATCAGAGCTAAACTGAAGAAGACTGAGACACAGAAAATCATCTAAAGATGAATGAATCCAGGAGCTGTTTTCCTTGAAAAAAATTAATAGAATAGATAGACCACTCGCTAGACTAATGAAGGAGAAAAGAGAGAAGATCCAAATAAAAACAATCAGAAATGAGAAGGGGGATATTACCACTGACTCCACAGAAATACAATAATCATCAGAGAATATTATGAACACTTCTATGTACATAAACTAGAAAATCTAGAAGAAATGGACACATTCCTGGACACATACATCCACCCAAGACTGAGCCAGAAAGATATTAAATCCCTGAACAGACCAATAATGAGCTCTGAGATTGAGTCAGTAATAAATAGCCCACCAATCAAAAAAGCCCAGGACCAGATGAATTCACAACTGAATTCTACCAGATGTACAAAGAAAAGCTGGTACCATTCCTACTAAAACTATTTCAAACAACTGTGGAGGAGAGACTCCTCCCTAACTTATTCTATGAGTCCAGCATCACCCTGATTCCAAAACCCGACAGAGACACAACAAAAAAAGAAAACTTCAGGCCAATATCCTTGATGAACATTGATACAAAAATCCTCAACAAAATATGGCAAACCAAATCTAGCAGCACATCAAAAAGCTTATCCACCACAATCAAGTAAGCTTTATTCCTGGGATGCAAGGTTGGTTCAACATATACAAAATAATAAATGTGATTCACCACATAAACAGAACCCAAACCAAAAACCACACGATTATCTCAATAGATACAGAAAAGGCTTTCAATAAAATTCAACCCCGCTTCATGTTAAAAACTCTCAATAAATAGGTATTGAAGAAACCATGTGTGGTGCACATATATACTAGAACTTAAAGTATAATTTTAAAAAAAATTTTGGGGGGGAGGTGCCAGGCGCAGTGGCTTACACCTGTAATCCCAGCACTTTGGGAGACTAAGGCAGGTGGATCATGAGGTCAGGAGTTCAAGACAAGCCTGGCCAAGATGGTGAAACCTCATCTCCACTAAAAATACAAAAATTAGCTGGGCGTGGTGGCAGGTGCTGGAATCCCAGCTACTCAGGAGGCTGAGGCAGAGAACTGCTTGAACCCAGGAGGCAGAGGTTGCAGTGAGCCAAGATTCTGCCACTATACTCCAGCCTGGGTGACAGAGTAAAATTCTGTCTCAAAAAAATAAAAAAAAAATTTAAAGAAACAGATTTTAAATATCTGATTCTCACTGAGTTCCCAGAATTCAGAAACTCTTAAAGAACCTCCTTACTTTTCATGGCAATATAGTTATTTGCATAATTTTGGTAGGAATTGGTCCTGCTTTTCACCATAATATAATTAAATAATTGATAGTACAATCAAGGCCTTATCCGAAGTGTCATATCTGAGAATGGTGCTCATTTAATCAGATATGAACACCAGTTTGTTTTAACAAACGCAAGTTGGTCATACTTAGAGAATCAGTGCCTACAAAGCCCTCCCAGGAAAACTGGCCTGGTTCCTGGCTGACAGAGTCCCCACCTTTTGAGGTGTTGGAAAGGTCATTTTCTAGTACACCAGTAACGTTAGGATATTCAGGGACCGTAAGAAAAGAGGATTTCACCCAAATTCATAGGTACTGCAGGTGAAATTTGGTAGAGAGAGTTTCTTGGAATTGATTTCCTAGCCTCAAGATAGTAAATAGCAGAGGCTTTTAAACCCATCTGATATTTTTATGAAAACTCCCAGACATAAGTTAATTTGGTAGCATTAGTTGTTGCTCAGTACTATATAGCTCAAGATTTGCAAAGACTGGCAAACTTAAGAAAAACGATATGCTAATTAACATCCTTGCTGCATCTATGTAAACAATCAGGCTAAACCTAATTGAAATCAGCCTTATTTTGTGATCAAGAATTCTTTCTTTGAGATTATGTAATCACAAGGGGAAGAAGGAGATTGTTAGAAAAAAATTGTGAAAGACTTTGAAATGTACTAAAAACTACCAAAGAGATTACTGGATGTTTTTATTGGAAAACTATGCGTTGTCTAGAGCATACCACTTTGGCTTATCTAATTCTATGTGGTTTAGACCTATCCTATCTTTGAGCTATTTTACCACTCTGTAAGTTATAAAAATAAAATGATAGCAATGTAAACAATTTTTTTCTATAAACATGCAAATTAATTCTGTCTGGTGGAGGAACAATTGAATCCCACCCCACCCCAACAATTATGGAAAAAGCCAATTTTGCATTTATTTGTAAATTCATTTCATGACCTACATATAGCTCTACTCTTTGAATTCTCCTTTGAACTACTTGTAACATCTTACTGATTTCCTCATGAATTAATAAGTTAAATAAAATATTTGACATATGTTCACTTTGTATATTTATTTGACAGTCATGGTTTTATCTTAAAAAAGTATCCATTAACAAGTTAAATTTATTTTGTTTTTGTGGTGTAAACTCTATTATTTATATATAATTATAAAAGCATTGCATTGTCAACAGTTAACTGGTTGACATAATTTTAGTTTAATAGACACTCAATTAAGCATTTATTAAATTTTGCTTTCTATCTTGGAGTTAATAATTTAATTTTAGGTTTCTAACATTCTTGCAGGTACTTGAAAAGTTCTTAAGCCCTAAGCACTGTAACTGTGGGGCAAAAATCAATATAATAACTGTGTAGTCACTCAATAAATACTTGTTGAATAAATGATTGAATTACAAATAATATCTATCATTTTGGTGGCATTTCCCAAGTGCCATACATTCATATACACACCAGAAATAAAAAATACAAGATGAAAAATAAACTAGGTAGTAAGATTTGTTGGAAATTATTATTGTTATTATTATTGTTGCCATAATGGCAATAAGGCAATAATAATGGGCTAAAACAGGCTGAATATCTTGCCTGCAATTGCACAGTTCTAAGTGCCAGAAGTAATATTTGAACCCAGTTTTCTGACCACAGAGTTCATACCTTTTCACTACCCAGGATATGGTCCTGAGTCTTGTGCCTCTTTGAGGAAGTCCCATCATGGTGATTCATATTTTCTTTTCTTTTTTTTTTTTTTTTGTCCTTCTACTCTCAAGCCCCATTATCCTTGTTCTTGGCTATGGAGACATCTCACTGGAAAGCACAGCACTCACAGGCCTTGGATTTCTAGTTCTGTGAGCAGGAGTAAAATCCTGGCCCTTTCTGAAGCTATGTATTCTTGAGCAAGTTATTTAATATATCTATTAAAATAAGAATATTAATAACATCTTACCATAAGGGTATTGAGAAGGAAAATGAGATAATGAAGTAACAAGCTTGGCACTGTTCCTGGCACAGAGTAAGTGCTCAGTAAGCAGTGGTCGAGGTCATAGTTGCTTACAGATTCCTGCTCCTCTCTGGCCACTCTAAAGCCTCTGAACTGCAGTCAAGGGCGGCAGGGATTGGGTTAGGATGGAAGAAATGGTAGCGAGAGGACACGATTTGCATAAGCCTTTACATTTTATGAAAACTCTTTCTATTCCACAATGGAACAAGTCTTTTGAAGCAAGGCAGTACAACCTAGAGACAATTTAAACAAATTCCAACTGGAGAGTTACAAGAGAGATTGCAAAAAGAAACTGGAGTCATGCCTTAATGGGTCCAAATCCCAGTGGCTCTGAGCCAAGCAGGCTCCAAATCTGCCTCAGCTCCTGATTGCACTGAGCCCAAATCCTTCTCCAGGCCCCAGAAATAAAAGGGAAGTGAGGAGAGGAGACCACAGGGCATTTGGGGGCCCAACTTAGGCCAAGCCAAAAACTCAAGTCTGGGTCTCAGTCTTTGTTCTTGAGGAAGTTATTTGTCAGCAAATGGAGGAAAACCTGGGAGGGGATTGTGTTGTTGGAAAAAAATGTTAGTTTCTAATGCACACAAAGTCCCGAAATAAAGCTCAGCAAAGCAGCCACTGTGTCTCCCATTGCTTTTGTAGATCCCCGTGGCCTTAGCCACTGTGTTCTACACATAGGGGGCTCTAGGTAAGTGCCGATTTCCTAAGGAAGATATGCCAGGCTGAAGCAAGAAAAGCAGGTTAGGTAGGGGTCTTAACTCATTTCTGAATGAGTGTGACTGTGATCTGCACTGTCATAGCACGGGTCTTGCTCTATTCAATAACCACCTCCAAAAAGAGTGTGGGGTTGTGCAGGAGGGGCTGTGGAGAGGTGGGAGAAGTCATCATTACAGGTATAGAACAGGACTCTGACTTTCATCACAACCTCCAGTGAGGTCTTCCAGACCCGCCAAATCTCACAACTTCAGTTGAGACTTGGACTTGAAAATGCGCTCCCTGTCAGCTACAGTGTGGCATAGAGAAGGAGCCTGGGTTTTGTTTGCCTTTAACAAAACACTGGGTTGAAACCAGCCACTTACCCACAGAGTGACTTCATTTACTTAACACCTCTAAGCCTCAGTTTCTTCGTTTCTAAATTAAGGTTAATAACATAGATCCCATACGGTTGTCGTAAGGATTAAATGAGATAAGTGGGAATTAAAAACACTTGCCTTGCAAGGTGTTTTAAGATTAAATAAGATGATGTATGAAAATCCAAGCCTGGCACTAACAGGCCCTTAATTGTGACTGGCTTGGTTTGAGGGAGGGCTATAAATCACCCCCTCTCCTTTTCATGATCTGAGCAAGTGAGATATAGAAAAAAAAAAATGGAGTCTAAAAGATTAGCTTTGGAGCCAGTAGAGATGGATAAGAGACAGAGGCATTGGCCTGCAGACAAGGGGGCTTCCTAACATTTTACCTTGGAATCAGCAGTGTCTCTCCAGTGCTGTTTCCTCGTAAGGAGTAGAGCTAACATTTCTTCATGGAAGCATCAGGACCGGGGAGTTAAATTCTTCCTGGCAGTAATGTATATAACTACCCCTCAAACAGACAGCACATATTATTAAAAACATCCCACTGTTATAAACAGGTATGAACTTGCCTTCTTAATTCAAGTCCTGACCCTTCAACTTGTGGTCTTGAAACATGTACATCACTCATCCATGTGTTAACATCTTAACAAGGAATTCTTCACAGATCAGCTTTTCAGAGAAGCACAGGATCCCTGGGTGATCAATTTCTCTTCCCCACACTTAAGCCACATCCACAGACTTTCTATTTTCATCACAACACTATAAATATCACAGTAACATTTTAAGTACCTCCTTAGGTTTTCTCTCCTCATCTGCTGTCCCTAAGGAGCAGGTGGGGTGCAGGAGAAAAGATGGAAACCATGCTCAAGGAGCCCCAGCCTCCTCTGCTCTCTTCAATAAATGCTGATGTCCTGCCCATAAGCCTGGCACTGGATTGGGACTGGCTCCTGGTCCTATCAATTTGAACTTTCTACCTAATACTACTATATTATGTCAAATCTTCTAGGCTTCTTTTAAAACTCTGGATGAGCATAGGAGCTCAGACACACATGTACGCAGTTGTGCATGCACACGTATGCTCACATCCACTCACCATCACCCCTCACTCTCAGCAGGTGATGCCTAGATGACGTCTCCTGCTTCGTACAGACAATAGGAACCACCATCTGGAAAGTCCTTCAGAGTCACACATTCAGAGCTACAATCCACCCACATCCACATGCATTCTCTTTTCCTTTCCCTCTCCTGTAAGAAAGTTCAATCAAAGCAATCTGAGGCAAGTTCTCTTACCTATTTTTGGATGCCATCAACCCCTCCTTCTCAGGAATCTTTACTTTCAATGATCCTTTTTCTCTTTTGTACATGCAAGCTCTATATTTCCATTGAATTTTCATGAAGAATGTGCTCCCATTAAAAAAAAAACAAAAAAACAAAAAAAAAACCTCTCTCACCCCATCCTCATTGGTCAACTGGCACCCTGCCTCCTCCCTGTCGTAACCAAGTGTCTCAAAAGTGTTGTCCAGCCCCACTGACAACATCTGCTCATGTCTCACTCAGTCCTCAGACCACCCCAATCTGACTCTTTACTCCACCAAAAAAAACCAAGGCTACCAATGATCTCCAAGTTGCTAAATCCAGCAGTTTCCAGTCCTTGCCTCAGTTGTGCTCCCAGCAGTGTTTCAGAATTTGAAGACTCCCTTGGATACCTCAAGGCAACCAACGTCACAGCCTTGCCGCTGAACTGATCCTGACTTGGTTCTCCAAGTTCAAGAGGGTTTCCATCATCTAACCAGCTGCCAGAATTCACCTGGAGCCACCCACAACACCTCTTTCCCTCTTACCCTCTACATCCAATTCACCAACAAGTACACTGTTCTGCTTTTGAAATATTTAAGTTGATCTGTTTCCCTCCATTTCACTGCTATCCCTCTCCAAGCCACCATTTTCTTTCACTTGGTCAACAAAACTGACCTCTTAAGAAGTCTTCCTCACAGAGCTTTCTGTCCTGAATGAACAGAAGCTGAGTGTTATGTTTTTTAATGCAAATTTGGTTTCCTCTCTCTCTCTCTCTCCCTCTCTCCCTCCCTCTCTCCCTCCCTACCCTTCTTAAAACCCTTCAGTGGTTTTATATTGCTCTTAGAATCCAGGTCCAAATCCTTAACATGGCTTATAAGATCCAACAAGGTCTGGCCCCTGCAGGGCCTCCATTTGTCTCATAGTTTGTGTGGAGCTCTGCTTGAAGTTGTGCAGTGCACAGGTTGCACAGCTGTATACCTAGGTCCTGGGCCCTGACCTATCTTTCCAGTCTCATCTCTACCACTCTGGCCCTTCTATTCTAAACTCAGCCACATTCTCATTTCTCAAATGTGTCCTGCTCACTCCAGCCAACAGTGTTCTTTGCTACGAGTACACTCTATTCCTCGCTCCCAAATTCTTCTCTTCGATAATTTTCAATCAAAAGTCACTTCCTCAGGGTAGCTGTTAGTATTGATCACAGTCCCAGCAAGAAACAGACAGCATACTCCAAGAGGGCGAGTGAAAGGAGTTTAATGAAGGGGCATGTTACAGCATCCGGACGGGGTCAAGGGAAACCAGCAAGGGCTGGAGAAGCACCCTGAGCTGGACCCTGTTGCCACCCCTGGGTCTGAAGGAGCAAGAGGAGGACAATGCAGCTGTAGGAGAGGGGCCTCCTGACAGCAGCTGTGATCCCCAGAAGAGGAGCACACCACCACTAAACTGTAGCCCAAGGGGGAGGAGGCCAGGCTAGAAACACTTCTACCCCTCCCCTTTCACTCTCTTATCTCTCGCTGGTGTCTCCCATTGGCCAAACCCACCCAAAAGTCAGAGGGCAAGAGCCACAGTGTTGTGGCTCTCTAGGGATCAGAACAACTAGAAGAGGTTGCTCTGACCTGGAGAGCAAGTGGAGCATGTTGCGCCTACCTTCTCTCTTCACCCTCATTCAGCTCTCTTTGATATACGCTGCTTTAACACAGCACTCTCTTCCTTCATAGTTATTCTCCCCATTTGTATGTTTCCTATGTTAATAATTTGATTAACATCAAATTATTATCAAGTAATTATTAATTATTTGATACGGATAATTTTTCATATCAAATGATGGACACGATGTGTTCATAAGCTCATGAGGATAAGCACCACTTGGATTGCCAGTGCCTGGCACAGTGCCCAGTGTGGAGCTCTGCAAACATCTGTTGAATGAATAAACATCCTCATCAACTGCTGATTATAGGGTGTTTATATACTTTGGCCCATGTTTGTGAAGACTAAGGAAGGCCTGGCGTTAATGGGAAGGGCAAGGCCCTGGGTGAGACAGACAGTACAGATGAGGATCCCCATCAGAGTGTCAGGGAGGTCCAGAACCTTCACTCCACATTCAGTCGAAAGTCTTAATGAAGCCTCTGGACCAAAGCTCCAGCTTTTCTCCTGCCCCATAGACAGAAATAGTGAGAGGGTTCCAACTGGACAATGGGCCAGATGGGGCAATAAATGGAAATACAAAACAAAGGAAATACATCAGAATTTAGAGTTAAGGAATCCATGTCCTCCCCTGCTCTGACACTTACTTTCCTCTGACACTTACTTGGCTGTGTAACTTTGAGTAATCATGCAACTCCCTGGCTCTCAGTTTCCTCGACTGTCAAGCAGGAATAACGACTAAACTTTCCATTACAGTTGCTGGGAGGACCACATGAGGACATGTGTTACGTGAAATGTAGTTTATAAATTCTTAAGCACTGAACAATTCATCCCTTGGTTTCAGAGTCACACAAGATGGTTCTAATAAAGCTCATTTCCTAATTTTTGTATGGGGAGGGCACTCATTCTGGAAGCAAAATATTCACCACAGATACTCCTGAGCCTCATGGGACCTCATTCACCAGGGCGGTTCCTCAGAGTGGCCCTACCTAGTGGCAATGGGAATAATTATTGTAAGCACCTAAACCCCTCCCTCCAAAATCAGGAAAGTCTCTCGCTACTTCTCACCCCTCTTCCTCAGCCTGAGAGAAGCTCCCAGTGGCCAATCAGAATCATCACCCCTAGTTTTCTATAAGCACACACATGAGAAAGATACACAGTGGCTCATGCCTGTAATCCCAGCACTCTGGGAGGCCAAGGAAGGCAGATCATGAGGTCAGGAGTTTGAAACCAGCCTGGCCAACATGGTGAAACCCCATCTCTATTAAAGATACAAAAAATTAGCTGGGCGTGGTGGCACGTGCCTGTTTCCCAACTACTCGGGAGGCTGAGGCAGGAGAATCGCTTGAATCCAGGAAGCAGAGGTTGCAGTGAGCCGAGATGGCGCCATTGCACTCCAACCTGGGCAACAGGGTGAGACTCTGTCTCCAAAAAAAAAAAAAAAAAAAAAAAGTTGCCTCAGTTTCCCCATGGATCACTTGCTACATATTTATGAATGTGTAATTAGGAACGTGTGATGTCATCATTTCCAATTATGCGGTTTTAGCTTGCAGCAATGACACATTACCCTAATGTGTGCTTCCTTCTAATTGATAATTATCCTTGATCCCTGTAATCATGATATAATATCTCTAAGGCAGAAGTGCTCTTATTTTCCTTTTCTTCTTCCTTTTTCCTCCTCAGGTTCATCCTTCCGGTGGATTCCTGATATCTCCTAAACTCATTGTGGATTTCCTTACCTCTCCAAACAGATGGCTCAGTGCCATTAACTTTGTAATTTCATCTTTGAAAAATCTAATCTTTGTACTCCCTTCTCTGCTTTCCTTAACTTTTTAATAACACAGACTTGTCAGAACAGAAATTGCTTCTGGCCTGGAACAGGCTGTGCTATCAATGGCATGTATATTGCTGAGGCTGGGGTGGCTTCACTTTGACTTGACACAAACCCAATCAGGATATGAGACCTCCGAAGATTTTCATCTTTATCTGAGGTCTCACAGTTGTTAAGCAAGTGGGAATGATATTGATGTCTGTATACCTCCTTGTAATTCACACCAAAAAGAGAGAGAGAAAGAGAGAAGTTCCTGACATTTATCTCTTAAACAAGACATGTGAGCAGCCAGATGCTGTCTGACAGGACAAATATTTACTGTGCCTGCAAACAGCCCTGAATGCCAGTCCAGCCACGGCAAAGACTCTGACCCAAGCTGATCGACATTCAGTGGAGACACCGGGTCCCAAGGGCTGAGGATTAAGGACATTATTTAACACTGAACCATGCACAAGATTTGTCTTGTTGGCCTTATATCAAAACTGGGCATTTTATTTTCATTTCCTGGATTCTCCATGGGCTCACATTCTTTAGGGCAAGTAGCTGTGAGACCTTTTCATTCCTGCGAAATCTGTCTCCAGGCCCATATTTCACCCAGCAGTCAGAAGGATTATAGAACTGCAGAGTTCTTCTGAAGATTTGCTAGCTCTCCTCCAAAAGGAAAATTAGACTCCTGAAGATCCACATTGCCACTAAAAGTAAGCAAGGAGATGAGAGACCCGTCTGGGGACTGTGGCTAGAAAAAGCACTTGAGGCATTTTTTGCAGCAGAGTCTTGAACAAACCACCGAGGAAAAGGAGGGGCAAGAATTTCCACTAACAAGCTTGACAGTTATTCTGTAGCTCATAGAGAAGTCGTGCTTACTTCAGCAGCATTATTTTTTTCTACAGAAATGTCTGATTAGCAACCTCCTAGAATGATAGTGCTTAATTGACACTGGCCACAAAGGCGTTTGAGAAGTTTTATCCCCTGCCTTTCATATAAAATACTTAAAGTTCTGCTGTTGCAGGCAATAGTTGGGAATAAGTCTTTATCTCTCTGCTCCGCTAGCTTCCCAGGCGACCTTCCTTTCCAGGGAAGCCATGTGCTGCTTGCTTCTGACGCTCTCTGGTTTGATTCCATTGAGTAAGCTGTTTAACCTCTCATGCCTCAGTCTCCTCAACTACCTGAGATGTTGAGGAGGAATTAAATGAGAACGTGTATCTAAAGCTCTTCTAGGGCCTGAGATTTTGAAGCAGACACTCACATGTTAACTCTCATAGGTATTATCATTTTGACAAATGTCAGGCTTGTCTCAGCTGAGGTGAGTTGAGGCTTTCTCCCTGCCTTGGTCAGGATAATGAGGGCTGGGTGTGGCAGATACGGTAATAGCCCCCAAATGATGTTCATGTCCTAATCCCCAGAACCTGTGAATATTACCTTATATAGCAAAAGGGTCTTTGCAGATGTGATTTAGATGGGGAGATGATCCTGTATTACCCAGGTGTGTCTAGTGTCATCACAGGGTCCTCTCAAGAGGTGGGAGCAAGAGTCAAAGTCGGAAAACAGGATGACGAAGCAGAGCTCAGAGAGGAGAGATGATCCTACACTGGAGAGATGATCCTACACTACTGGCTTTGAAGACAGAGCAGGAGGACACAAGCCAAGGAATGCAGGAAGCCTCTAGGAACTGGAAGAGGTGAGGAAACAAAATCTCCTCTACAGCTTCCAGAAGGAACACAGCCCTGCCAACACCTTGATTTTAGACCAGTAAGACATCTGACCTCCAGAACTGTAAGATAATAAATTTGCATTATTTTAAGCCACTAAGTTTATGGCAATTTGTTCCAGCAGCCCAAGGAAACCAAGGTACTGGGTAACAGTAGAGACCTGTGGGTCCCATCAGGAGCAGAGGCAAGAACGCAAAGGAAACTCTAGAGGGATGGCCTCGGGGACATGGACTCCATCCCACCAGAGGGCTCCTTGCAGAGGCCTCAGCCCTGCAAGGAAGAGAAGCTGCTGTCCCTCCTGGAAAGCCTTGGCATCAATGAGGCTTGCCTCAAGGCCTTGAGGGGTGAATGGAGGGGCTGGAGGACATGCTGTCCATAGGGAAATTCCAAGGTGGAAGATGGGAAGTGAGAACTGAAAGGCTATTGGAGCATTATTTTTTTAGACAGAAATGTCTGATTAGACGGGGCTGCTGGCTGCTGTCTCCTCAGAGAACTGCAGAGGAAGGGGCGTGATGGGAAGGTGTGGCCACAGCGGCAGGCTCAGTTTCCACAATCTGCTTAGGTACTCCTGCAATAAGGAGGTTATTTTCACACAGGGCTTATGAGACTCAGTCTCATCTCTCCATAGACTCTGTGCTTTTCTCATTTCCCCTACAGGCCAGCACTCAAAAATACATAATGGATGAATAAATGAATGAATGAATGAATGAACCAACAAGTAAAAAGAGCCCAGATGTTATCACAAAATATCACCATTTCTCTTGGCTTGGAGGTGGGGGTAGGGGGCTGGGAATGGGAAGGAGATTGGGAAAAGATCCTTTTTTTCCTTTTAATCTTCCCAGGAAGGACCTGACTGAGCAAATCCCTTCCCTACAGTCAGACACACTGGCAGGTGTCCTTGGGCCCAGATTAGAAAGGTGGCTCCAGGCCCTAGGTGCTGCTGCTGTGGTTGGTATGCAGGCAAACGCTCCCAGTGCATTCGAAATCTGAGGGGGTGGATGCTAATAACCCATAATCAATGTTGCATTTGCCAACAGCCAAAAGAAAAATGAACCTTTAATTGAGCAAGATTTGGCATCAATCAATGATGTGACTTTAGTCAGGCAAAAGCGACAGATTACTGAGCCGGACACCCAACTGTGAGAATTGCTCTCTACTGGGGTGAAGAATGCAAAATGTGGATAAACAGCCTATCTTGCCAGGCCCAGGATCACAACTCACTGGGGAAAAACACCTCTTTATATCTGTTTGTAAATCTTTTTCATTATTCTCTTTTTTATGTTCTAAGAGCTTAAGTTACTTTGTACCTCTGAGCCCCTTCGCAGAAGTATTGTATTCTTATACGCTGATGATAATTTCTAAGAAGCCATTGGACACAATGGAATCAGCAGATTCCCAGCACCCAGCCAGAGAGCTGATAGAAGAGGAGCTTGAAGAAGCAACAGTCGGAGGCCAGAGAATTCTGGCAAGATGGTGGGGATGATGGCCACACAGGTTTTGGATCTTCCTAAATCCCCACCTAAAAACAGAGATACTAAGTAGCAACACCAAAAAACCTGGCCATGAACAACATTTATCACAAACTAGCTGATGGGGTATCCCCATGAACCCCAAATACAAGCAGGTCAGGATAAACCACCAACTAAGCCCTGAGCGCCCTCACTATCTGTGAGGGAGTAGAGGGAAGTCTTGGGCAGCTACAGACCCAGCACAGGAGAACTCCAAACACCAACAGATGGGAAGCGCTGCAGGCCTGAGACCAGCAGCTGCTACTGGGAGGAGCGTGTAACGGATCTGTGGTCGGCTCTGAACTATGAACTTTTGAAACTGACCAGCCAGGGTTCCCCTCCAGCACAGGGCCCCAGAGCAAGAAAACTACCAGGAGGGAAATCAAAACTGAGCCGGCTTGGGCTGCAGACTGATGAAAATCAGCGTGTGTGTGTGTGTGTGTGTGTGTCTGTGTGTGTGTGTGTGTGTGTGTGTGTGCGCGCGCGCACGCGCGCACGCACGCCAGTGGCCTCCCTCCCACCTGCCTAGATGCTTGGAAGGCTCTTTCCTTCCTGTCCATGGCCAGGATTTTGGTGTTGCTACTTAGTATCTCTGTTTTTAGGTGGGGATTTAGGAAGATCCAAAACCTGTGTGGCCATCATCCCCACCATCTTGCCAGAATTCTCTGGCCTCCGACTGTTGCTTCTTCAAGCTCCTCTTCTATCAGCTCTCTGGCTGGGTGCTGGGAATCTGCTGATTCCATTGTGTCCAATGGCTTCTTAGAAATTATCATCATCGTATAAGAACACAAAACTTCTGTGAAGGGACTCAGAGGTACAAAGTCAGTTAAGCTCTTAGAACATAAAAAAGAGAGGCCCTCCTGTTGCTCTCAGCCATTGCTTTGATGACGTGTATGGACATAGTTCTGCAGCTCCAACACTTCTCACTCCTTTCAGACATGGTTTTGCATTCACCCTCTGGCTTCATGCATAATTCCAATCGATTAGTCCTAATTCTGCCCTCAGGAGTTACAAAGAAATCTCCTCCCTCTTCCATATGACAGGTTTCAAATATTTGACAACAGCTATCGGGGGCCCTCTAAAGAACCTCTTTTTCAGGCCAAGCATCTCCAGTTTCTTCAAAAGCTCCCTCCAGGATGTGGCTTCCTGAAGCCTCAGCCCTGGCCACCTGCCTCTGAGCTTTTTGCGGTGCAGAGAAGCAGCATGGTAGAGTGGAAAAAACACCAGTCCTGGTGCCAGAGAGCTTGTGTTTAAGTTCTAGAACTTCCACCTCCTGGCCTCAGTTTTTTATCCTCTCTGAGCCTCAGTTTTTTTCATCTGCAATATGGGGATAATATGAAATCCTGGGTTTATTGTGAGGCTCAGGGAGTTAATAAATGTATCCGCTTTGAGAGCCCTAGAGCATGGTAAAAACATATATATATACATACATACATGTTTGGGTATTATTTCTCCAAGTTGTAACATCAGTGGCACTTCAAGAGCCTGGAAGAGACCACTCCAGAAGTGATCTGTTTAGAGGAGGGCACAATGGGACTATTCTGTCCTTATTCTAGTCCCAGGGTTTTCTTATTGTAGTTTAAGTTACACAAACTTGGCAGATCCTTATTGAGCCAGCAGTCAACTGAGCAAGAGCCACTCCATTTACTTTAGGCTCTTAATTGTCTCAGACAAGGTTATACATAGTATCACACATCACCTTAATAAAGAGAGCTGCTTTCAGCCCCATACAAAGGACCTCCTATGTTGAATTAGATAGGCCCATCATTCTTTTTCCAACTTGGTCCCAAGGAATATTTTATCTGGGAGGAGAGTGCAGAGATTATCCTTTCTCATTAAAAAACACTGTAGTCTGCTCAGGGGTCAGGGGTCAGGGACCCACTTGAGGAGGCAGTCTGCCCATTCTCAGATCTCCAGCTGCATGTTGGGAGAACCACTGCTCTCTTCAAAGCTCAGATGGAAATGCAGAAATCACCCGTCTTCTGCATCGCTCACACTGGGAGCTGTAGACCGGAGCTGTTCCTATTCGGCCATCTTGGAGGCACCCCCCAGTAGGAGCAGACTGACACTTCACACGGCCGGGTACTCCTCTGAGACAAAACTTCCAGAGGAATGATCAGACAGCAGCATTCGCAGTTCACGAAAAACCGCTGTTCTGCAAACACCGCTGCTGATACCCAGGCAAACAGGGTCTGGAGTGGACCTCTAGCAAACTCCAACAGACCTGCAGCTGAGGGTCCTGTCTGTTAGAAGGAAAACTAACAAACAGAAAGGACATCCACACCAAAAACCCATCTGTATATCACCATCATCAAAGACCAAAAGTAGATAAAACCACAAAGATGGGGAAAAAACAGAGCAGAAAAACTGGAAACTCTAAAAAGCAGAGCACCTCTCCTCCTCCAAAGGAACACAGTTCCTCACCAGCAATGGAACAAAGCTGGATGGAGAATGACTTTGACGAGTTGAGAGAAGAAGGCTTCAGATGATCAAACTACGAGCTACAGGAGGAAATTCAAACCAAAGGCAAAGAAGTTAAAAACTTTGAAAAAAATTTAGACGAATGTATAACTAGAATAACCAATACAGAGAAGTGCTTAAAGGAGCTGATGGAGCTGAAAGCCAAGACTCGAGAACTACGTGAAGAATGCAGAAGCCTCAGGAGCCAATGCAATCCACTGGAAGAAAGGGTATCTGTGATGGAAGATGAAATGAATGAAATGAAGCGAGAAGGGAAGTTTAGAGAAAAAAGAATAAAAAGAAATGAACAAAGCTTCCAAGAAATATGGGACTATGTGAAAAGACCAAATCTGCATCTGATTGGTGTACCTGAAAGTGACGGGGAGAGTGGAACCAAGTTGGAAAACACTCTGCAGGATATTATCCAGGAGAACTTCCCCAATCTAGCAAGGCAGGCCAACATTCAGATTCAGGAAATACAGAGAACACCACAAAGATACTCCTCGAGAAGAGCAACTCCAAGACACATAATTGTCAGACTCACCAAAGTTGAAAGGAAGGAAAAAATGTTAAGGGCAGCCAGAGAGAAAGGTCGGGTTACCCACAAAGGGAAGCCCATCGGACTAACAGCGGATCTCTCGGCAGAAACTCTACAAGCTAGAAGAGAGTGGGGGCCAATATTCAACATTCTTAAAGAAAAGAATTTTCAACCCAGAATTTCATATCCAGCCAAAATAAGCTTCATAAGTGAAGGAGAAATAAAATCCTTTACAGACAAGCAAATGCTGAGAGATTTTGTCACCACCAGGCCTGCCCTAAAAGAGCTCCTGAAGGAAGCACTAAACATGGAAAGGAACAACCGATACCAGCTGCTGCAAAATCATGACAAAATGTAAAGACCATTGAGACTAGGAAGAAACTGCATCAACTAACGAGCAAAATAACAAGCTAACATCATAATGACAGGATCAAATTCACACATAACAATATTAACTTTAAATGTAAATGGGCTAAATGCTCCAATTAAAAGACACAGACTGGCAAATTGGATGAAGAGTCAAGAACCATCAGTGTGCTGTATTCAGGAAACCCATCTCATGTGCAGAGACACACATAGGCTCAAAATAAAAGGATGGAGGAAGATCTACCAAGCAAATGGAAAACAAAAAAAGGCAGGGGTTGCAATCCTAGTCTCTGATGAAACAGACTTTAAACCAACAAAGTTCAAAAGAGACAAAGAAGGCCATTACATAATGGTAAAGGGATCAATACAACAAGAAGAGCTAACTATCCTAAATATATATGCACCCAATACAGTAGCACCCAGATTCATAAAGCAAGTCCTGAGTGACCTACAAAGAGACTTAGACTCCCACACATTAATAATGGGAGACTTTAACACCCCACTGTCAACATTAGACAGATCAACGAGACAGAAAGTTAACAAGGATACCCAGGAATTGAACTCAGCTCTGCACCAAGCGGACCTAATAGACATCTACAGAACTCTCCACCCCAAATCAACAGAATATACATTTTTTTCAGCACCACACCACACCTATTCCAAAATTGACCACATACTTGGAAGTAAAGCTCTCCTCAGCAAATGTAAAAGAACAGAAATTATAACAAACTATCTCTCAGACCACAGTGCAATCAAACTGGAACTCAGGATTAAGAAACTCACTCAAAACCACTCAACTACATGGAAACTGAACAAACTGCTCCTGAATGACTACTGGGTACATAACAAAATGAAGGCAGAAATAAAGATGTTCTTTGAAACCAACGAGAACAAAGACACAACATACTAGAATCTCTGGGACACATTCAAAGCAGTGTGTAGAGGGAAATTTATAGCACTAAATGCCCACAAGAGAAAGCAGGAAAGATCTAAAATTGACACCCTAACATCACAATTAAAAGCACTAGAAAAGCAAGAGCAAACACATTCAAAAGCTAGCAGAAGGCAAGAAATAACTAAAATCAGAGCAGAACTGAAGGAAATAGGGACACAAAAAACCCTTCAAAAAATTAATGAATCCAGGAGCTGGTTTTTTGAAACAATCAACACAATTGATAGACCACTAGCAAGACTAATCAAGAAAAAGAGAAGAATCAAATAGACGCAATAAAAAATGATAAAGGGGATACCACCACCGATCCCACAGAAATACAAACTACCATCAGAGATTACTACAAACACCTCTATACAAATAAACTAGAAAATCTAGAAGAAATGGATAAATTCCTGGACACATACACTCTCCCAAGACTAAACCAGGAAGAAGTTGAATCTCTGAATAGACCGATAACAGGAGCTGAAATTGTGGCAATAATCAATAGCTTACCAACCAAAAAGAGTCCAGGACCAGATGGATTCACAGTCGAATTCTACCAGAGGTACAAGGAGGAACTGGTACCATTCCTTCTGAAACTATTCCAATCAATAGAAAAAGAGGGAATCCTCCCTAACTCATTTTATGAGGCCAGCATCATCCTGATACCAAAGCCTGGCAGAGACACAACCAAAAAAGAGAATTTTAGACCAATGTCCTTGATGAACATTGATGCAAAAATCCTCAATAAAATACTGGAAAACTGAATCCAGCAGCACATCAAAAAGCTTATCCACCATGATCAAGTGGGCTTCATCCCTGGGATGCAAGGCTGGTTCAATATACGCAAATCAATAAATGTAATCCAGCATATAAACAGAACCAAAGACAAAAACCACATGATTATCTCAATAGATGCAGAAAAGGCCTTTGACAAAATTCAACAACCCTTCATGCTAAAAACTCTCAATAAATTAGGTATTGATGGGACGTATCTCAAAATAATAAGAACTATCTATGACAAACCCACAGCCAATATCATACTGAATGGGCAAATACTGGAAGCATTCCCTTTGAAAACTGGCACAAGACAGGGATGCCCTCTCTAACCACACCTATTCAACATAGTGTTGGAAGTTCTGGCCAGGGCAATTAGGCAGGAGAAGGAAATAAAGGGTATTCAATTAGGAAAAGAGGAGGTCAAATTGTCCCTGTTTGCAGACGACATGATTGTATATCTAGAAAACCCCAATGTCTCAGCCCAAAATCTCCTTAAGCTGATAAGCAACTTCAGCAAAGTCTCAGGATACAAAATCAATGTACAAAAATCACAAGCATTCTTATACACCAATAACAGACAAACAGAGAGCCAAATCATGAGTGAACTCCCATTCACAAATGCTTCAAAGAGAATAAAATACCTAGGAATCCACCTTACAAGGGACGTGAAGGACCTCTTCAAGGAGAACTACAAACCACTGCTCAATGAAACAAAAGAGGATACAAACAAATGGAAGAACATTCCATGCTCATGGGTAGGAAGAATCAATATCGTGAAAATGGCCATACTGCCCAAGGTAATTTATAGATTCAATGCCATCCCCATCAAGCTACCAATGACTTTCTTCACACAATTGGTAAAAACTACTTTGAAGTTCATATGGAACCAAAAAAGAGCTCACATCGCCAAGTCAATCCTAAGCCAAAAGAACAAAGCTGGAGGCATCACACTACCTGACTTCAAACTATACTACAAGGCTACAGTAACCAAAACAGCATAGTACTGGTGCCAAAACAGAGATATAGATCAATGGAACAGAACAGAGCCCTGAGAAATAATGCCGCATATCTACAACTATCTGATCTTTGACAAACCTGAGAAAAACAAGCAATGGGAAAAGGATTCCCTATTTAATAAATGGTGCTGGGAAAACTGGCTAGCCATATGTAAAAAGCTGAAACTGGATCCCTTCCTTACACCTTATACAAAAATCAATTCAAGATAGATTAAAGACTTAAACGTTAGACCTAAAACCATAAAAACCCTAGAAGAAAACCTAGGCATTACCATTCAGGACATAGGCATGGGCAAGGACTTCATGTCTCAAACACCAAAAGCAATGGCAACAAAAGACAAAATTGACAAATGGGATCTAATTAAACTAAAGAGCTTCTGCACAGCAAAAGAAACTACCATCAGAGTGAACAGGCAACCCACAAAATGGGAGGACATTTTCGCAACCTACTCATCTGACAAAGGGCTAATATCCAGAATCTACAATGAACTCAAACAAATTTACAAGAAAAAAACAAACAACCCCATCAAAAAGTGGGTGAAAGACATGAACAGACACTTCTCAAAAGAAGACATTTATGCAGCCAAAAAACACATGAAAAAATGCTCACCATCACTGGCCATCAGAGAAATGCAAATCAAAACCACAATGAGATATCATCTCACACCAGTTAGAATGGCAATCATTAAAAAGTCAGGAAACAACAGGTGCTGGAGAGGATGTGGAGAAATAGGAACACTTTTACACTGTTGGTGGGACTGTAAACTAGTTCAACCATTGTGGAAGTCAGTGTGGTGATTCCTCAGGGATCTAGAACTAGAAATACCATGTGACCCAGCCATCCCATTACTGGGTATATACCCAAAGGACTATAAATCATGCTGCTATAAAGACACATGCACACGTATGTTTATTGTGGCACTATTCACAATAGCAAAGACTTGGAACCAACCCAAATGTCCAACAACGATAGACTGGATTAAGAAAATGTGGCACATATACACCATGGAATACTAGGCAGCCATAAAAAATGATGAGTTCATGTCCTTTGTAGGGACATGGATGAAATTGGAAATCATCCTTCTCAGTAAACTATCGCAAGAACAAAAAACCAAACACCGCATATTCTCACTCATAGGTGGGAATTGAACAATGAGAACATATGGACACAGGAAGGGGAACATCACACTCCAGGGACTGTTGTGGGGTGGGGGGAGGGATAGCATTGGGAGATATACCTAATGCTAGATGACGAGTTAGTGGGTGCAGCGCACCAGCATGGCACAGGTATACATATGTAACTAACCTGCATATTGTGCACATGTACCCTAAAACTTAAAGTATAATAATAAAAAGAAACATTGTAGTCATACACATCTAAATTTCATTTTCCTCAATATCCTTTCATTGATCTTCAACCCAAAAACCAATCTAAAACTTTAAGTTATTCCCATCTTTGGTATAATCTGCCTCTTCTGGATAATAAATGCCATATACCCACTGTAGGATATAGCACATCCTTTTACTCGACCCAGATTTATGTCTTTCAAGTTTCCCAGGGTGTCTTTACCAATACGTCAAGATTTGTTCAACAGCTTCACCACATGGCCCATGGATTCTTGATTATTACCTTAAATACTGCCCTAAAACCCAGCCATCTTTTAAAGTCGGCAGTAAAGTTTTAGAAAACGCATGTGATTCGCTGTTTTAATGAAAGGGTACTTTAAAAAATAAGAGGCAAAGCACGTTATTCGCCTTGGTTAAGTAAGCAGAAACTCCTGGGAGCCTGGCAGCTTGGCTTGTGAGGCCTGAGTCAATAAGCCCATGTCCACGTGGTGTCAGTTACCTTGGATTGCCAGCCAAGAACATAGGAAGAAATAAACAGCCTCATGGGGACTAATGTTGGAAATCAAAACATTCACACTTTATTGGGATCATTTGTCCTCTCACATGCTGTGAATGCACATAAGCTTTCAAATATATGCTCTTTTCCATGCACTTGCTTCCAGATATAGGATTGCCCTTACATCAAACAAGAATATAACTTCACATACATTATTGGTGAAAGGGTGATGACAATATAAAGGTGTGTAACGATATTATCCAATGACAGCAAGGCAAGGAATAAATTCTCACCTCATAAGATTTCAAAGGGAAAAGAAGCTGGTGACTAACCAGCACCAGGCTCTGGTTAATAGTCCCACTGGTGAGAATTCCCAAGTGATGTTGATCAGCGAAACCGCCATAGGCATTTGAGTAGCTAAGCACATCAAAGACCCCTATGATATCTACATCCATGTGGCTAGATCTGGGACTTAGCTGGATGTATATTAACACAAAATGTGTTTGTCAAATATCCCAGACAAGATGGGTGGATTTTCACTGTTTCAGTCCCTCCCCTCCCTGCTGCCCCTTATGGCCATTTGTATTTCGTAGTTTATGATTTCCAAGAACTACCTCTAAGTTGTTCGACCTCAGGATACCTCCCAGTGAGATCGCAAACCCTGTGAATACAAGAACCACGTCTTCAGATCCCTTTGTCTCCTCACTCAGGTCTTAATCCCAAGCCTTTTATAAACCAAACACCCAGTAGGTATTGCCTAACCAAAGGGCCTCATGTGGACTCAGAGATATCGACATGACGTCAGCCTTGAATTGCATTGCGCTGCATGACAAGAACTGTAAAGAGGGAGGAACTGAGGCTTGGAAACTGTCCTGCAAAACCATCTCTCCCCACTCCTACTGCAGATCCACTCATTTATTGGTCCTTTGATGTATTTTTGCCTTGGTTGTATTTTTTTTAATCATGCTATTAGGGTTTTGTTTTTCTTTCAGGTGGTGAGTTGAAGAGATAACCCTTTCTAAATTGCCAGCATTCCAAAGAGTCACAGGTTTGAGGCCAAAGGCACTCCTAAACAAGAAAGGTCAAGTGTGGTCACTCACCCAAGAAGCAGAGCAGGGCAAGCCACTTGCCCCCAATTAGAGACAGTCCCTTCATGTGAAATGCCAAGAAGCCTGCTTTTGATTTGTGGCAGCCTATAACCTGGCCATTGCTCGAGGTCTGAGTCTTAATATATTTTCTCCACTTTCCAAGTGTATACTTATTTAAATTTTAGAATCATCTGGTTATAAAGTCCTAGGGGTTTTGAAGAATAAAACAACAGGTCAGCTTGAAGTTAAAGAAGATAAATGAACACAGACCATGGGAACAAGGGCTGATGCCTGCTGGAAACTCAGCTAACCTGGTGTGGCAGAGGTACTGGCTGATTGCTTGAAGCAGCTGAGTCTGCATTAAAACTGGACACACCTGGAAATGATCATTTTGCAGTTTGCTTGGCCTCTTCCCTACGGGTAGACCTCACAGCCTTGTCTTATGTAAACAACAAACTCACACATTTCTGGCCAAAGAGGTTGAACAAACTGGCCTAGCACATTCATGACAAGGACTTCACGGTCAGGAACAGATCACCAAGTACAGAAGGAACATGCTAGACAGGGAGACAAGTTCATCACCCACAGTCAGTCTCTCCTAGTGTGCCTCTGGCCAAATACACTATGACAATAGACATGCTGCTTCACCCGAGTCCCTCTTAAGGCAGACCAGCAGCTCCCCAGTGCCCCAATGGCCCATACAGGACTATCTCCAAGCAGCTAGCAGACAGTGGTCACTGGTTGAGCAGACAAGAGCTTGGTCTCAGGGGTCCTAAGTCTAGAGCCTGGAATGAGGGCGAGGAGTCATGTTCCTGATCTCCTTTGCCATCCTATGTAGGGAATGTTGAAGGTCACTTTCATCAGACCCACAGAGATAACCATCCCTTTTATAAAGACTGAGTCCAATGGCCTCCTGGCACACACCCTGGCAGGCAGGTTTGTTTGAAATTTTTGAGAAAATAAATAAGCAAAAGCAAGCAAACCAAAGAAATAAAACCAAAACGACTGACTTCTCCAGCTGACAGGGCATTTCCTATACTTGCCTCCAGGAGCTCTGCGCCTGAGCCCAGCTGCCTCCTCACTGGACGACTATCCATGTCCCAAGCTACCTCTGTCATGAGAAGCCCTGCTTCTCTCTACTCTAAACCACCTTACGGTAAAGGCAAGACAATCAAGCAGTACAATCAGTAGCCAACCCTACTGGTATGATGACCCCAACATCGCTGAGTAAGCCCAAGACACAGAAGGTCAGCCCCTTCAGCATGGTCCCTTTGGCAACTAGAGGAAAGAACACGGATGTCATGGTTTTAAGACTCAAGCAACGTGATGTACGCTAGTGGGTAGAGCACAGGTGAGGGACATTCAGATACGGTCCCACTCCATTCATGACTGAACCTGACTGTGGCGCTGGCTCAGGAATGTTTTGCCTGGCACAGTGGTGGGCATCTGACATTTCAGGATTTGGGGACTAGTTACAGTCAAGGCAGTGACATGGTTTCTGTGACTGTCCTTTGATGAAGAAAGTAGGGTAAGGGTTGCACAAGCGAGGAATCATTTTACTTACAGAAACCACTTGTGCGAATTTAAATAAAGGGATATTTATTCTAAAGGTCTGGATTAAGAGGATCCAAGGAGAAGGTGACCAAGCAGACCCTGGAGCTGGGCCCATTTGGAGACCCCTGCAGCAAGCGTGCCTGGACCATCACTCTAGCGCCTGCGCATTGATCCCAGTCAGCAGCCTGATTACTTCGTCTTCATTTTCCAAGAGAGGAAATCTGATTGGCTTCTGGCCAGTCAGAATTGGTCCCTTTTTGGTCAATGAGATTGGGATAGAGAGGGGACATGATGAAAGGACTCCCCTTGTCTGATTAGAGTAAATGTAAGTCCTCTGGGAAGAGAGTGCAGGGACAGGAGGAGACTGGTGGGCAGTTCTGCCGCAGAAGTCCCCTCCTATTTCACCCCTTAGCGACGGGGCAGGATTCTTCTTTGCATCCCAGCATTATGACTCAGAAGAGTAGACCTGGAGCAGAGAAAACCCTTCCAACCTGGCCATCAAGGCTGATTGAAGGGAAACAAGGTACCTTCAGGTCAGTACATACATCATTTGGGAAAGTTGGGATGCGGGTGGGAGGGAAAGGGCAAGACGATGTGCACATTGCAGATTAATTAAGTGTCTGCATAGAGTGGACTCCCCTGCTTCCCTCAGACCCTGTCTCCTCTGTGCTCCCACCCAGAGGAATGGCTAATTGGCAGAAGGTCAGTGCATTTACCTAGAGTCATTCCAATCCGTCCGAGAGGCAGGAAGGGCAAGGAAGGAGTGGCTGGATGACACACTTTTATGCAATCATCTGGAAATCTAATTTGTGGAACAAGTAGCCATCTGTTCCATGGGTGATGTGCCAAAGTACCTGCCAACAACAGAACAAGCTTTCTGCTGTTCGGGTAACTAATTGCATCTATGGGACCAACACAGCATGAGACTCAACCCGTGGAATATGATCTCCCACTAAATTACCACTTTTGCTTCGGCTTTTCTTGGGGAGCCAGTATGCATACTACAGAGTCTCTGAAACAGCAGCAGAGAAACAGAGAGGCTGGGCAACCCCGCACCCCCCAAAACGGGATAGGACAGCAGGTGTCAAGGGTAGCACGTTCCTGGAGCTGTGCAGGAGACTGCGGCTTTGCTCTAGTTTCTTTTTCCCTTCTGAGAAACACGGAAGTCTGACTCAGTATGAAGCTGGGGAGGGTAGTCAGGGCCTAGAAGTGCTAAGTTGCTATCAGTGATTCCTTTTATGCCTTTTTCTTTTCTAAGATACCTCATTTAGAAACTAGAGGGAGTAGAATGTACTGGAGGTAAGAAATCTGTGTCTTCACCCCTATCACCACTGATGGCATGGTGGCCAACAGTTGCCTTGTTTAAAGTTTCAATGGTAGGTTCATCCAGTTACATAAACTCCTCATAGAAAATGACCTCTCGTTGTTTGGTATCACCCACGACAAGCATTACCCTACAGGAAGCAAGCCAATAGCAGGTGGATTCTCCTTCACTTTCTGCACCCGCTATCCCCAGAGCCCCGTCCATAGGCAAGAGAATCTCAAAGAGCCTAAGCAGACTTTTTCCTAGGTTTTCGTACTGCTTGATTAGTTATCTAGGAATGGATGGCTGGATCCATATCTATTCTGCCTCAAGAAACTTAACCCCAAACTCTTAGTGACAGTACATTTTTTCATCTCTGTTTTTCTTTTTTTAAAGAATATATCAGCAACTTCAAAAATGTACCAAGAATACCAGTTGTCATAGGGGCCTTAGTATCAGCTGCTTTGGCCTTCCAGTGGACTGGGGACAGGTCTCTCATCATATACCTGGCTGTCTGCTGGGCTCTTTCCAGTCTCTCATTAAATCCCTATCATGCTGGATTGGCTCTGAGCATTAGTGAAAAAAACACTTCCTGTTTTCCTGACAAAGCAGAACCTAGCACACTGCCCTTGTGTGATGAATACTTAGCGATTATCTTAGTGCAACCAAGAGGAAAAAAACAAGGGATTTAACCAGCAGGAGGGGAGTATGCTTAGCACTCAAGATGCTAAGCTGCTAATAATCAGTGTGAACCAAAGGTACTTCTGGCTGTCTGGTCCTCCAGGGGTCGGTGAAAGGTGTTGCATCAAAACTGCTGCAGAAGGCAGCTCCCTAACAGGCAGAACAGTTATTAGGCTGGGCCCACTATGAAAAATAAATAAGAAGTATTGGAAAGGATTAAATCAGCCTTATAGAGATGTCTCCATTAGCCACGGGAATAAAGGTTTCAGGTGGAAACCTCAGCATAATCCCACAAAACAAAGTATGATACTTAACAGTCACTTATGAAATGGATTTTATGAGGTTTTTGGTGTTCCATTTTTTTAATTTAAGAAGCGACTATAGAGTACCTTCTTTCTGACTGTATTTTGCTTAGAACTGGGAACACATGAGCCAGATGGTGGAAGGAATGTTGGCCAGGATTCACAATTCAGTGTCACCTCAGAGGTGACATGAGCCCCAAGAGCGTGTTGGTAAATGTCTAACAACTAGCTCTACCATAAAAGCCCTGATTTGTAGTGTTTGCCACTTTTAGTAGTGTAAATGTTCCCGCCACAGCTGGTTTCATGGTATCAACATAATGTTACTGAACACAGTGTTGGAAGAGATGAACACAGATAGTAGTATTTCCAGACAGATTCACCAGGCATAACAAAGAAAACCCAAGAGCATAGACAATAGTAAAATACAGCCAAATCATTAGGAAGTCATGAGTTTTGAGTACCTATTAGCCTTGTTTTAAATGTAATTTATTGAAGTGTGAGGTTTTTTTTGTTTGTTTGTTTGTTTTTGAGACGGAGTCTCGCTCTGTCGCCCAGGCCGGACTGCGGACTGCAGTGGCGCAATCTCGGCTCACTGCAAGCTCCGCTTCCCGGGTTCACGCCATTCTCCTGCCTCAGCCTCCCGAGTAGCTGGGACTACAGGCACCCGCCACCACGCCCGGCTAATTTTTTGTATTTTTAGTAGAGACGGGGTTTCACCTTGTTAGCCAGGATGGTCTCGATCTCCTGACCTCATGATCCACCCGCCTCGGCCTCCCAAAGTGCTGGGATTACAGGCGTGAGCCACCGCGCCCGGCCGAAGTGTGAGTTTATATCATTTAATTTTGAATACTGATTCTGGTTCACAAAATGCCTGAATATTGAACAAACCTTTGCAGGCTTGTATGAGCCAGACCCCACATACCACTGTATCCACCAGAACAGAGGCTGAATTCAGGTGACAGAAACCAGGAGACCCACCAACTTTGGTGGGACCTGGACTCTTACGACTACATTCAAATAAATTAATCACTTTTCATAAAAATTGATATATCAAAAAAAAAAAAAAATGTCAAGGAACACCTAAAATGCACTTGGATGGCTTAGTCTACCATTTGAAACAAAACATTTGTCAAGCCTGTAATCCCAGCACTTTGGGAGGCCAAAGTGGGTGGATCACAAGGTCAGGAATTCAAGACCAGCCTGGCCAACATAGTGAAACCCTGTCTCTACTAAAAACACAAAAATTAGCCAGGCATGGTGGTATGCACCTATAGCCCCACCTACTCGGGAGGCTGAGCCTGGAGAATCACTTGTACCCAGGAGGCAGAGGTTGCAGTGAGCTGAGACCGTGCCATTGCACCTGGGTGACACAGTGAGACTCCATCTCAAAAAAAAGAAAAAAAAAAATTATCAGTAAATTTCTCGTATTGGCACAACATTGATATCTAAAGGCTTTCCATGAAATTCAATATGTAATAGAAATTACAGTACTGGAAAATTGTGCTCAAGTGACCAATTATTAATAGAACTCTAATTAATCTTAATTCAACTAAACTTAAAACCTTACGAGATTTTAAGAATAATAAAAAATTTTTTTAGGATCTCTTAACTTACATCTCATTCTCAATATTATTGACTAGGTTTTTTTTTTTAAACTATGCCTTTTCGATGTCTCTGAGAGTATCTGATTGTTGTTTTTGTACAAAGGGGAAAGGTAGGAGGCAGTTTCCTCTCCAGGAGATGTTGGGCACAGATATGTAATAACTAAACCACAAGGCAGAATTGTCTGTTGCTTTAGATTCTACGTATTTGAACTGTAAAGTGTCTTTCAACTCTGAACTCTGGGAATCTACATTTCTATCGGAAGGGCCAAGAAATGCCTTTCTGTCATGTGTGAGCTGGAAGAGTTTGCTTTGGAAACTCTTTCCATCAGTGATGAATTGTGCCTCCTCTGTGTGGTTCTACTGGGTGCTGGAGATGCACATACACAAGTCCATGGCAAGGTCTACAAAATTCTCATACACCAGGAGAAATTCACCCAAAGAGTTCATTTCAGCAGTGTTCATAATAGTTAAAAAACGAAAACAAATGCATGGTAAGGTACTGATAAGCTCAAAACAAGCACTGCCCTGGGCCTGCTTCCCACAATAGCCTCAAGGTCTTTCCTCTTCCGCTCAGTCATCCTCAGAGGTGGTAAGACTTGGTGAGAGATCTAGAAAGAAACCATCAGGTGAAGGCCGTGTTTTCTATGTCAGGAAACACGTGATGCACAGTCTCTTGGAGACAAAGTAGAAGTAGAAATGTCTCTGGGGACAAAGTAGAAGCTGGTGATATGAAGCAAGTCTCCAGGAATTATGTGCAAATGATGAATTTCCCAACCCTGTACCTGTAAGAACTTCAAAATTTCCTGGGCCAGGTGTGGCTAGGGAATTATTCAATTCCATAATTCCCATGTGGGTTCTGTTGTCTCCCCGCCCACACTTTCCTTGAGTCTGTCTTTTGCCTCTTCACTCACCACTGTCCACCCCCATTCCTGAGAAAAATTAGGTGTCCAAGTCCCTAAATCTGGTGCCACTTCCATTTCCACACATCCACCTTTGTTAAGTTCTGGCGAAGGAAATTACTTTAGATCTTTGTTCAAAAGTCATATATTTCAAATATAGTTTTACGTGGTGAAATTCTACCTTAAGCTGGCATTTATTTGACTCATTTTTCTAACAGAGCAAGGTCTGGTTCAAAACAGCAGAGTGAGCTGATTCTCAGCTAGTAATGGTTGCTAGGAAACCATTCTGTGGCAAATCAGAATCACATAAGCTCTGACTTCCCCATCTTGTGAACTCCTATAGAATTAATGCAGGCTCTACTCATTCAGTGATGAATCAGTACTGCCCAAGGATATCTCTTCTCTCTTACTGTTAAATTGTTATTTAATAATTAACTTTTATCTATAGTTTATGTCTTAGCTTTCCAGTTAGTTTTTAAACTTCAGAGGATGAGTCTTTTAGCCTGTGTATTTTGAGACCTCCACTTGCAAATGCCTAGTTGGCAGGGCTTAACCAATATGCACTGATTGTATTTGAAGGCAGGTGGTCATGTGGAAGAAACACTTCCAGATTGGAAAAAGAACAGTCTGGTACTTTCTACCAATAATTAAATGAGTTTTCAAAGCTATTTTCTTTCTTTGGCTTGTATGTCTGTTTTCTGCTCTTAAATTTGAGGCCACAGAAAACTTGGTGGAATATTCAAGAAATGGTTATATGAATTGATGCAATTTCTTTAGAGAACAATTTGGTAATATTTGTTAAAGCTGGACATACATGTAGGCAAGTCTATTGCTAGGTGCATAAAATTCTCATACACCAGAAGAAATTCACCGAAAGGGCTCATTTCAGCAGTGTTCATAATAGTTTTATAAAAATGAAAACAAATGTTAATAAAGAAGAATAGATTAAAAATGGTGGGCTGGGTGTGGTGGCTCACGCCTGTAATCCCAGCACTGTGGGAGGCCGAGGCAAGAGAATCACTTGAGGTCAGGAGTTCGAGACGGCTTGGCCAACATGGTGAACCTCGTTTTTACTAAAAATACAAAAATTAGCCAGGCATGGTGGCATGTGCCTGTAATCCTAGCTACGTGGGAGGCTGAGGTGGGAGAATTGCTTGAACCTGGTAGATGGAGGTTGCAGTGAGCCAAGATTGCACCACTGCACTCCAGGCTGGACAACAGAGCAATACTCTGTCTTGGGAAAAAAAAATTGGTGCCAGATTCCTACAACAGCACACTACACTAATATCATTCTATGCTACACAACGCTATATCACTCTAGGCCATACTAATAACAGTTAAAATGAGCTGGAGTTACATATGTCAACATGGTACATCACTGGGCAAAACAAACCTATTTGCAGAGAAATGCATATCATATGATATTATTTAGATAAAGTTTAAGATGTGTTATACCAAATTGTGTGTATGAATATAATACATAGTAAAAATTTACAAATACTATGTTATGGTAATAAAATCACTAAATTCAGTAAAGTGGTTGCCTTTGGGAAAGGGGGAAAGAGGATGTGTTGGGGGACTACACAATTTTTCCTATAATGTTTTATGAAAAAATATATTTGAAGAAAACATAAGCTGGGTGTATAATGGCTATATTATTCACCACGGGTTTTTTATGTTTTATATATTCATTTTCTTTCTGGAAATTTGTTTTAGGGTGACAAAAGGCCCATGATTCTTTCACTTGGGCAGATCACTGCACAAAGCTGGCACAGGAGAAGATAGTTAATTTCGGTTCAGGTATTTGATTCCTGCCAAGTTAGATGGATTCTTCTGAAGTTCTGTCTACACACTAGAAAGCTCACATGAATTAGGTCTTTTAAATATCAGTTATAAAACAAAGGGAGGTCAGACAATGAGGCATGATTTTTTAAATATAGTAAATAATAATCTTTGTTTTGCCTTGTCTGAATAAAGTTAATTATAAAAGCAATATATCACTTTGGCAACTAACAATGCCTAGAGCAATGGCGCCAAAGCTTTAAAAAGCGTAAAAATCACCTGGGATGCTTGTTAAAATGCAGATTCCCAAGTCCCACTCCCTCCCCCACCATGATGCTGAGACAGTATAGCAGGGTTGAGGCCCTGTCATTTCCATCTTTAGCAACCACCCCAGCTAGTTCTGGTGGGTGAACAGGGTAACCATCGAGTAAACTGGGACTCTCTCAGACAGATAGCCCTACCCATGAACCAGAGAACGTTAGTGATTCTGATTACGAGAACACACTGCGAGCATTGCGGATGTAATATAAATATTAGCCAGTAATTATCTGCTTGAAATTTCAAATCTACAAAATTATCACACACAGCATCCATTCATTCACCAAATATTTACTGAATGTCTATTATGTGCACAGTATTCTTTTGGTCTTCCTTCATTCTACTCTGTGACTCTCTTTACACATATACATATGTATATTTTCACATAAATGTGATCAAAAAATTCATCATCTTGGCTTTCGCTTTTTTTTGCCCTCAAAGTCACACTGATGTGCCAGGGATACATTTTTTCCATGAGGTCGGCGGGTAAGTGTAGTAGTTTTGTGCTTAACCACCCTTTCCTACTCTCCTCCTTCTTCCATCTATATTAGCCACCCCTCACCCAGATAATCTATGTTAACACCTTAATACGTACCCTTCAATATATTTCTTTATGCTCATAAGATCTTATAAACATAAAAGCACAGCATATTTATGTGTACGGATGACTCAGTGTAATAACAGGTATGGTCTCTCTTCTGGGAGCTGACCATCTTTGGAAGGAGACAATGCACATTTACAAGACAAAGCGGGGAAGCTTGCACACATGGCACAGTGCCATAGCAATACAGTGAAAAAATAGATGGAAAAGACCTATCAGCATGAGGGTTGCAGCTTATGAGAGGCAGAAAATAGAAAATGTAAGGGGTCATCAAGAAAATCCTCACTGTCATGGTCTCCACATGGACCGCTTGAATCAAAATTAACTCAAAACCCAGATGCTATGTGTACTAGAGACACATCTGCCAAGTCAAGAAGGAAATGTCTCTCCCTCAGAGGACAGAGCTGAGGGGAGCATCCCTCCCTAAGGTGGGGTTCCTGGACCCCAGGAGCATCGTGGGCCTGGAGCCAGGGGAAGGTCAGGAGAGCAGAGGCACCATATTCAACTGAGCAAATGCCACAGTGACATTTGCAGGCACAATCATGTAAATGTTATTTACTGTGAGAAATGCATTTCTCAGGCAGATGCTTCCCACCATCTATTCACTTGGCTGCCTCAGAAAGAAGCGATTCTTTGCTCAGCCTCCCAGGTGGGTGTTGGTGTGTCAGGGGTCCTGGGATTGAGACTTGGCAGTCAACCTACAGGTGTAGCTAAAATCCTCCTCTTGGCTGGTGAAATGGGCTTCTGCCCCAGGAGTGGCAGGGCCTGAACTTGTAGCCTTTGAAGGATGCATCAATCCCCTCCTTCCAGGTCAGCCCCATGACTCTACTGAGAAGGGAAGTGAGGCTTTGGGTAGAAGCTGCTGCCTTGGTGAAACCAGCATCAGAGCTCAGGGATGCAGCAGGGTTACAAAAAGATGAGAAAGTGACACAGAGACAAACAAAGCAGCCAAACAACAAGCAGCCGGGGTCTGTGAGGCAAAAGGAGATTGCTGCCTGTTCAAAAGCCCTCGCTTCTCATTGCCTACTGGGCAGCCCTATTCATCCAGCATGACTTTTATGTTTTCAGTCCCCTTGGCAGAACAGAAATGTAGGGTCAGAGGCTCTCCAGTCCTTGGCTGGACCAGGTATCAGGTGGAAAAATAAAGTCTGCTAAACAAAGAAATCCACAGCATGACTTTCAATGCTACCTGGGCTGGCCCCATACCATTCAATGGAAACAACCAGAACCCACTAGAATCCTCTGAGAAATATATTTGTTGCAGTCCTACCAAAGTAAGGTGATAAAGTTTAAAAGCCACTGCACCTGGAATTGAATACCTAGAAAGGCAGCACAGTGGAAAGAAAATGAGACATCAGTGGTTGATATTCCAGCCCCACCACTTGCCTATAGATCCCTTAACCACACTGAGCCTCCATTTCTTCATTTGTAGAATGAGGATATTAACATCCTCCTTTTTAACTCACCTGATGGATGTAGGGATTGTGCGTGGCGATGACCACTACAGCATTTTTGAAATAGTAAAGGTTATATCATGCTAAGGTATTTATGGCACTGTTTCAGATCTTCTGCTACTAAAGATTTGAGAGACCCCGATGATGAGGTCTCAGGAGAGATGTACAACCTAGGGACATTTAGCGAGGACACCCAGGCAATGCCTAATTACCTGCTAAACATGGTAGAGAAAAAATGGCCACAGCCGTTCAGAAAATCAAGTGATGACTGGTCTATGGGGTATAGTTTCAGAGAGGGGTTGGGAGTTGAGTCAGTTCTTGCAAATTTATATAATGACACCGTTAAAGAACCCAGATAAACACAAAGCATGTAGTGGCTTTATTAGAGGGTAGAGAGAAGTTATCTGTGCCCCCAAGTTGGCAGGGTATCTGTGAAGCTAAGCCTACATCTCCCCCTTATGAAATGGCCTCTAGATGTCTTCTGCTGACCCCACTTACCTTTTAGATGAGAGATAATGAACCACAAAAGAGCCCTCCAACCCCTCATTTCCTCATACTCCTTTCCTTAGGTTTTTCCTCCAAGGCCCCAATGTTAAGAAAAATGTTCTACAATTAAAAATTCAAGCAGTAATCCAGGCACTCCAATCTACTTTGTAGGACAGAGTGTAAATGATAGAAAAATAAGTGTATGTCATTACCTTTTCCCTACTTATTACTTATTCAAAATATAAATGGCTGCCAATCAGCTCTTCAGATTAGCATGAGATCACCAGTGTCACCGCACTGAACTAATAGGATAATCCTTTCTTTAAAAGTTTATTTTTGTAGAGATGGGGTCCCACTGTGTTGCCTAGGCTGGTCTCGAATTCCTGGGCTCAAGTGACCCACCCACCTCAGCCTCTCAAAGTGCTGGGATTATAGGTGTGAGTTATCACACCAAATTAATAGTATCATTTTAACCAAAGAGCAGAGAAACTTGGCATTTTTGTTAGTAAATACATTATCTGTGTAAATGTACAATTTCCAAGAGATTTTCTGAAATACTGAAAAGAGTTCGAATATCTGATGGGACCTGAAACCTCAGATTTTTAGGTTGGCAATCACTTTTCTAGAAGGTAGTTTATAATCCACCTGCCATGACAAGGAAGTTAAAAATAAATTGCCTTGACCAACTTTGAGGCTTAGAAGTGAAATGAAGGTGACCAGAAAAGCATCCACGCTGTTCATCTTGGCTCTTCCTCCTTATTTCCCGCGTGCTTCAGAGCGGGACCCTCCGCCATCGGCCCCGTGGGTTTCTTCCAAACGGGACTCAGTGGTGGGCCCTCAGCCATGAAAAGCTCTTCACTCAGAAGAAGCCTGGACGTGTACTCATTGGTTGTCAGGAACTGTTCAATTGCCCCACCCCCACCATTAGCCCTGCTACCCTCATTCCCCAGCCACGTGCCTCACTTCATCTCAGCCCCAGACGGGAGTCCATGCTGAGCTTCTTCGAGGCCAGGGCATCTGGGCAGGAAGGGAAATGGCTGGACCAACCCCTAGTCCAACCCATTCATTGGGCTGACTTGCCCAAAACCATAAGGCTCACTGGGGCTGAACTGAGCCTGGCATTGGGTTTTCCTGCCTCCTAATCCAATTCCCTTTCTGTTTCTTCTTTGGAAGGCAGAATTTGTAATGTATTGGTGTGAAATAAAACTAATCTCAGAAATTCCACCATGGTTTTCACAAAGCAGTGTTGTAACAACAGAAGGTTTAAGGCCTAAGGAAGAATACTGGAAAATAAAACTTGGTGAGTAAGAATGCACTGGACCATCTCCAGCAAACATCAAAACAGAAAGTACTCTGAATTCCAAAGACTGGTATCCATAAACCAGGCAGAGAGATCTCTAGAGAAGAGTTGTTTGCCAGTGGAAATGTCCTTTGAGCAACTTCCCTATCTGCCATGTTGTGTGGTCTCCTGGGCAGACCACCTGCCAGGAGGATTACCATGCAGGTGGCTGGAACGGGTCCCCCTGTATACTAACATCTGCTTGTGGAGGTCTTGAATCCTCTTGTGAGATCAATAGGCATTCTTTCCCTGGGATCAATCCCCCATAGATACTCTGGTAACAGAGCTTCTGAATTCCCAGCACCAAGACCCAGCCCTGAGGAGCAAACTCGAGAACAGGGCCAAGGCAGCCCTTCAGCCGCTGTCTTCTGCAAGCCTTATCTGCACTGGGAGGCCCTTAGCACCAAGGACTGGGGAGGGAGGCAGCAGACTGCAGGGGGTAAGGGTGTGAGCTTTGGTGCTGGGAGTCTGGCGATAGCTGTGTGATCCAGCAAGTAGCTCAGCCTCTCTCAGTCTCAGGGTCCCCATCTACAAAGCTTGGTGGGGGTATAATAATAATACCTATTTATGAGGGTCATTGTGAGGATTAAATGGTGCTTAGCATGGCAGCTGGCACATTGTAAACACTCCATAAATGTTTGCTGTTGCTATTAATACCAGGCAGGCTTCCACCACGTTGCTTTGGCAAGGACACTGCATTGCGCTTTGCAGTACTCAAAGACAGCCCTCTCTTTTCAACACTCTGTCCTTCAGCACCCTGGCCTGGGACCTCCGGAGCCCCCAGGATGTCATTTGCCTAGACTTTACAGGACAGGATCAAAGGACATCCTGCTAGCACAGTGGTATTAAACCCACATGACCAGCCCATGGGCTTGCCTGTCTCAATGGGGGACTGGAAGCTTAGAACTTCAATTGCTTATAAATGGCAACAGATCAGGAAAGCAAACCAATGCACCCTCTGTCACTGTGGTTATTCCAAGAAAAGGAAATCCTCTGATGGTCAAGGGGGAGTCCTTGATGCTAACCTCTGTTCTGGCAAATCCCAGGGTGCGGGGAACCAATGCGTTGGAGATCCAAGATGTAATGGGAGAAGAAGTGTGATTGAGGACTGACCCAGGCTCTCCCATCTCTTCCTCTCCTCTCCCAGAGGGAATTTTGGTTGGAAAACATTGATTTAGCATCAAAACGCTGGTTTAATGAAGGCTCCTAGAGAGAGCTGGGGCAGCTGTGACTCCACAGCCCTCTCAGAGAAAGGGGAGCTGACAAAAGGCCCCAGAGCATTATTTCCTGTTACTTTCTGGAAGCTTCCAAAACAGTCAAGCAATTATTTATTTGCAAAACTCAGGAAAAAAAAACAGAGAAAGAGAATTTCTAAGAAAACAGGATTCCTTCTGCAGAAAAGCAGGAACAAGATGAGCTAAGAGCATGGAGGGTACAATTAGAATAGATGATCTGTACTTTACAGAGGAGGAAACTGAGGTTGAGAAAGACAAGGCATGTTTCCCAAGATCACAGCCAAGCAGAGGCAGACATGAACTAATAATAGAAATAACAGCAGCCACATCTGTCTAGAGCTTCACACATTTCAGTCTTGGTATTCAGGGCTTTACATGGACCTTGAGAAAGTTATTTAATCTCTCCATGCTTCAGTTTCCCCATCTATAAAATGGGGATGATAATAATAATGCCTATTAAAACTTGTAGGGTTATTGTAAGGATTTAAAGAGTCCACCCTGTGAGGATATTAGAATAGGGCCTGGCACATGGTGAGTACAATCTATGTTGGTTCTTACTATACTATGGCTATGAAAATCTTTGTCATTATTACCTTCCTAGGTCAATGCTGGGAAGGAGTGAAGATGTTGTAGTCCCTCAGAAGGTCAAAGCCTGTGCCTAATTCAAGGATGAAGGCAGTGCCTTCACCAGCTAAAGTAAGCGTGGTTGACATCTCTGGTAAGAAAGCCATCATGACCTCCCCAAGAGGGCAGGAATGTCACCTGCCAAGAAGCAGGGGGCCCCAGCCATGCAGCAGCCACCCCAAAGCCACTGCAGGCAGAGGAGAAGCCCTGCCTGGCCAGAGGGAGCCGGCAGCCAAGGAGGCGATGAATGTGAGAAAGGCCAAGGCAGATCCTGCAAAGAGCAGAGCAAGGAGGAGGAGCCAGAGGACTGAGACTTAGAGGACGGACAGTGGGGAGGAAGTGGCAGATGACCACTTCCTTCTGGAGCCAGAGGGACCAGAATTGTTGCTGGGAATGTGGCCAGTGAGGAATCTGGATGCTGAAAAATTCTGCAAAGATGGCCAAGGTGAGTTTTAAAGGAAATTCGGGCAATTAGTATAGGAGTCCACCTTTGTTCGTGAATGTGTATAGTGTTATAGTGTTTATTAGGATGTTGCTTTCAGCACACATCTCTGCAGAAAGTTGCTCCTGCTATCTGTTTCAGCAGCCTGCTTGGGGATGCATAGGATGCTAACCGGGTTAAACACTGGGTGGGAATGATTGGTCCCTGAGGCCCAAAGCACTCTGCATCTGTGGCTGTGGGAGCCCTCATGTTTCAGGATCAAGCCTGGCTGTGTGGCCCATTTCAGTCTTCAAGACATGGAAGATGCTCTAGCAAGCAGTAGATAAGCCCTTTGCACCAAGGTTCTGTACCAGAAACTTTCCTCTGACACCATAACACCACCTGGTTGCCTGGCAGGGACTGGGCTGGCCCTAGAGAACTTCAATCACTTATAAATGGCAACAGATCAGGAATACAAAAAACAGATCACTGATAACAGAGCTTTCCCTCCCTTGCTCTGTCATCTAGGCTGCAGGGGCAGTTAAGGGGCATTTTAAGGAAAACAACACGTGGGGCTCCAGCATGCAGGAGGGGGTTTCTTGAGCACATCTGCATAGGCCATGTTTACATGTCTGCGTCCGCATACCAACAAAAAGCCAGTGTCCACAGAGATAAACCATGGATGTTTGTTAACTGGTACCTGGGTTTTAGGTCTTTCCCTGAACTTGGTTAATTGGGTTGGGGAGAGGGTCCTACATTCACCAGAGTCTTTTAATGCGTGAAAGTAGATATTTTCAAACAGGCAGGGAACAACTAGACTTAGGAGGATAAAGACAAAAACCATTTGTCCTGTGACAGGTTCAACATACAGGCTGCCCTTGTCTTCTGTCTTCCTTCCTGTGCTCTCCTCCTCTGCTTCCTCTACAGACCTTCCCTGGATGATTTGTCTAATCAGATGCTTCCTACCATCACCTGTAGGTCCATGACTCCCAGAGGGATATTTCTAGCTCTTCTTCTTTGCTGATCTTGGTCCCACTCTTCCCAACTTCTCCTGACCATCCCCCAGCATAGTGCTGGCTTCTCCAGCTCAGTATTCCAGAACTAAATTCATCCAGTACCCCTCTAAAGCCTGCTTCTCCTGAGGCCCCTTCCTCTGCTGGAGCACCATCATATCTCAGCTATGAAATTCAAGCCGTCTGATCTCTCCCACCTCCCAGCCACCAATATTCCAGGAGCTTCCCAGCCCCTCCAGTTCTCCCCTCCAAGGGGCCCTTGCTTCTGTCCTCTCCTTCCTGCTCCGTCACTGCTGCCTCCCTAAGCGAGTGCTTCCTCTTTTCCCGCTAAACAGCTGCAATCCTCTCGTCACTGGCCTCCCAGGCTCACCTATGCCCTGCTCCATCCCAGTTCTTTCCAGATTCTGTTGGCAGATTAACCATCCAGAAGATCTTGTTTGATTATATCACCTCTTCAAGTGGGAAAAAGAAGACTGTTTTCTCCCGTCATTGTCTCCAGAATAAAATGCTAATTCTTTAGCCTTCATGTGGAGAAAGGGTTTGGAGCAGTTTTCCTCACGAGCTAACTCCAAAGCATTATTGGTGGCTGTGGAGTGCGCAGTGTGGAAAAGGACCCCAAGGCTCTCTGCGGAGTGAGTGGAAAAGATGGCCGGGATCACTGGCCATGTCCAGGAGCACGGGACACCCATGCTGCCTACAGGCCACCCCACCTCTCGGCCTGCCATCCCTCAATCCCCCATTCTCCCTTTTTCACCCTGAGAGCTCTCCAATCTTCTGTGCTAAAATAACAGAATGCAGCACTGCTCTCCAAACCTATCCCACACCTGCTGCGGCTGTGTGTGGTTTGTGCCGTCTTTCCTCCTCCACCAAATGTACTTGCTCTCACCTTAAACTACACAACCAATTTCTCAAATCTAATCTGCTCCCTAAAATTGACCTTATGTTTCCTGAGCTGAACAATATTCCCTTAACTCCTTAACTGGTGGCCCCTCGCTGATGTCACCCCTCCCTTTCCTTAAGCAACTTAAAAGCAGATGCTGTGTGGTTTGTCCAGTGTTTCACACATGGTAGATAAATATTTGTCAAATGAATGAATGGATACTCAATTGTGATATGTGTCCCTAAGAAAGGCACCATCTATCAGTTTTTTTTTCAACTAGGTTAATAATGCAAGTATCACAACCAAACCATTGACCAATTATCAGCAATCAAAGCTGTAACAGAACTGCGAGCGAGTTCTGGCTTACCTGCCCCTCACTGTATTCTAAACCCTGGGAACTTTATTGTTAAACATTCCAGTCTCTTCTCTTGCCTGGCTCCCTAGGAGCACATGTGTGGAGGATAACTGAACCTCTCCAGGGCTTGTACTCTACTGAGGCAGACAGCGGAGCCTTGGAGAGTTGTCTTGGCAGCACGATGCCATTTGGGGAATTTATGCTGATTTTTTTGCAGATGGCATGTTGTTTTAGTTTGCCTCCTACAAGTTCACATTCATTGTTCTCCCTCTGGGTTTCGAAGACTCAAAAATTGGTTGACTCAGATCGCCCCCAAAATAAAAGGAAAAAACACATATCCTGGGTAAACACACTCCAAGGCTGGTGGTGGATTTGGATCCTTGAGCACTGAGTTAAGAATGAATCACCTATTGGTGTCCTCTGCGTATGACCCTGATTGGCAGAGCCCAGTGGTCCCCTCATCTGATTGGGCATCAAAGACTACTAGAGAGTGTTTTTTATATTTTTTTCTAAAATTACTTGTTGATTTCTGGCACCTGTCCTGAGATTTTGATTTAGTTAACCTGGGAGGGGGCCTTAAAATACACATTTAAGAAAAATATTTCCGGGCAATTCTGGTATGCAGGTATGTTTGGAAGCCACTAGGAGAGAAGAGGAAACGTGTGCAGAACAGGGTGGTTGTAAGGCCTGAGGGAGCACTGTACTTGCCCACAGGGCCTTGGAGCCTGCACAGGAGGCCTCTTGCTGGTCCTGCTGGGCTGGGGTAATTTCCTTCAGGGTGGTGGTTCTCCAAGTTAGTGTGCTAGAAGCATCCAGGGCAGATTACTAAACCCGTAGATTCCCAGACCCAGTCCCCCTGGTTCTGAGGTGGTAGGTTTGCAGACTCAGGAGTCTACATGTCTAACAAGTCCCCCAGGGGAACCTGACGCAGGAGGCCAAGCACCACTGAGAGGAAACCCTGCCTCTACAGACTGGAGTCCAAGCCTAGCTTTGGGGTGTCCCATACCAGCACTATGAGCCTTTGGAGATGGCCCACGTGCCCCACCTCCTGCTTCAGCACACAGAGCAGGCTCCCTAACGGATGGTGTCTTGGTTTCTTGGCATTTACAGGCACACAGTGAGCTCTCTGTTCTGAAACATATAGGAATTCCTTTGCCTAAAAGGACAGATAATGAGACCAGCAACAACAGTCTCTCTCACATGCTCATCAGAGGCTGCACAGCCCACAGGCCTCTCCAGGAGGTGGTGAAGATGAGGGAGTGAGGGACCAGCAATGGGACCTCCTGCATCCTCAAAGCCAGACCAGCGCTCCCTCCTCCACACGGCCGGCTCTCTTCACCACCGCCACAAGTGGGCTCTCCTTACTTTGCACACCTGAAAATGAGTTATCCTCTTCTTAGAGTCTTTGCATTACCTTAATAATGGTGGGTATTCACCTAGCCAGTCAGTATGGGGCATCACTGTAGGCAAAACCAGGCCTGTCTTGCCTGATATGCCCAGCCCTCTGCCGTGCCTCACCCTCACCCTGGGCCTGCTGTGGACAACAGTCATTGAGCCCCACCACTGTGAGCGTTAGGTAGCACAGTGAGGGTATGCTGGTTGTCATGGCAACTCTCCCCCTCCCCAGTTTCTAAAAGCCTGGCTGCAGTTGGAACCAGCCCATTTTAGCTATCCGAAGTAAGTTGGCTTTCCAGCGATGATGCCACAGTCTCCTTTAGCTTCCATGGCCCTGCAGATGGACAAGGAATCTTGGAATCCCTAGTAACAACAGACTCCTCCAGGGTCAGTGGACGGATTCTGTGTGCCCATTGCTAAGAATGCACTTGGCATGCTTGATGGGAAATTTAGCACTTGGTTCTATGTTCCCACCAAAGTGGAAATTCCACTGATGCATGCTCCTTCTCTGTGTGTGTGTATCTTAGCTATTGCTGTGTAACAAACCATCCTGAAACAGTGATTTGAAACAGTAAACACTGATTATTGTTCACAAGCCTACGTGTGTCTGCAGTCAGCTGAAGGTTGCAGTCAGCAGCGTTTCTTACCTGGGCTGGTCTCACACAGGTCGGGGGCCGGCAGGCTGTAAGAGGATCTATGATGTCCTCAAGCTGGGACAGTTGGACTGTCCTCCATTCTCTATTCTTCCAGCTGAGAATAGCACTGTGCTGGGCCTGCTCTCAAGGTGGCAGGATTCCGAAAGAGTGGAGCAGAAGTGGGCCAGGCCTCCTGAGGCCCTGGCTCCAAACCATCCTTCCTGCCATGCCTGCTGGATCCAAAAAGGTAACAAGACCAGCCTGGATTCAAAGGCAGGAGAAACAGATTTCTTCTCTTCCACGGAGAAAACTGCAAAGCCACATTTTTAAAAAGTGTATATAGGGAGGAATCATCGAGGCCATTTATGGCCAACAATTTTTCACAACGTGGAAAGATGAAAAGGCACAGGGACTCACTTTGCAGTATATTGCATTACAGGAACTAATTTGTAATTATATTAATGCCTTTTAAGTGAGTGGGTGAATGAGTGAATGAACGAATGAATTTTAGCCCCTTAGACCTGGAGTTAAGTGCTGCCGTTCTGTCCCCACCCCTGCATAGTACAGGACTTCAGTGGAGATGCCCGAGCCGCTCTGTTTCTATCACAGATTTCCATTGCAATTGACAAACCTTTGATTCAGGGCTTTCCCAAGGCCAGCAGCGCGAATTGAGGTCAGCGAGAATGAGGTCCAGACGTTGTAACCCAATGCCAGCAAGATCCCGCAAACAACACAGAGCCCAGCAGCATAACAGGACTCCTCCCTGGGGCTTTGTAGCCCAGAAGTTGCTGAGCTTGAGAATACACAGAGATGTCCTTTTTAAAAACAAGTGGCACCAATGAGCCAACAAGGGAACGTAGGATATAAATATGAATTGTAACTGGGAACATAATCCTAACACTAGCCCCAGGAGGGATGCTGTCTTGAGTTGCCAAGCCAGCAGGTCAGGGACAGGGAGGGGCTCAGGACACTTCTGTACCCTCTGCCTCTCCCCTCAACCACAGAACCAGAGACTCACAGCGTATGGTTTTTAGTTTGCACTCTTTCACCGCTGACTTTTGAACAGTTGCCTCTGTATTTTGGGTTAGAACTTGAAATGTTCCTTGTTCCCAGTGTGGATGAAGGTTTTTAATCCTGGGGACACAAGATGGCTCCATCTAAAAGATACAATTTCTTAGTGTGCTGAGTGGCAGGCCTCAGGGGCCCTGCAGCCACCACACCCTCCTGTATGCTTGGAAGCGAGCTCTTCTGCTCACCCACTGTGATCCTTCACCCAGAGCCCAGCTCAACATCTAATGGAATCCGACAGCGGGAATCTCTTGGTTGCATGTTTCACCAGCTTCCTGCAGCTTCCTTAGGATCTACACAGCTCTGAGTCTAGGCTGCTTATCTTTTTCCTTTCTAAAAAGCCAGCAGGGGGAGCAGCAAAGCCCCCAGCCTTGTGTTTATTGTTTATTTTTAACACGGGTCTCCTGCATACATTATACATAATCCCCTCACCCCCAAGTTACTGTGATCAATTTGTTCTTCTTAAAAGCGAAACTGTGGTTAAAAAAAAAAAAACAAAACCCTAAATACTAAATAATTAACTCGAGGACATCTTCCAAGAAAAACACAGTAATTCAAAAGAGTAATCTTCCACTTGAACGATTTGGGCCTCTATTAATTATAACTTTTATTCACTGTGATTAATGATAGCTAGGATGACATTTAGAAAAGAAAGTTGAGAAAGAGTAACAAGAGGAAGCTCATCCTCGTGATCAGATGTAACCATGGAACAGGCTTTCCCCGGGGAAGGGCCAGGACTTCATTTCAGGATACTTTTAAAACCAGGCCTACCAAAGCCTGGGAGAACATGCTAGAAGAAGCAATTGTCCTCCAGAGAGAGATTAGAAATGACCTAAATAGTTACTTACACCTCTGCTTTCTGAAGTAATTAACAGCTGCAATAATGGGGGTGACAACAGCAATAACAAATACGGCACATGTTCTGAGAGAAGATTTAATTATTTTTAAAATAAATTATTGCCACCTGCTTAACAACCTGATAGAAAGAAGCCACCGATGAGCAGGTAGTAATCGAGTTTCATGCTGGGAAGCCTTTCTTCCATATTTCTTTTTTTTGTTGTTGTCATTTGTGTTTGTTTGTTTGTTTTGAGACAGAGTCACGCTCTGTCGCCCAGGCTGGAGTACAGTGGCGCAATCTCGGCGCACTGCAACCTCTGCCTCCTGGGTTCTCCTGCCTCAGCCTCCTGAGTAGCTGGGATTTCAGGCACCCACCACCACGCCTCGCTAATTTTTTGTATTTTTAGTAGAGATGGGGTTTCACCATGTTGGACAGGCTGGTCTCGAACTCCTGACTTCAAGTGATCCACCCACCTTGGCCTCCCAAAGTGCTGGGATTACAGGCATAAGCCACCATGCCCAGCCCCATATTTCTTATTTGAATCTATTTTTTTCTCTATGGCTACATTAATGCATAATGTGGATCACCTGCTAAACCCAATACCAAATGTACCACATAATTCAGATGACAGCCTATAATTTAGGAGGAAATCCTCCAGAGACACAATCTTCATTATCTATTAGAACATGTTACCATTCCATGCCTTACCCAGAGTGGTGAGGAACCGTTGGTATCTCAATGCCACTGAGAATGAGATGCACCAGACCTATCTGGCATTTAACAACAACCATTGCAAATAAACAACGATATTTACATGACTGCCCCAGAGCTCAGCAGCTCCAACCCCCACCCAGTTTCCTTGCAGGGTCTCCAGGCTTTGCCTGGTTTCTGAGGGTCCCTTGCCCTACGGCAGCCTGATGAAGGGCCAAGACCCCAGGCGGGTCCCTTGAGGGTACATGCCCCAGCCCTGCCCTACCAGCCCCTCCTGAGGGATTCACTTACTTAGGCACCACCCCTGCCGAGACAGAAAAGCAGCCAGGGTCTTTGGAGACAGGAGCAGTGTTCAGGGCCATGGTTTGCTCAGAAGCATGGCTCACCAGCCGCCTAGCCCAGCCTTCCCCGGTTTAGCCTCTGCCGTTGCAGTCCAGGCTGCAGAAGGCTCCACCAAGGGCTCAGGATGCACCCCCGTCACGCATAGCTCCTTCTACTCAACACCTGAAACCATCAGCCTGGGTCACTGAGGGCAGGGCCACTCCAATCTGTCAATGTGGATGGGGATCTACATTTTGGATCACCTGCTAAACCTACCATGGCACATGCCACCATTCACGTGTAGGTGGCCAGGAGATGGACACCAGACTTGGAAGTTTGGGAGCCTCTGCCAAGATCCTACTCAGCCCAGAAGCAGTGGGCACGCCCTTCCTCCCATCATCTCTTCAGTATTGACCCTAAGGGGGTGGCGACCAGGGGCTCTGCCCCAGAACATCACGCTCCACCTGGGTTCCCTGGGATTTCTGCAAGATCCTCAGGGAGAGGTGGGGCTAACCCATAACCAATCTTGACTTCTTATCACTGGTGCCTGGGAGCTCAGAGACATATTTGATTTTTCTTTAGAACAAATTAAATAGTGTGACAGCCGTTGTTTCTGAATGTGGTAGAGAAATTAGGGGAGATAAGATATTTATCGTCACCCATCCATGGAGTCTGAATCCCAGACCTGAGTACAGCCAACACATCCCATTGCACAATGACAGAGGACCTCCTCCTAGCTTCTAATTATTATTTAGAATCGATACTGTTAGGGGTCAGAAACCAATACCCCAAAATCTGGCACCTTGACATGCTGAACTGAAGAAACGGCCTCTAGGTCTCTCTGGCCTTCGCCTCCCTCCTGTCTCTCAATCCTCTCTCTCTCCCAAAGCACAGGAGGAAGCTGCTCTCTGAAGTTCCCTCGCCTGCTATATTAGTCCATTTTCATGATGCTGATAAAGACATACCCGAGACTGGAAAGAAAAAGAGGTTTAATTGGACTTACAGTTCCACATGGCTGGGGAGGCCTCAGAATCATGGCAGGAGGTGAAAGGCACTTCTTACACGGCAGCAGCAAGAGAAAAATGAGGAAGATGCAAAAGCAGAAACACCTGATAAACCCATCAGATCTCATGAGACTTATTCACTACCAAGAGAACAGTATGGGGGAAACTGCCCCCATGATTCAACTATCTCCCATCAGGTCCCTCCAACAACACCTGAGAATTATGGGCGTACAATTCAAGATGAGATTTGGGTGGGGACACAGAGCCAAACCATATCATCTGCCTAATGTCCAGAGCCACCAAAGAAGAAAAGAGTTACTTCCAATCCCTTCCCGGAGTCTTCATTAACTGAACTCATATCACAGGAAGAAAGACTGAAGTCTAACAGACTTGGACAGACTTGACACAAACCATGGTCTGCTCTGTGGGCCCAACAGACTTTGTCCCAGGTCACTGTATGTTCTTCAAGCCCATTGAATTCCCCTAAAAATCATTTACTGCCCCTCTAAAATCATCCACACTCCCCCATCTCCCTTTCTCCTAAGAAAAAGGGTATACAACCATCCGTACCCCTTTGTGAGGCAGACATAAGATAATCCCTTTGTGATCCCCCCCAATGCATGTTAATAAATTTATATGCCATTTCTCCCATTGATCTGCCTTTTGTGAGTTGATTTTTCAGTGAAGTTTCAGAGGATGAAGGGGAAGCTTTCTCTTGGCCACTACGGGAACCATGCAGCAGGTGAAAATTTGACTCTGCCTTAGTGACCCTGCTGCCTTCCCTCCCCATTCCTGTCCTCCTGGGTGGTCCTCAGCTGGGTCTGGGTGAAGGTGGCTGGAGAGGGCCTGTTTCAGCAGAATCAGGAGATACATTCTGGCTTGAACTCCAATCCTTCGTGCCACGTCTTGCTCAGAGTGGGCTCTCAGTGGGTACTGAGTGATTTCTTAGCCAATTTTTCTTTCCATCTTTAGAACCAAAATCGAGCCCCCACCCTGTCCCCTCCAGAGGACTAGCCCAACTCCATCTTTTCTTTGTTGCATCTGCATGTCCAACTGCCCAAGTCCCTTGCTGGGCTACCTAGGCTGCATTAACTGATAGTTGCTCTTATCCCAGTTAATAGGAACATTTCTAGATATTCTTGCCGTGGTTTGTTATTTGTTGCTTGTTTCCTCCAGAAGGGTAAGAACCTGTCTTCTACTCCTCTAGCATCTCCAGCTGATGCCAGTTTAAAGGCAGTGCTCTAAAGTCCCAGGGCCACTTTATGTACATGGCAGCCCCCTTGCAAGAATATAGTACCTGGAGAATGGAGCTAAACCCTCACTGACTCCTTGTGCCCTCCTCATTCCATCTGCCTTTCCACCTGCTTACAGCCAAGGTTATACCATCTCCTGATCCAGGTTTGAAAGGAGTTTGTGAAATCAAAAGTGCTTTAAATCAATATTTGGAGGATAGAACCAAATTCAGGATTGGAAGCAGCCAACCAGCTTTAGCCTATTAAGGCCCGACTTGCTTGGTTTGGTTCTGTACGTAAACAGTTTTCTCAGCTGGGATGGATTTATTGCCCTGCCAATGACTTCCACAGCTAACCAGACCAACCTCTGAATCTCTTTCTGCTTTTGGGTCCCACCAAGGGCAAAGTCCTTCCTATGAAAAAGAGATTATCTCCTTTACCCCCAAAATCATAGCTCTCCTCTGAAGCCAGGCATCTCCTTTCCCTTTAATTCAATTCTCAGGCTGGGATTTCTTGCCAACCCATTTCTCCAAGGCCACACACTGCAGGGAGGAGAGATGAGTCTAAAGTAACACCCAGGCTCCCTAAAGATGCTTTCAATGCTTCAAATGCTAGCATCGCAGGGAAGGGAGAGGCAAACTAGAAACTTCAGTAATTAGATTTCCTGGAATTAACTCACACATTCCATGCTGAGCAGTCAGGGTAAGCAATGCATCTTCAGCTCATCAGCATTAATTAACGGCCGTTCTTTTACACCTGACCCATTTATGGGAGTAAATCCCAGGTGATACCGTGTAGCCACCACACACCTGTGCCTTTTTAAACAGCTCCTAGGCCTCCAGGAAAGGCATCTACAGCTAATTGAGCCCGCCCTCCTTTCTCACGATAGTCAAGCCAAGAGAAAGAGAAACATACTCTTGTCAATTAAACAAACAAAAGGGAGAGAAAAACAAAACGCCACCAGCAGATTTCACATCCTATGTGCCCAGGAGGATGCCGCCACCCCAGCTGAGCAGATGTAGGATGGCTGGTTGGTGCTGTTCACCTTGTCCTCCTCTTTGCCATCCGCCCCTTGACCACCTTGAACTGCTTTGCCAGCTGCCTGCACTGATTCCCTTTCAGGAGATGGCTCAGCAACCAAAACGTGCAGTGTTTTGGTGCTGCCCTGCGCGCACAGCAGACGCTCTGTGGATGTCCGGTGTCTCAGCAGCCAGTGGGTTGCATGCCTGACATGTTATCTTCCGGCCGCCTCTGTTGCTGCTTCATAGTTTCTGATCTGCTTTGCCTGTTCCTTGTATTCTATGTTCAATCTTCCCTTTACCACAAGTTTTATCTTCTCCCAAAGAGGTGGGGGTCAGTGGGGGTCATCCTTTTCCCATTTCTATGGCAAAAATCCTGCTTGTGCAGTGAGAAAGTAGCTCCACCTCCAGGTCAGGCCCAGAGCATGTCTGACCAAGTGGAGCACCCACACCTCTGGACTCAGTGATTGGTTCACTTTGGGGGTGATGTGGGTGTCAGGGGAGGGAGGGGAATTTTCCTTCTGCTTTGTGGGAACTAAGAACCTTGCAAGCGCGAAGTTCCTCAGGTGGGGCGGGGTGCAACGTGGCAGATATTTACCATGTGCAGAGAAAGCCAGAGAGCCACCCTGGGAAGAAAACTAACACTGGGGAAGACAGACGGAGCAGAGGGTTGGAGAAAAAGTGGTGCAGGGGAGCGAAAAGTGGTTTCTTTCTACTCTTCTAGGTTCATCGGCTAGGCTATGAATTAAATTGACATAAGACAGCGTAACAGGAGAAAAGCCACGTTTAATTATATACATATGCATGGCAGTCCTGCAGAATAAACCTTGAAGACGGGCCAAGTGATTGAAGCTTATGCAGCATCCTGAGCTACAGAAAGGAATAGGGGCTTGGGGCTTTGGGGGGTGGTGGGGACACAAGTTATGGGAGCGTGAGGGGAGGAAATTTGTGCGAATAAAGGCTGTCTTGTTATGCAGATAAAAGTCTCTCCGGTAACAAATATTGTCTCAGGAGCAGAGGTGACAATCTGCCTGGGCTGGTGCCAACCTCTATTCTTCTTTCCTGTGAGCTGAGTTAATCTTCCCCAGTTGAGAAGATTCCCAGGAGGGGATTCATGACAATTGAGTTCCTTTCGGAGGATCCGTCTTTAGGCAGATAAAGGGGCTCAGAGAAAGTCTCTGCCTGCATCACTGTTTCCCAAGTCCCCTGACTTCAAAGTCATCAGCACACCACAGTGGCATATTTGGGGCTGGCATTTCCAGAACGCCTTCAGTGGGATCCTGAAGATATCGTCTGAGTGCTTGAATCAGGGAAACCTAAATTGAAGGCTTTCCTGAACATTTCTGTTCCTCAAGCCAATCCTTTATTTTTTATGCTTAAACTAATTGAAGACGGAATTTTGTCACTTGCAACTGCTGCCTCACTAATGTGTCTTCTGACCTAAATCTTGGAGTCATTTCTGTATTATTTAAGGTTCTTTCACTTGCAAGTAACAGCAACTCTATTCAAGTTAACTTATGCCAAAAAGGGGAGAGAATCCTAAGCTGCAAAGAAAGAATATGGGTGCAACTGGCCCTGGGGACGGTGGCACTGGGGCATTCTTTCTTAGGCAGCCACTCCTGCCTCTTCCCTTGGTCTGCACATCCTTAAAAGACTGCTTCCTTCGCTACCAGAGATCTGGACTTGCGCCCTTATAGACTCATGAAGAAAGCACAGTTTCGGGGAAGGACTCTGCCTTGCTTTGTGTCTGTCCCTGGACTCACCCCTGTGGCTGGGGAAGAGCAGCTGTGACTGGTCTCTTCTGGGTCACACATGCACCCAACAGGGAGGAAGGAGAGGTCTGTCGCCAGAAGAAGGTAAAGGAAAAAGTATAGGCAGTGGAAACAATACTCACCCCCAACTTCCTACCTCAGAGGTCCAGTGAAACTCCTCCCGAAAGCATCCCTGAAAAGCCCCATTCAGATTGCGGGCATCTGGTCATTTCATTCACCCGGCAATAAATCACCCTCGCAATTTGTGTCATTGAACTTTTTGGAGAATACTTTTGGAGTGTTAAAATAGGATTGACTTTCTATTGAAAGCTGTAAACATTTTTATTTGTAGCTTAATTTTTATCCTCGTGTTGTTTGACAGTTTCTCCTCAAGAGGGGAAGAAGCAGTAGGAGTCTGTTGGCAAAGCACTCCATATTGCTGAGCAGCAAGTAAACCAGCAAGCATGGCGCTTCCAGCTGCACACCGTCTCCTCTGAGACCCAGCTACAGCCATCCAACTGAATGACTTCTTGCCTTTTGGCCTTCAGAGTGCATGTGTGCCCGTGCGTGTGCACGGGTGTGCTTGGCATCATGTGTGCATCTCTAGACAATGAGGAGTGTGGAGGGACAGGTGAAGGATCAAGGCAGGAGGTACAGCCAACTCAAGAAATGAGGCAGGAGAACAATGCACAGTTCCCCTTCTCACTGTGCACGTTGACCTATTTGTCACAGGCTGAAAAGAGCTGGGAACATGGTGGAAGGCTCTTACTTGTAAATGTCGTTCAGACTTTTGAATGGATCTTTTAAGATCAGGAAATGGGATCCATAGTTTACAGGCTTTGTTAGCAGCCAATTTGTTCTACTTGATCCAGAGCATTTAGGCAACGCTACCAAAGAATCTCCTACCAATGAGTTGTGAGTGTTCTTGTCAATATTTTACACATTAACAAGGATCCTAGTTAGAATATGAAGTTAGACATGTTTCTTTCAAGGGAACACGTTACAATGACTGAGGGATAAATATAGATATATAGATATGTCTATATATTAAAGAAGGCAACATAGGACTAATTAAATATTATTTATAATCACTATATGATTTAATACATTAATCTATTAATAGTACCAAAATAAAATTTTAATCCTTCAAGTAATTTGCAATAATATTTAGTAATTGACAGCATTCCATGTAAAGCAGTAATTTTTTTAATGAATCATGTGTTAGTTAATTTAATAGGCCTTCTACCTTAAAAATAATTATGTTTGTAATTAAAACATTTCAATTAATTATAAGGGCTTCTTATGTGATTTAAGTCTATTAAAGACAATTTAATTACCAAACTTTGAATGTGTTATCATTCCAATCACAAAACGATTTTAAATACTTTTCTTAATATCCAGGTCTTTATATTAGTCATTTATTCCTGTTGATATAAAAAGCATCCTAATTTGGTCGTGATGACAGCTACTGATATCAAGAAATAGGGGGGTAATTTGAACAAATAATGGTGAACATGGTGGATAGTAGTCTGCATGCAGCCTTTCTGCGGGGCACACATGCAATAACTAAAGGTGGACACTAGAGGGAGGCAGACAGAGAGGGTGAGAAGGAAGAAAAAGTAGAGCTATACACGAGCTGGACTTGAATGAAGACTGTGTTTTGGTTTGACCCCTTTGATGCTCATTTTCTGGAGGCCATACCCAGAAACCTAATTAGAAATACGGTTCATGATTCACACACCATGAACTTACTTTATCCGGGAAGAGACCTGAGCAAGTCATGCTCACCTCTGAAGAAAGCAAGCTCATTGTAATTCTCCTTCTCCACACTGAATACCTGTGTAATACATTTCAGTTTTCAAAGTGATTTCATATACATTATCTTATTTTGGAGTCAATATGGTGTAGCAGAAAGAAAATTAGACTTGAGTCAGGGAATCTGAATTGTAGCCTGGTCTCTTTCACTACATGCCTGTGACCTTGGATGAGGTACTTAACCTGTCTGGCAGAAGCTTCCTCATAGGTAACATGCTGGTGTTAGAACAGATGATCTCTAAGGTCCCTTCAATTCCAAAACTCTGTGATTTTATGATGCAGCCCATATAAGAGAGACTGTGTGTGCATGTATGTGCACTTGGAATGTGTGTGCCTTGCCTTAAATGAGAATTATTTCAAATAAAACACTATTCTGGCTTCAGTGAAAGCATTTTCTCCTTCTGCCTTGGAGGGATAATGCAAACACAAGGGAAGTCCCAAGTAGTGAAACAGCCCCTCCGGGACCCAGCAAGTACCAAGATTGGGTTACAAAACTTAATGTGTATATGAAATGTTTCCATCAACTTATAAAATAAAAGTACAATAAAAGCAGTGGCTTTTTATTATTATTTAGATTTAAATCATCCCCTGCAGTGTTGAAAACCCAAGGGCAACCTTCCGAATTTAGCAGGATCTCAGAATGAAATGGAAATAGAATGTAGCAAGGGAAATAGATGCATTAGACATCATCGTCCTACCTAAGAGGAAATTCTTGTTCTTTGTTCCTTGTGTTTCTTTAAGCCCAGCAAACGGCACAAATGTTGAAAGCTTATTAGAATTTTAAAGACTTCTCAGCATACTGATAAATTCTAACTTTTAGAATCTCTGAATTATTTTTTGTCTGAACACTGGCTCTTCTATGTCATTTTCATTAAATGAACACACAGCAATTTTCATCCCCAGCCTTGAAGAAATTCTTTAACTTTCTTGCCTGGTTGTATTTAAGTGTCCTCAAATGTACTCCCTATTTCTCATCCATTTCGTTACCTCTCTGTTTCCAAGCTTCTGGCTCAGAGGGGAAAAAAAAAGCAGAGCCACACTCTAGGAGAACTAGGAATGTGCACCCGGAGTCCCACTCAGAGACAGGAGGGATTCAGTTTCACGGACTCTCAGGTCAGGGCTTGGGTAAGGGACCCAGGAGGCCCAGAAAGCCCGTACTAACAAATAACATTCCAGGGTTCCCAGAGTGGCGGTATGACCTGGCTAAGGTGAGCTCCAAAGGGCAGTTCACCAGATCAGCACAACCTCATCTGGAAAGCAGAGAAAACAGGCGAGGCTGTGAGGAGGGTACTTAGAATCTCAGATGCCATGGCTGCCCAAAGATTAAATGGAAAGCAACCATACTGAAAGAAGGGCTAGCAAGTAGAAACATGAGATGCATCAGAAAGCGCTTCGGTGAGATCCCTAGAGCTCCTTTCCCCCCAAGGAATTCCAACTTAAGGGGAATATTTCATTCAACAATATGTATTAAGCTCCTATTGGCACTGTTTTAAATACTAGAGCTACACCACTAGACAAGTCAGACAAAAACCTCTGCTCTTATGGAGCTTATGTCCCTGTGAGGAAAAAGAGCCTAAATGTATGAAATAAATACATGATTGGGTATGTTAGATACTGGTGGAAACTGCTGTGGAAAATATATAGTAAGGTAAAGAGGATAAGAAGGATTAGGGATCAGGGAAAATCTGTTTGCCCTCTAGGGTGGTCAGGGTGGGCCTGGCTAAAAATATGATGTTTCAGCAAAGATTTTTAAAGCGTGAGGGAGAGAGCCATGCAGATATGTAGGGAAGACGCATTCTAGCCAGAGGAGCAGCCAGCACATGGGCCCTGAGGGGGCCACAGTATGTGGGAAGACAGGAACGTAGCTGGAACAGAGGGAATGACAGGAGTCATACAAGAAGGCGAGGTCAGAGAAGTCATCATAGCCAAAATAGGCAGAGCATGTAATGCCATTGTGAGGACTTTGGGTTTTACTTTGAGTGAAATGGGGAACCATTGGAGGGTTTTGAGCAGAGGGTTTGAGCGCCATGACCTGATTTATACTTTAATCGGACCACTCCAGCACCTGTGTTGAGATTAGCCTGCAAGGGGCAAAGGGGGAAATAGAGAACACAGTTAGGAGGCCATCGCCATATTTACGTAGCGGCTGATGACAATGTGGACCAGGAATGGAGCAGTGGAGGTGATGAGAAGTGCTGGGAGCCCAAGTGAGATGTTGAAGGAAGCATCAGCAGGGCGTGCCGACGTGTCAGATACGGGTGTGAGAAAGAGGAATCAAGGATGACTGACCACCAGGTCACACAGTGGCCATCAGCTGAAATGGAGACAGCCGCAAGTCATGTGGGGGTTCTGGGAAAAGATCAGAGGTTTCCATTGGATGTGTCAAGTTTGAGAAATCCAGTGGACATCTAGTGAGGTTGCTGAGTAGATCCAGCCTGAAGATGGAACTTGGGAGTCCTCAGCAAATAGAAGGTAATCAAAACTGTGAGACCAGAAAAGATCACCAAGGTCTCCAGGGCAGTGGGTAGAGATGGACAAAAGAAGTAAGGACAGAGCTCTGCAGCACTGAGTGTTCAAATGTCTGGATTGCATGGGGACTGGATTTTGGTTAGGTCGGATTTAAGAAATTACTTAGGGACTCAAACTTGAAGAAGGTGCCTGGTGTGGTGAGAGGGAGGGCAGGTGTACCCGCAGCTGACTTTTCCCGGGGATCACTTCCCCCACCATCCTCCATTGCCGTGGCCCTTGTAAGTCTACATCCAGTAGACACTTTGACCCCAGGGGCATCCGAGTGTCTTCTATGTGCTTAGGCATCTCAAGCAAGCATCCAATCCTAAAAAGCCTGGATTGCTAAGTCTCTTTGTTTTCACTGGGCCTCCTATTGTTTCCAGTCAAAAGCATATAACTACTTCATGAATTTATGCAAAAGTAAATGCAGTATCCCCTGCCTAGGGCCTAGCCATGCCTGTTTATCTGCGCTGCTTCTGAGCTGCTGTTCATTGGGGCCAGTGCATCTGCCGCCTTGAGCTATAAACCTCCCTTGCTCCTGGCTCCTCCAATCCACGTTCCCTCCTTTATGGCTCTGTCCCCGGTGCTTTCCCTCCCTGCAGCACCTCCTTAGGATGGTCAGCCACAGTTCCCGCACACACTCACGGATTTCATATCCAGGGCGTCACTACCAGCCCGTAGCTGCCCTGCACCACCTGAGCAGCAGGCTGTGGGAAGGCGCCTAACCCACCCAGTCACCACAGCTGGTTTCTCACCGTGGCCCAGGAGCAGCAGGCTTAGCTGAGTCCATCCACCACCCTACCACACCATGTGGGCCCCACACCTGCCTTCTTTCTTGAGGAATGACTGATTTTCTTTAAAATTTACATGAGAAAAGACACAGGTTTGCATAGCACCTCCATGGTCAACTTCTCCTGGTATATCCTACACAAGGTGAGGGGTTTGAATTCGCCTGGTAAGCTCATACTGCACTGCATATAACTCAAGGTTAAGTGTGGCTTTCTCTCTGAAATGCCCTCCCAAATGGAGCACCTTCCTAAATCCCTCGTGTCAGTGTTGCAGCTCTGCCACGCCCCACTCTTGGAGGTGTCCTCTGTGCCACAGCAGGCCCCCAGAGCCCTTATGAGGTGAAGAGGGCTGCCTCCAGTCCCTTCTTGGCTAGAGCCACTGCAAGGTGGTTCAGAAGCACTGTGGTCCCTTCCCAGAGTACTTTCTGGCTACTGGACCTTTCCCAGGTCAAGCCCAGAGCATACTATAATCTCTGAGAGCAGCAGGCCATGAGAAAGCAGAATGACTATTACTTTAACTTAGAAAGGAGAGGCTTCCTAAGCTTGAGCCTTCAAACAAAGCTTCCTTTCCCCAGATCTCCATCTCTCTCCCCTTCTCAGTCTCTACCGTTTTCATGCAGCCCCTCTCCTTCAGGTGCCCCACCCAGCCCTCCTCTTTACAGTGGAAACTCCACCCCTTTCCACAAACACAGAGGAGGGGTGCTGTCCCCTCCCTTCCCACCTCCTCCGACTCCAGCATCTCATGTCCTCTGGCTGGTTCCCAAGTAGAGTGGGAAGATTTGGAAATGGAGGGAGTGTTGGGGACAGCCACAGTGACTGGGGCACACTATTGGCATTTAGTGCTGCAGGGCCAGGGATGCCAAACATCCAACAAGGGTTGAGACGGTCTTTTTCCAGCCAAAGCACCAACTAATCCCAGTAAGAATCACTCAGGCACCGAGAGTGAGAGCAGAGACAGAGCCCACACCCCAGCTTATTCCCACCAGCGAGCCTCACAGCTGATTTTCTCACTGCTTTGTCTAGGAATTAATGTTCATGTTTCTCCAACATGAACATTAATTTTCCTTATAGAAAATGCAGTCCAGTCTCCTATGAGGAAGCTTATTTCTCCTGATGGTGTGTCTTTGACCTTGCCCCTTAATGACAGTAAGGTCCAGCATCGCTGTGCTGGATGGCATCCTTATACCTCAGTAGGTGGGAGCACAGGTTCTGGAGTTGAACTGCCTGGGTTTGAGTCCTGACTCGGGTACTCTGAGTACCCGAGGAGGCTACTTGACTCAGTTTTTTCATCTGCAAAACGGGGAGAATAACAGCATCTAATTTCCATGGCTGTCATAAGAGAATGTGGTAAGGTGCTGAGCCCAGTAGTACTCAAGAAATTAAATTCTCTCCTTGGAAAAGGGTGTGCTCCGGTTCATCCTGCCTCCACCCCAAAGATCACTACATGGAATGAAATACACCTGTAAAAAGACTCTGTATATTTTTTACGTTGCCTGGTTAGTGACTGGTCCAAAAGCATAATTCAATATGAATCTAAACAAATTGCTATTTTGCCAAAGCTCGAGGGGCTTAACAAGTGCAGATGGCTGTCAGCTTTGACGCATCCCAAGAGCTGCTCTGTCATCACATAATATGCACTCAAGGCATTCTGAAGAAAAGAATGCTCGTGCAATTTGAAGGTGATGCTGCTAGTGTGTGCTTATCTCTCCCAGCAAGCCCATCCAAGGAAAACAGGAGTCAACTTTAATCTAGCTGTGAAAAGAAGAGACAAATCATCACCCCAAATCCTTACGTGTTTTGAGGCAATAGTTTTGACCTGCTGTTCCTCAAGATCCTTTTGCCAGAACTACAACCAAAAAGTGATGGGTTTTTTATGAGCCTTTTTTTAAACTCTCCCCAAATTGTAACTTTGTTCTTTCCCTGCATTTACTTCCTCGAACCTCCCCAGTGGAATGGCGAAATTGCATCCCTTTTTCTCTAAGTGAAATCAACATGGCCTTTAAGATGTTCAAAGCATAGCAGAGATTCTCCTTTCTCACTAGGTCAGCTGGGAGGATGAGAAAGGGTCCTAAAGAGTGTGTGTGTGTGTGTGTGTGTGTGTGTGTGTGTGATGTGTATATGTTTGTGTTTGTCTGGTGTCACGTTGTATGTTTGTGTGAGGTCTGTGATATATGTATAATATATGTGTGTATGATATGTGCATGTGTGTATATTTTGGCAGTGCGTATGTGTGGTATGTGTGTGGTGTATGTACATGTGTGCAGTGTGTATGTATGTGGTGTGTCTATGTTTGTGTTTATGTGGTGTAATGTGTGTGTGTGCATGGTGTGTGGTATGTGTGATGTGTGTCTGTATGTAGTGTGTGTATTTATATGTAGTATACGTGTGTGGTATGAGTGCAGTATTTATGTGCGTGGTGTGTTTATGTTTGTGTTTACTGTGGCATTGCGTATGTGTGTGGCATGTGTGTACATGTGTGTTTGTGTGTATGTGTGTGGTATGTGGGTGTGTGGATGTGTGTGGTGTGTGTGCATGTATGTGTGTGGTATGTGTATGTGTTTGTGTGTGTGTGGTGTGTATGTGGTGTGCATAGTATATGTGTATCATGCATGTGTGTGTTGTGTGTGTATGGTGTGTGCATGTGGTCTGTGTGGTGTAGTGTTGTGTTTGTGTGTAAGGTGTGTATGGTGTGTGGGGTGTGTGTGTGTATGGTATGTATTTATGGTATGTGTGTATCATGTGTGGTGTGTACGGTGTGTGTGGTGTGTGTGTGTGGTACGTATGCAGTATGTGTATGTGTCTGTATGGTATAGTGTTGTGTTTGTGTGTGGGGAGGGTGGGGGGTATGTGTGTATGGTATGTGTGTATAGTGTGTGTGGTATGTGTATGGTGTGTGTGATGTGTATGGTGTGTGTGGTGTGTGTGCAGTGTGTATGTGTATGTGTTTGTATGGTATTGTGTTTGTGTGTGAGATTGTGTGGTGTGGGGGTTATGTGTGTATAGTGTGTGTGTGGTGTGTGTTCAGTGTGTATGTGTATGTGCTTGTATGGTATAGTATGTTTGTGTGTGAGGTGTGGGTGTGTGTGGCGTGTGTGTGTGGTATGTATGTATAGTGCATGTGTGTGGTGTGTATGGTGTGTGTGTGGTGTGTGCAGTGTGTGTGTGTGTGGTATAGTGTATTTGTGTGTGAGGGTGTGAGGTGTGAGGTGTGTATGGTGTGTGCAGTGTGTACGGTATGTTTATGGAATGTGTGTGGTGTGTGTGCAGTGTTTATGTGTATGTGTTTGTATAGTATAGTGTGTCTGTGTGTGGGGGGTGTGTGTGTGGTGTGTGGGGTATGTGTGTGTGGTATGCTGTGTATACTCTGTGTGTGGTGTGTGTATGGTGTGTATTTGTGTGCAGTGCGTATGTGTGTGGCACAGTGTTGTGTTTGTGTTAGGTGTGTGTGGTGTGTGTGGTGTGTATGGTGTGTGTATGGAATGTGTAGTGTGTGTACAGTGTGTATGTGTTTGTATGGTATAGTGTTTGTGTGTGTGTGTATGGTGTGTGTATGGAATGTGTAGTGTGTGTGCAGTGTGTACGTGTTTGTATGGTATAGTTTTGTGTTTGTGTCTGTGTCTGGTGTGTGTATGGAATGTGTGGTGTGTGTGCAGTGTGTATGTTTTTGTATGGTATAGTGTGTATGTGCGTGTGTGAGGTGTGTGTGTGTGTATGGTGTGTGTATGGAATGTGTAGTGTGTGTGCAGTGTGTATGTGTTTGTATGGTATAGTGTGTTTCTGTGTGTGTGTATGGTGTGTGTATGGAATGTGTAGTGTGTGTGCAGCGTGTATGTGTTTGTATGGTATAGTGTTGTGTTTGTGTGTGAGGTGTGTGAGGTGTGGTGTGTGTATGTATGCGTTGGGCAGGGCAGTGAGCAAGGAATGGAGGGTGCCCCAAGTCAGGCCCTGACCTAGCTTTGGTAAGAGCAGTGCCTGCTCTTTGAGTAATTTTTTCACATTATCTCTAAACTGCACTGCAACCCCACAAGGGTTATTCCCAAATGAGGAAACTGAATCTTAAAACAGGTTTAGGTTAGGCAACTTGTCTGAGGTCACATAGCCAGTAAGTGGAGGAACTGGGATTCAAATGGGCCTGGAAAATGCCACAGGCATGCATTCTTTCCATCCCATCAGGTAGTCTGCCATATAACAGTTTAGGGAAAACAAACATCGATAGATACCATCAGTATTTCTTTGCTTTTCATGGCACCTTTCCCCCAAAGTTCTCTATACCCATTAAATGTGTCCCAGGATCAGGATTTACCTGTCTGGGTGGATTTAAGAAGAGGGAAATAGAGCTGGGTCTTACAATCCTGGTTATTCTGGGAACTAATTAACAATTCTCTACTCTGGACCTTAAGAGTGAGAAACAGAGAACAAAAGAGAAAGAGAAGAAACAACTCAAAATGGCCATCTTCAAGGAATTTGTTGGAGGAGGAATTGGGCACAAAGCCATTATGTTTGGTCTTTATTCATTTGTAAAACAGTGATCATGAAACACTGGTCCAAAAGAATATAGAATGGAGAATTTATGGGAAAGGACATAAGGGTAAGAGGTTTGAGGGTTTGAACTGAAATGAAAGGATTAGAAACAGAATGGCTGCAAGGTGGGAACGCCTGCCAGGTGTTCAATGGATTCAGTAGGCCACTTGGCCCCGCATCTCCCACAGGTGAAAAGCTGAGACTATTCTGGTTCTATAACTTACCCAAATTCAAGGGCCAACATTCCGTCCAGAACGGAACTTTGGAAGACATGCAGTTAGTGAAGGGTATCGACTGAGTGGCTCTACTCCTGTCCAGCTCTGTCACGGGCTGTCATTTGGCCCCCAGAGACCCTGGAACTATCTGGGCTGTGGGGATGCAGACCCCGGGGACAAGCACGGCAGCACATTTGAACAGACATTGGAAGGACTTACAATCTCTAGGAAATACAGGACAAACAGGCAATAGACACAGCTTAGGATTCTAAGAGGCATGAGACCTCATAATCTGTTACTATTGAATGAATAAAACACATGTTAAAGTACTGAACATGTTTTTGAGTTTAACAGAAATGCTAAGTAGGGTTATCTCCCCCAAGGAAATCCATGGTAGATTGGTTCAATTCATTTACTCATCCAACAAATATTTACTGAATGCCTGCTGTGGTAAGTATGATATCAAGACTGGAGGTACAATTGTGAACAAGGTCTGGTCTTTGGTCTCTATGCAACTGATATGTTAATTGCAAGAGACAGAAAACAAGTAAGCCAATAAATAAGATAACCCTAGGCTGCAATAAGTGCTATAAAGTAGAAAAAGCAGTGACGTGCAGGTGAGCAACCAGAGGTGGGAGGAGGCAAGCTCCATCTGATGGGGTCTGCAGTCAGTTGGGGTTGGGTTCAAACCCAGCTCCAACACCCGCTAGCCACATGGCCTTGGGCAAGTTACCCTGGTGTCTTGGTTTCCTCATCTCTAAAATGGCTAATAATATCTGCTTTGTGGAGTATTATTCAATGTCTTTCTGCTTAAACCGGAGTGGATTCTGTTGTTTGTGACCAAGAACTCCAACCAAACTCTCACTCTTTGAGGTCTTTATATTTGCCAGTGTCTCCCACACGAATCTCTAACAAGTACTCCACAAGACCTGTAAAGCAGACATATGACATAAAACAAATTTGGAACATGAAGAATGAGGTGCCGTGTGGGTTCTAGTCTGGAGGAGGGGTAGAGAGACATCTGCTGTATCTCCTCTTATCTCTAAGACATACTTAGAGATTGTGTGGGAAACGCTGGCAAATATAAAGACCTCAATAAAGGAGAGTTTGGATGGGGTTCTTGGTCACAAACAGAATGCCCTCCAGTTTAAGCAGAAAGGCATTGAATAAAGGACAGCTCAGAGAATATCTAAGAGGGTCAGGGAAGAAGGCTTGCTTCTGGAATGGCGCAGTTGCACTCTAGACTGCTCCAGGGAACACACCATCACAGCAGCTATCATAGCTGAGCATGGCTCCAGGATGCCACCTTCAGGAGCTCCACCACTGTGGCCTCCGAAAGTAGATGTCTCTCTATCCCTTCTCCAAACTAGACCCGTACAATACAGCACCTCATTCTTCAGGTTCCACATTTGTTTTATGTGGGTATGTCTGCTTGCAGGTCATAAGCTCTGCTTAAAATCCTGTTCCTTGGGCGGCTGGTGAAGTGAGTTTCTGATTTCTACCTAGGGAGGCAGGACACATGATATGGGAAATTCTTCCAGCATAAGAGGGGTGGTCAGCATCACTGGGTGCTATGCACCTCAAGCATCCATGGTACAGAGCAAAAAACCACATGGCTGTTCAATACAACCTATACCCAGTGTTCCTCCTTCTCCCTTCCTAGGAAACAAATCAGCACACAGAAACATCTTTGCAGACTGTGGCAGCTCTTCTTCTAAATTCATTAAAGAAAGTAGGGGAAAGAAATGGGGAAAACAACAATGATATGCCATTTTACACCATCAAATCAGCAAAATGTAAAATTCTAACAGTGCTGTGCAGTGATGAGCATGCGAAGAAATGAAAACTCGTATGTGGCTAAGAGGAGTGTGGATTGATGTGGGCATTTTGGCATGCAATTCAGAAATAATCAATGAAATTGAAGATGTTTGTGCTCTATGACCCAGAAATCCCACTTCTAGAGATATTCTCAAATGTGTGTACAGAGACACATAGAAGCATGTTCATTGCAGCACCATTTGTAATACTGGAAAATTGGAAATAACCAGAATGCACATCAACCAGAAAATGGATAAATAAAATGTGGCTTATCAAATAATAAAACATGATTCCACAGTTAATAAATGAACTAGAACTAGACACAGAAGCATGGAAATGTCTAAGACATAAAAGTTGAGTAAAAAACAAGTTACAGAAGGAAAAAGAGTAAATCACAGTCTGATACCAATTGTAAACCAAAAATAAAATTCTAGGCCTCCCAACCAATTGGATGAACCCCTCCTCTCTGTCAAGGGCATTCATTCCTAAGTTGATCTGAAAAGCTAGTTCAGGCCATGATGGGAAGTGGGGGTCAGACATGCCTCATTACACCCTCCTCCCTTTGGAATTCGGGCACAGCTGACCAGCATTTAACATTAAAACAGAGGCCTTAAGACTGACAAAGCAGACTGTTTGTAGCAATAAGGTACCAACATGACAGACAGCAGACACTAAAAGGAAATGGCCCTGCAAAGCTGTCTCTTATGAGGAAAATGTAGATATTCCCTTTCCTTTCCAGATCTTTTTCCTGATCCAGGAGAGAATTAACTAAGAGTCTGGCGCCTTTTTAAGTCTGATGAGAAACATTTACTATCTATTCTCTCTGAAGCCTGCCACCTGGAGGCTTCATCTGCATAATAAAAACCTTGGTCTCCACAACCCCTTATCTTAACCCAGATACTCCTTTCTATTGATTCTAGGTCTTTAGATAAACTCTTTCAACCAACTGCCAGTCAAGAACTCTTTGAATCCACCTATAATCTGGAAGCCCTCCTCTCTCCCCACCACTTCACGTTATCCTGCCTTTCCAGACAGAACCAGTGTAGAGCACATGTATTAATTGATGTCTTATTAAAATGATAAAACCAAGATGTAGCCTGACCACCTTGGGCATATGTTTTCAGGACTTCCTGAGGCTGCATCACAGGCACGTCCTTAATCTTAGCAAAACAAACTTCTAAATTGATTGAGACCTGTCGCAGATACTTTTTTATTTACACAAATAAAAGTTAAAAATGAAAAACACTGCAATCACATGTCCACAGGTACATTTACTTGGAGTAATAATGTAAGTCATGCATGGGGCTGATGTAGACCTAAGTGCCGTGGTGCACCTCTCTGGGAGACAGGAAATAAGGAAGACTTCAACTCTATATGAATATGATGTCTATGTATACTGTGCTTATTTGGGTGATTAAAAATTTTATGACTTTTTTAAAACTAAAGAAAAGAGTGGGACTTAGAACCACTCAACCCTGGGTAGAAACTCTGACTCTTCTACTTACTAGAAAAAAAATGTTAAACCTTCGCGGCCAGGTACAGTGGCTCACGCCTGTAATCCCAGCACTTTGGGAGGCCAAGGTGGGCGAATCACTTGAGGTCAGGAATTTGAGGCCAGCCTGGCCAACATGGAGAAACCCTGTCTCTACTAAAAATACAACAATTAGCTGGGCGTGGTGGCGGGCACCTGTAATCCCAGCTACTCAGGAGGCTGAGGCAGGAGAATTGCTTGAAACCGGGAGGCAGAGGTTGTGGTGAGCCGAGATTGCACCATCACACTCCAGCCTAGGCAACAAAAGTGAAACTCTGCCTCAAAAAAAGAAAAAAAATTAAATCTCTCTGAGCCTCAATGCCTTCATCTGGAAAATGGGGCTAATAATACCTATTAGTTTAAACCACATGAAATTGCCTGTTTTGCAGGACAAATGCATTTGCACATCAGCAACTTCATGGTTCAGCCTAACTTTGTTCAGCAGAGCTGTGCTGAGAGCTCATGTAAAGAACCACTCTTCTGGCACTCAGTGGATAGCTGCCCTTATTAAAAGGAGAGGCTGGCACGGTGGCTCACGCCTGTAATTCCAGCACTTTGGGAGGCTGAGGCAGTGGAATGCTTGAGCCCAGGAATTCAAGACAAGTCTGGGCAACATGACAAAACCCCGTCTCTACAAAAAAATACAAAAAAATTAGCCAGGCGTGGTGGCACATGACTGTAGTCCAATAACCGGGAGGCTGAGGCGGGAGGATTGTTTCAGCCTGGGAGGTCAAGGCTGCAGTGAGCCACGATCCCATCACTGCATTCCAGCTTGAGCAACATAGTGAGACTCTGTCTCAAAAAAAAAAAAAAAAAAAAAACAGGCTGGGCACAGTGGCTCACACCTGTAATCCCAGCACTTTGGGAGGCTGAGGTGGGTGGATCACCTGAGGTCAGAATTCGAGACCAGCCTGACCAATATGGTGAAACCCTGTCTCTACTAAAAATACAAAAATTAGCTGGGCACGGTGGAGGATGCCTGTAGTCCCAGCTACTTGGGAGGCTGAGACAGAATTGCTTGAACCCAGGAGGTGGAGGTTGCAGTGATCATGCCACTACACTCCAGCCTGGGTGACACAGCAAGACTCCATCTAAACAAAAAAAAAAGAAAGAAAAGGAGATATGTTTCATTGGAAGGTTGAGTGTTTCCCTGCCCGGAAGCAAAGGAGGAGCTGGATGACCTCTTGGGGGCTCCTCTTTCTAGGCAACCACGGTCTTATCAGGTGAGCCCAGAGTCACCCAAACCACTGGAAGAGGGGACTCTGGGATGAGGGAAAGATGCTTGCCCATATCAATTCTTACAGCACAGCATTTCCAGTGTTATTTCAAAACAAGAGTATGGATTGGGGGAGACCTTTCAAAGACAGATGAGGCTTTCTCTGTCTCGTGTCTGATGGGGAGGCCTGCAGAGTCACATCTGTTTGGCTCAAGTGCAGGACAGCACCAGCCAGAGACCAGACTGTGAGGTCAAAGCCAATCAATATGGCCAACCTGGAAAAGGTGCTCCGAATAAGCTCTACATGAATCTTAAGCTGAACAGACTGGCACATTCTCCCTAGAATCAGCCTTCAAAACATTGAATGCACATCTTCCTTATACTCGAGATGGAACAAATTGCCTAGTAAATGTTTGCAGTGAATGCCAGAAATGGCAGCACATGGCTGTCTGGTTTTTTGGGGAAGGAGGGGATGGCGAGGGAAGTAAAGAGCTGAAGACAATTAATGACCAAACCCTAGAGGAAAAGACACTCTAGCCAATTTGTGCTGATTTTCTTGTCTGAAAATGGGGAAAACCCATAGATTATTCAAGCTTAATTGATGCTTTTGCAGCAAAGGAAATGAAAGGTGCTTAATTCATATATATACTCTCCGAGGTCCATTACCAAGCTGTCACCTCCATCAGCCAAGCCAGTAGGCTTTCTTCTAGCTCTCCTGTCTATGCACATACAGCTGTGCACCCAGCAGTACATCAATCCCTGGCAACTGGCCAGTCGGGTTGTTTAAGAGAAGAAAATAGAATGGAGAAAGAGCTGAAAAAAATCTGGACAGAGAAGCAACACCTTTGGTCTTTGCAGTTTAACAATTTAATTTGTTCTCTTCAAGTTGCAATTTTTCTGGTCTTATCCCTGAAATAGTATTAAAGGACTTATCCAAAGTCACATCAACTTCACTGGCCAAACTTGAAATTCCTGGGCAAGTACTTAACCTCTCTAAGTCCCAGTGTGTTCATCCATACGACAGGGACATTTGTAAATTAGGAACAACATTTTCCCCCACAGAGTTGTGGTGGAAGATACATGAGTGACACAGACTGGATGTTCCATAAATGTTATCTGCCCCCACTGGCATTTATCAGAACAGGTGGTTTTCATGTATAGAACCCTACAGTACATAACAGGTTCAGGAAGAGGAAGAGAGTAAAAGAAAATGTGTAGCATGTAATAGATTTTAACTACCTAATTTTTCCTACTTTGACCAAGTGAACATAAATGTAATACCCTTGCATACTCAGAAGCCTAAGAGTGTACCCAGTTAAACCAGCACACGAATGAACAAGATTTTATACAAATGAGTTAGCCCTTCAAATCACATGTTAACTAACCAAGAGGAAAGCATGAAAGAAGTACATAGCAAAGCCCTGGTGAGACCATATTTTCCAGTAAGTGAATGCCTTTTAATTCCAGCTGTTGTTAAAAGCAGGCTGAAAAAAGAGGGGGAAAAGAAAACAATGAGAGGGGCAGGATGTTTGCACAATGAGAAGGAGTTGTCCAGACAGCACTCAGCTGTGAACAGTCCTTTTCCTCCGGAAGCCCTTTCCCCAGCAAAGGCTGCTTAGGATGCATTTGCATTCAAGGAGAGTTGCCCCTCCAGCATCTCCCAAATTGCCTAGATGGGCATTCATAGGAAATGCAAATTTAAAATAAAAGCTGAGAAAATCAGTTGAGTTCTACAATGGGCATGTATTTCTTTTGTAATCAGAAGACAATAGCTCTCATAAAAAAGAAATAAAGGGAGCCAAATTGATTAAGCCTATACAATTGAGGCAGAAAGTCTGTGTACATTAAAGCCTAATCTTTGTAAACAGTTGCAGACAGAGAGATTGAGAGTACACAACAATCTGTCTACAAACTTTGAGGTAAGGGAGCAACCAATATAGTGTTCAGCAGCAGGATCCAGCAAGGGACATGGGTCATTAGGGTTCATCAGCAAAAAACAGCTAAAGAGAAGGCAAAGAAAGGAAAGGTTTGGACCCAGAATGAAACCACCTTAGCACTGCTCATACCTGTAGAGGACAGAGGAGATTGGTAGTTATCAACAGAATTGCTTTACTGGAACAATTATAAAGCAAAATATCCCTTAGGTCTTACCATACGCAAAGTTGTTTTAATAGTTGCTCTAGATAATGTCCCCCACCTACCAAGGTGCAGGATTTCAGTCCTGCTTTCTTATGTCTCCTTAAGAAGCTCCAAAGGCTGAGTGTGGTAGCTCATGCCTGTAATCTCAACACTTTTGGAGATTGAGGCAGGAAGATCACTTGAAATCAGGAGTTTGAAACCAGCTTGGGCAACATAGCAAGACTTTGTCTCTCCAAAAATTTAAAAGTTATCTGGGTGTCATGGCATGCACCTATGATCCCAGCTATTTGGGAAGCTGAGGTGAGAGGATCGCTTGAGCTCAGGAGGTTGAGGCTGCATTAAGCCAAGACCACACCACTACACTCCAGCCTGGGTGATAGAGAACCTGTGTCTTAAAAAAAATCTCCAAAGGAAGGGAGAGTGATTTCCATTTACAGAGTCTCTGTCCCCACTCCAATCTCTGTCTACAACTCTACTCCACTGTCTGCTGTTACTCTGCTGGCCCTAGTTGGTCGACCATGCCAGGTGCACCTCATTCTCCCAGGCTACTGATCCGGATGCTTTTCTTGGCTGTTGCTTCTGCCAATTGTCTCCAGGCAGCTAGTCTCTGCTGTGCTACGTGCTACCGCAGACAAACTGCCACAGTTCAAAACCATGGATGCTCCTGACACCATGCCCAGTCCACCCACCCCAAGGCCCTAATCTTCTGTGACCTCCAAACTGCTCAGGGTCTGTGCCACCTGACACTGGTCCTCAGCTTTCCCTCCATAGCTGCACTGCTTGCCTGTTTTTTTCACCATGTGTTCCCAGTGCTTGGTAAGTAATTGTTGACTGAATTAGTCAATGAACATGAAAGTGATAGTGGCAAGAGGCAGACAAATGTCTAGGCAGATGGGGCAAGTACCTGGTAAAACCCCACCTCCAAGCCAAAGACAGTTTAAAGCCTGAAAGCCAAGCTACAAGTCAAATCCATGGACCAGATTAAGAACCTGTCTTCCCATTTGGCATGCTTTCCTCTGATTGATCCCCACCCTTCAACTATTTTACATATACCTACCCTTTCCTAATTGGTTTTCTATACTGCCATACTCACATTGAGTGGTGCATTTGCTTTAGCGTTTCTCTGCATACTTACAAACCAATCAGCATGCACTCCCCTATTCTGAGCCCATAAAAGCCCCGGACTCAGCCACACTGAGACAGAAATCACCTGACTGTGGGGGTGGGGGACCCCCTCAGTTCTCAGCATGCCCTGGAACAGCTCTCAGCATGCCCTCTCTGCTGAGAGCTGTTCCATCACTCAATAAAATTATTCCCCATCCTCCTCACCCTTCAATTATCAGCATATTCTCATTCTTCTTGGACATGGGACAAGAGGTCAGGAACCACTGCACATGAGTACAATCTATAACACAGGTGGGCTGGGGCACACCTGGCCCAGCCACAGGCTAAGCCAGTGCACAAGCTAGACTAAGCATGGGTGGGCTGAGTGAACAGGGTGCCTCCTGTGTCAGGCGGTGTGCCTAAGCAAGGCCTGGGGTGGGTCGTCATCGGCTAGAGGTTCTCAGCTGGCAAAGTGATTGAGAAAAATCCTACGTCAAAAGGAGGAGGAAGAGATATTTCAGACAGTTCTTGAAGGACAAGGAAGTGAAACATATTAAATACTCACATAGCTACACATTGATACCAGGTTTTTCTTCAAGGGAAAAGGCCCAGAGGCTGTATTTACCACTCTGGTCAATTTTCCCACAATCCAGAATCTGCCCCTCAATCTTCTAAACCAGAAACCCAGTTTTCACATTCTCTGAAGAATCAGGCTCACAGTAACCAAATAATAAACTCAGAAAACCCACTTACTTCCTCACACATACACACGGTAAACAAAAACACCTGTTATTTGGATGAGAAGAGCCTATGAACATAAGTGATCAGTAAACTCACTCCCTCTGGAAAGACCCACTTGGAAATTCAACAATAATCAGAAGGCAGCTTGATAATAATGAAATGAAACCAAGGAAAGTGAGAGGAAGCAAATATGTAATTGCCATTAGGCTTAGATGGTCTGATGTACGAGTGGTCATTAGAATTCTTATGGTTGCAAATGACAAAAAACCCAACCCAACTGGCTTAGGCAAAAAAGCGTTCATACAATTGAGAAAAACAGAAGCAGAGCTGATCCCAGGCATGACTTAATATAAGAACCCAAAGGGATCTAGTTCCTCTCTTTATATCTCTTGTCCTGGTTCCTCTTGGTTAGCCCTACCCCACACAAGTTCTCTCCACCATGACAGCAATGTGGCTGCAGTTGCTCCAGCATCACACTCTAAACTCCAAAACTACGTTAGGACATAGTTCCTTTTCTAGTAGATCTGCAAAAGTCCTAAGATTCACACATTATAGTCAGGGGAATGAAAAGTGTTTACTAGCCTAGGCTTATCCCATGCTCCAGCCCTTGAATTGGGGGTGGGACCATGCCTAAAGTATGTGGCCTTAGAATGAGGGAGGGTGAATCACAACATTAATCAAAGACTATTAATAAAAATAGGATGAACAGATACTATGAAGAAAACTTAACATCTTTCACAGCCTACAATTTATGATGATATGCTCTTGTGAAGACAGTGGGAAAACTTAGTTTGCTGTGCACACTCCTGCACCCAGTCTCCACATTATGCATGCCCTCATCAGTAAGCCTGTGGTCAAGACTCTCCCTTTCCTGGTTAGTGCGTGGACGTGCACTTCTTTTCCTGGGGCTCCACTGCTCACCAACTGCAGCTAACATAACACATTTAGTCTATCACAGCTGAGGCCTCCTGGTTGGAAGCTCTTTATTCTCTCTCCTACAGATGCCTTCACATGCCTGTGCTCTTATCCAAGGCAACTCAGATCCTTTGTGGAAGAAACAAATCTGTGCCCCATAGAAAGTTGGGGGTATAGTCTAACAAAACTCCTACAGACACATTTACTTTAAAGCCTTAAGCGCCACCTTAATATTTAATATAGATTTTTTCATTCTATGCTGCAGTATTTTTCCTACCTGCCAGGACAAATGGGATCCCCAGGACTATATGTCATGCTCCACACACTGAGCCCTGATTCACCCAAGTCATCAGTCCACATATAGACTTGGATGGAATGCGATCCCATAAAGTATGGAATCTGGCTCCCTGAGTGGCCGCTAAGGGACTAGCTGATGAACCTGGAAGCACAGAGAAGTCAACTTGGTGTGGGGCAAATAACCGGGGACAGAGAGAAGGGAAGGAGTTGGGCAGGTGAGTTTCCTCGTTCTCCTTCCCAGGGGCTGTCCTGCAATGTGGTTTCCCCTTGCTACCCTTGCCTGCCAGGTGACCTGTTGTGTCTCCATGGCTTGCAATGGAGTGGGGCCAATGCTGCTGAGTAGTGCCTCATATCACTTCCAATCTTCCCTTTTCTCACCACCATTTTTTCCCCTCACCTTCATCCCCTGGCTTCTACCTCTCCCATAAAGCAGCAGCACATTAATCTTGGCTTCTGGCTCTGGTTTCTAGAGGAGCCCAGGCAAAAACATGATCTGTTCTTGCATAACTCTCAAGAGAACAATCTTATTTCCAACTTTATAAGACATCTCAATATAGCAAGATCTGGCAACAAGCAGGGTAGAAAGGAAGGAAGTCCCAAGCCTAGAGATTAGCACGGCCAGAGGCACATAGCTGCCAGAGTCCATGAGGGAGCAGGATGATGAGGGGAAGTAGCAAGAAAGATGTCCCAAACACAGGAGGGGCTTATGGGCCAGGCCCTCTGGGAAGATGTTTACTATCCCTGCCTCCATCCCAGATTCTGAATACCGAACTAGGAGACTCCCTCCCCCCATCCTCAGTAAGTATTACTAAAGTAACGAGTCATTGTTACTGATCCCTCAGTTGTCACTGGGCAAGGAAAAGGCTGAGAGACACTGGCACAGGTGGGAAATGCAGGTCAAAGTGTGACAGGCACACTAACGGGCTTAGTCTTTCTCCTATAAACCATGGAGGGCATAAAGAGGTTTCTGAGCAATGGAAAGATAGAAACGATGATGGTTAATTTTGAGGGTCAACTTGATTGGATTGAAGGAAGCAAAGTCTTGATCTTGGGTGTGTCTGTGAGGGTGTTGCCAAAGGAGATTAATATTTGAGTCAATGGACTGGGAGAGGCAGACCCACTCTCAATCTGGGTGGGCACCATCTAATCAGCTGCCAGAGTGGCCAGAATAAAAGCAGGCAGAGGAACATGGAAGGAGTAGACTGGCTGAGTCTTCTGGCCTCCATCTTTCTCCCATGCCAAATGCTTCCTGCCCTTGAACCTCAGACTCCACATTCTTCAGCGTTTAGACTCTTGGACTTACATCAGTGATTTGCCAGGGGCTCTTGGGACTTCAGCCACAGGCTGAAGGCTGCACTGTGGATTTCTCTGATTTTGAAGTTTTGGGACTCGGACTGGCTTCTTTGCTCCTCAGCTTGCAGATGGCCTATTGTGGGACTTCACCTTGTGATCATGTGAATCAATACTACTTAATAAACTTCCCTTCATATATTCATCTATCCTATTCGTGCTGTCCCTTTAGAGAACTCTGACTAATACAGAAACAGAGCTGATTTTTAACAATACAATCCTGGTGACAATGTCGAAGATGAATAGTAAGGAAATGAGTTTGGGGGCTTTTTTTTCTAACCTGATGACTGGTGAGATGAGAAGGAAGTTGTTTCAAAAATGATCTCCAGTTGAGTGATGATGCTATAAAACAAGTCAGGAAATAAAGGAGGAAAAATTGTTTTACCAAAATGTGGAATAAACAATGAGTTTGGTCTGAGATGCTCTGGGCGTGAGGTCATATGGGACATTAAAATGAACCTATCTTAGCAGGCAACTGGAAATACAGACGTGGAGCTCAGGAGAGAAGTGGGGACTGGAGATAGAAAGTCACGTAGCATCAGCATGATGTGAGGGTGGAAGCCAAGGCAGTGGGTGGCATTGCCTGTGGAGAGAAAGGACTGTGGTGGAGCTCTGAGTGCAGCCAACCCAGCTGAGCGATGGCGAAGGAAATGGGACCAGGAGGTGGAATCAGAACAATCTGTCAAAAGGCAGAGGAGAGGCAGTCTCAAAGACTTCAAGAAAGCACCCAAAAGAGACGCAAATCAAGCTTAGATGTTGGATAATTTGAGGTTTCCTGAGCCAGTGCAAAGCACTACCCAGTACTTACGGCAATCTAACAAACAAGGATTTACTGCCTGCTCAGCACAGAACCCGCGACACTAAATTACCCCATTCATCATGGAGTTCTGGGCTGGCAGGACTACTTGGCATCACCTTCAGTCCTCAGCAATGCAGCTGCCGGACCACACAGGGGCCCCCTTAGCCTGGACGGGAGCCGAGCGAGCCACCTATGGGAGGCAGATTCCTGAGGTTCCTCACTGGTGGCCTCACACCCTTTGTTACCTGCTCCCCGTTTGCCTTCAGAGGCCCAGAAAGGAGGAGGGGATGGTCAGGGTGGGCTGCTGCCTGCAAACTCACAGAGTTTGCTAAGGGGCTTGAGCTGTTTCTGTAAAGATGTCTGTCCGCTTGTGAATTGCTGGACTGAAGAGGTGGACAAAAGCTGTTTTAATTCTTAGGTCCTCTCCAGAGGTGACAGTTACCAGAGTGTTTACAATGGAGACTTTTGCTGGCAACTTCAAATTTTCCCTACGACTGAGCTTTGTAACTTAGCAGAACCACTGGAGAAAGAGGAGGAACAAACTTGGATTCTCTAGGCTGTGAGCCTGGCACCATATTGAACACTCCACGCACATCGCCTCATTTAACCTTGAAAATGCCCCTGAGTAGTAGGTGTTGTTATCGATTATCTCCATCTTACAGACGAGAAAACAGGGCTCAAAGAATTAGTAAGCGGGGAAGCTGCATCAGACATTTTCAGTTTTCAGTAACAACTTCAGAGTTTCAAAATTCTTCCACATAGAATATTTCTTTTTGATTCAGAGACTCACACTGACTGTGAGAATTAACCCCATTATAGAAATATGAAAACTGAGAACCTGAAAGTTTAAGTGGCTTGTCCAAGATCCAAAGCTTGGGCCATCCAGACTTTGAGCTCAGTGTGCTTTCCACGATGCCTGCTGCTTCCTGCCCATTCCAGGAGAAAGTCTGGATGATACAAATAGGTGATTTTTTCCTATCGTTGGTAAAGACTTTCCTAAACCAGAGGCCTCTTTCTTGAAGGACTTATTAGGAGATCTCAAAATCTGCCAAGTTCCCGAGTGAATCCTGCAAAGTAGAGTTACAAGACGGCATCAGTGTAGGGGGAGATGGCCTCTCTGTGTTTAACAAAGCCCCGATGGTCACATTCTGGAGGTGCCTAGGAAGTATGGCCTTCCCGAGAAGTATGCCGCCTCCCTTCTTCATCTGCCACCCTGGGCCTCTGCTTCTGTAGGAACCAGCAAGGCTGCAGTCTTGGCCACTCACTGTGTGTTCTTAAACCTCAGACTCCATGAACTTGGCTTCCACTAATGTCTCTGTTCTAGCCCCCACAGGCTACTCTGTGCCACTCATTCACCAACTCACCTTGAAACAACCCCCTAATCGCATGTGTTTGCACTGTGTTCTCATTTAACTTACCCCTATTAAATGCTTCAGGCGCAGATGGCCGCCTCCCCAACGCAAATGCAAGGGGCCTTGTCTTGCTCCTCCTTGCACCTCTCCTCAGTTCAAACTTAGATTTGTTTTTTATTCTAGCCAGAAGTCAGATTAATTTTTTTATGACAATAACCTATTTCTTAGCAAAAGTATCTTTTTTGCTGTCGAATGAGTTTCAGTAACTTGTAAGGGGAGATAGTGGCAATTTCCTTTACAATTCCCTTTGCCATGGAGTCCTCCTTTCCAAGCAGGCTGTCATGACATTGTTCCCCAAGGAAGATGCCCTGACCAGTCATAAGTCCTGGATTGCCTCGCTCCCTTCGCTAAGCACTGGCCAGTGGAGAATATCAGGCTATTAAGTACCTTAGCACAATCTTTACTTTACCATTTGGAATAATGGTAATAATAACAAGTACAGTATTTTTATCATAATTTCTCATTTGATTTTAGACCTGGAAGGGCTGAGAGATTGAGTCTATCTCTCACTCACAGGTGAGGAAACAGATAAAGCTCAGAGCATCTAACATCCTGGACAAACCTCACAATCCTGTTCAAGGGTAGGCCAGCACCCATCTCACCAATCAGGAAACTGAGACATAGACAGTAATTTATCCCAATGGACTCAGCCAACTCCCAGCAGAGTGGGACCAGACTTTCTGTTTCCCAATTCCAGGTCTGGCACTCTTTCCCCTCAGCTGCAGGGTCTCTCCTTTGGCCAGAAAACCACTGGAAGAGGTACTAAGTAAATTGGATCATTTGTGACGCTGGACTGACCTTGGACCATACCAGCTTGGAGCACTGCTTCCAAAGGCCTCCCTGCTCCTAGGGGGTCTTTCGTCCATGATCCAAGCAGCTGTGTGTGCTCCCACTCCAACCCCCCTTCCTTCTCAGTCTGCCTTGAGTCATGAAGTGTGGAAACTCCAAATACCAAATCATCTGTTAGATACAAATTTCAGCTGAGTGCCATATAGCTCACTGCCATTAAAATTAATGTAAAGTGCACTGTCTGAAGCTCCCTATAGCAGCAGTTCCCATTTGTTTAAAGATGTTTTAGCTGTAAGTGATGTGAATCATTATGCAGCCCTGTTTGGCTGGAACAGATGAGGAGGATCAGGGACCACTCAGGAAGTGAGCCCAGCTAGGACTGCAGTGACAGCCCCCAGTCAGAAAGACAGTGAGGGCAGCCCCTGAGAAAAAGGTACAAGGTGCTTGCTATCCTTGGGGCACAAAGAGAAAGCCAAGAAGAGGGACAAAGGTGGCTGGACTTCCAGAGCAATTCCTCAGTCTCTTCTTAGGTCAGCCTGCATTGACAGCCACTTCCCAGCTGGCCATGCACAGCAGCTGGACAGACAGGCTGCCCCTGAAGCAGGTGTTTAAGGCGGGCTACCCCTTGTTATGGGGAAGGCAAGACGAATTGAAGACCCAGGTTTCAAGTTCAAGGAACTTAGATCTTGCTGGGAATTCAGGAGGTAAAACTCTGCTATCATTTGTGCCTGCCTGGCAACCTGTTCCCTTCCTTCTGGCAACAGCATCAGATTTCCCACGAGCATTCCTTCCCTCCCTCCCAGTCTGTGTTGGCACGGCCCATCTCCAAGGGCTTTACAACCCGGACTGCCCCAGGAGCACTTAGGAGTCCCTTAAGACCAGATAAACTATCTCCTTCCTCTTCTAGAATGACCCTTGAGAGTAGTTATTCACTTTCTCCTGTGACATCCCTCACCTCCATCTTTGCACTTATCACACTGAACTACGACTATGTGTTCATGTGCCGGTCTTCTCTCCCAGACCCTGGGCTTTTAAGGACTGGGGTGTCTTTTAATTATCTTCATATCAGCAGTGTATTAGTCTGTTCTTCACATGGCTGGGGAGGCATCACAATCATGGTGGAAGGTGAAGGAAGAGCAAAGTCACGTCTCACATGGTGGCAGGCAAGAGAGCTTGTGCAAGGGAACTGCCCTTTACAAAACCATCAGATCTCATGAGACTTACTCACTATCACAAGAATAGCATGGGAAAAACCCACCCCCAGATTCAATTACTGCCCAGCAGGTCCTTCCCACGACACATGGGGATTATGAGAGCTACAATTCAAGATGAGATTTGGGTGGGGACACAGTGAAACCATATCAAGCAGCTTCTAGCACAGTGCCTGGCACATGGTAGGTGCTCAGTTGATGTTGGATAGATGGATGAGTGACAAAACACACATAAACTATAAATAATATAAAAATACCATATGGGCAGACCCAGATATACAGACTTGTTGACGTTTTGTCAACCCTGAGTGCTACAAACTGTGACACGCAGAGGCTTTATTGCATTTATTAGTGAGGCAAGATAAACCCCATCTGACAGAGCCTCCTAGTCATATATCAGGCAGACAGTGCAAGATTAAACAATCAGCCCTGGCAGGCACCCGCAGCAACCTGGAGGTTATGCTGCATCTGGTGCTAAGAGGCTGGGCGAGAAAGCTTCCACCCCAGAACCAGAGTGTTCTTCAAAGCTGTGATCAGAGACGGGCGGGAGGAAGGCAGCCTGCAGAGGAGAAGGTTGTAAACTTGCCCTAAATTTTCCTGGTGTCTAGTTTAGGAAACCAAAATACTTAGTACTTGCCTGAAGCAGCTGAGGACCACCAGGCCACATGGAGTGAGGCTTCAGAACAAAATACTTTGCTATAAAAAACAGTTAGGCCGCAAGTCAGGTTCAGAGCAATACAGGGCATTTCTCCCCTTGTAAAATGCATGAACTTAATCAATAAACATCCTTCTTTCACAGCTCGGGTGCCCCAGGACAATCTTGCCTCGGTGGAAGAATTTTACATTTGAAGGTTTGTTCTCAAGATAAACAAATTCCAACTGAGATGCTATTTTCCTTCTCTTTTTCTCTCCGCCCTCAACTTAAAAGAACTGGTATATCTGCTTGTTCCCCAAGTTAGTATTAAGGGTAAGGTAAACTAAAAGTTATTTCTTCACTGAGCCACAATATGCCTCTAAATCCAATTTTTGTTGGCCCCAAGCAAAAACCAGTTATCTGATGGAAAGAAAATGTTTCCCTTTTACAAGATATGTATTTAGTAAACCCATGCATTCTACCAATTGTCATTATATTCCTATCCTTCAGTTGTTTTCAGAATGAGTCTACCGACCCAGCCATCTCCCAGGTTTTGGGGCTCATGGAAAAGGACATCTCCCTTGTCTTGCCCATTCCCACTGTTCCTGTGCACTGTCCTGGTACAGCCATGTAGAAGGGTTGCCACACTTATTTCCTGTCCTTCCCCTTCCCCTTCAGATGAGGACCAGTCTCCAAGAATCTTTTGATCCCTTCCAGGTACAACTTCGGACACCAAGTTGGCCCCAGGGTTTGCCGAGCTGAACAAGGCTGAGTGTAACTGTCCCTCCTGCCTGCTGTTGAGGCTGTTCCCTTAAATTAATAAGTGGCCACCTCCTGGGCCCTCTCTGCACGGGCAGCAGGTACAGCAGGGCATCCTGCATTATGAACACCTCTGCTTTGTGGTTGAGCTTTACAGCCTCCCAGTGAGGGTAAGAGAGCAGGTGCTACATTTTACAAGGGCGAGAACTGGGCTTTGTATCCAGTGACTCTGGAGATGGCAGGGCTGGGATTAAGACACGGCTCTGGCTCCAGACCCAGGGCTCTTTCCTTTCTGCCTCCTCCTCGTGTCCCCCTCAAGCACCATTCCACCGCAGGCAGTGCAATCCCTCCATTGCTTAAGCAGAATCTTGGCTCTGCCACTCAGGAGCTGTGGCACTTTGAGAAAATTACTCTGTCATTCTAAGCCTCCATTTCTTCATCTGTTAACTGGAGCTAAGAAGAACCCAGTTAATATTCCTCCAGGCTATTTCAAGAGATAAATGAGATGAGGTAGATGGAGCTCCTGGCACAGCAGACACCTCATAGAAAATGCCCAATAGCTGTTATTGTTTTAATCATTGATATTGTTACCTGGCTGAAACTGTTCAGTTTTGGAGCCAAAGCAAACCACTCAACTAGTAGGTCTTAACTCAGTCTTGGTCTTGGCATCATTGTTCCTGCATCCACCTCCCTTTCTTATTCTATAAACTAAAGAATCCGTCCCTTTTAGGCAGAACGTTTGTGGAATGTTGCTTGAGCTTCTAAGATACTTAGACAGCTTCCTCCAGGGAGGATTCTTAGAGACACAGTGAGGAGAGAAAGATTCAGGCCAGACACCTATCCTGTGAGGAAGTCAGGCCTCTGGCAGGACGACCCTTCCCTCGTCCTCCCTCGTGGAGCAGAAACCTCACTAGAGGCCACAGTATCAGGCTGGCTACCTGGTCCAGAAGTGGCCCCAGCCACCCTCTGTCTCCTCCCCATCCATTTCACCGTGTCCTGCTGACTCTGCCCCAGTGACATACGCAGGCTCTCTTGCCACAGCCACTGCCACCATCGCAGGCCATGCACCTCTCGCATGGACAGTTAACTGGCCACTAACGAGTCTCCTTGCCTTCAGACTTTCCTCTCTGAGGAGCTCAGCAGACAGAAGGCACCTCCCAATGGTGCCCCTTCTCAGCTACCCCCGACTTCACAAAGCAAACGGCTCAGCCCCGGGTCCCAGGCCACACGCCATCTGGCCATACCCCACATCACCCTACTGTCCTGCATGGTGCCACACTAATGCTCCAAATATCTGCCCAAGGGCCAGACTCACCCAGGTGTTTTATAAACGTGGGTATTCCCAGGCCCAACCCAGCCTTACTTACTGACCCTCTCTTGGGGTAGACACCCGAACTCTGCATTTGTAAAAAGTTCTCCAGGTGGCCGAAGCACAGAGGTGTATCCTGCATGCCTGCCAAAGAGAACCTGGCCAGCCCCCTACATTCGCCACATATGCTCGCCTCAGTGTTGCTCTCTCTGCCAACAGCTCCAGTCTCTGCCTACTACAACCCCCTCATCCTCCCAGGCCCACGTCAAACATCCACTCCTCCAGTAAGTTTGCCCCCACTCCTCCAGCCAGAAGGATGCTCTCTGTCCTCTGACTCCTGTACCATGTCGTCATTTCCTAGCCTTTCCTCGAACTCCCAGCCTTCGTTTCCTTATCTCCCACCCCAGGCTAACCTGAGAGGTATTCTTGCCTGGCTGCTCTCTAGCCCCTCTCCCCATCCATGTGGGGATGTTTTAGGAATTAATGAGTTATTTCATGTGGAGTACTTGAAATTCTGCCAATAAATGTAAGCCATTGTAATTATCGTTGCCATCCTGTCATCTCTGTTTGTGTTTTTGTCATGACTTGTGTGTATGTGTTTCCTCCCTCGGGACCCCGTTGAGAGAAAGGACTATGCCTGTATCATCTTCATATCCCGCATGGCAACTGACACAGTGTGGGCCACCTGCAGCACCTTCACTAAACGTTTGCTGAACGGACAGCAAGCAGAACCATCTCAATGCTTCCCCTTCATTCCTCTGCTCTCCGCCTGCCACTGCTACTGTAATTCAACCTCGAACAACCCATCACCATCAGAATTTGTAATTATTTATTTATTGTTTTGCAATTATTTGATTATCATCTGACATTTCCACCAGACTCTAAGTTCCCTGAAGGCAGGGATATATATATATATATATTTTTTTTTTGAGATGGAGTTTCACTCTTATTGACCAGGCTGGAGTGTAATGGTGCAATCTCAGCTCACTGCAACCTCCACCTCCCGGGTTCAACTGATTCTACTGCCCCATCCTCCCGAGTTGCTGGGACTACCACACCTGGCTAAGTTTTGTATTTTTAGTAGAGACGGGGGTTTCACCATGTTGCCCAGGCTAGTCTTGAACTCCTGACTTCAGGTGATCCACCCGCCTCAGCCTCCCAAAGTGCTAGGATTACAGGTGTGAGCCACTGCACCCGGCTGGGGTCTTATTTTTTTTTAATCTCACTATTATGTCCACAGACCTAACACATACGGTAAATAGCTTCCCCAAAAAGATTTTCAATTAGCAAACTCTAATTAATCAAAAACTAATTCATTCATTTACCAATGGATTTCTTTTTTAGTTATTTTATTATTCTAATATAATAGATGGTTCTGAATATTATAGTGGTTCTGGTCAATGAGTGCTCCTAGCAGCTAGACCTAGTCAGGGGTCGTGTCAGGGTCCAGGGCAGTGAGTATTAATAGTTGGATTGTTGCCTGCAGTCCAGTGCTAAGCAGGCATTCAGAGTGTGGGCTCTGCCATCAGCTGGGCTAGTGTAGGACCCCCTCTTACCACCTGCGTGACTGTAAACAAGTAACTTTTCTAATTTGTTAAGTGGAGATAAAAGGAGATCTACTTCATAGGGTTACTACGCATGTAAAATGCTTACTCAAAAGTTGGTTACTATGAGGATAATAATATTGGCTTCCAAATAACATTACAGACTAGCTTAATTAAACTTTTATGAGCTAGATCATGTGCTTCAATTTTCTTATCTATAAAATACTACATTCAAGTTCTTATTATATGATAAAAATGATGAGCTATTTACAAGGGAACAACAATAATAGAAATTTAGGGCCCATCTAAGTACATCCTAACCCCTGACCAGAAATTGTGACGGCTTAGTTTCTAGAAAATAAAGCCGTCACATGTTCTGCTTCCTTAAAGAAAGTTTGAGCAAATTTTAAACGCTCCTTGGGGAAAAACTAAAATGAGTAATTCTAGAACCAGGACAGAGAAAAGAAAGAATGGATCAACTCAACCACATTCTATAAGCCCTTCTAGCTGTAGCCCTTTACTTCCCAAGAATGTTGATGACAAACACTAAACATCATTATGACCCTAATAAAATTTAGGGTCCTACACGATCAGTCTGTGCACATTCAAAATTGCACAATACAGGGGCCACATGTAATTAAAGGGAACTGCTCATCTTCACTTGTAGCTCACAAAGTACATTCAAAGAGATTCGATTCCTAACTCAGCACAACACATCTCAACTCGCCTCCTCTCTGCGTGATGCTGTCTGGGAGATCCTCTAAACCTCAAATTCTTCCTTCAGCCCCAGCACCTGAGAAGGGAGACAGATCTTTCTCGTGTCTCCTCCGCAGTCACTCTCTGTATTGACTGATTTGTTCCTCTGTCATCCCACTCCCAACTCTTTTAACTTATCCCCCTCGCTCCACATCACAAAAGATCCTGGACCAGGGCTGGCAAAATCTCTCCTTTCCTGGAGGATTGAATGGAGGCAAGTAGTGTGGGTAGAAGGCGGTCATTGTCTTCCCAGCATCCATCGCCTCCTCTTTTAGTAGCTGCAAATTTTGATTTCCTTTGCTGACTGCGGGTCATTTTAGTGGAACTGCCAATGAGTACCTGGCCAAGGGGAGAGCACGTGACTCAGGCAAGATGAGGCCAACCCTCCCCATTCATTCTCATGGCAGTCCCTGGTTCTACCCTGGCTGGTTCCTGCCTCTCACCAGCTCTAGCTGCCCAGATCACTGACATCATTTTCCCAGCCTAATTCTTCTGTCTTCCCTTGGACTCTGTGAGCTGTCTAAAGTACTTCCAACAAATTTGTCTGCTTAACTTACCCAAGTTGATTATTGTTGTTTGCAACCAAAGAACACAAGCTGATATCTAAAACTCACTTTTTAATTTAATTTTTTTTTTTTTGACAGGGTCTCACTCTGTCACCTAGGGTGGAGTGCAGTGGCACAATCTTAGCTCACTGCAGCCTTGACCTTGTCAGGCTCAGGTGATCCTCCCACTTCAGTCTCACAAGTAGCTGGAGCTACAGGCACATGCCACCTCGCCTAGCTAATTTTTTGTTTTTTGTAGAGATGGGGTTTTGCCATGTTCCCCAGGCTGGTCTCAAACTCCTGGGCTCAAGCGATCCTCCCACCTTGACCTCCCAAAGTGCTGGGATTACAGGCGTGAGCCACTGTACCTGGCCTAAAACTCACATATTAATAAATCTTGTCGTCACCTTAGTTTGTAAGAATATGGTGCAGCATGGACTAGTGAACCTAATCTTAACTGATGCAGTTATTACAACTCCAGTCAAAAGTTAGCTTTTATGAAACCTGCTTTTTACTACTTATGTCTATCCCCCACGAAAATCATTTGAGCATGTTGAAAATTCCTAGTGAAGAAAGGAATCACGGCTACTCATTTTGTAAAACCTACATTTACCCTCTAGAGGCTACTCAGAGTAATAAAAACCACACATGGCAAGGTGTCAAAATATTTGGCCTCTCTCATTTACTGGCCGTGTATCTGCAGCTCAATCATTTAATTTCCCTGACCTTCATTTACCTTGTGTATAAAAATACAGATAATAATATCAGCTCTTTCTACTTCTCAAGGTGATTGTGAGGTCCAAATTAGAAAATCAAATGAAAAAATGCCTTGGGAATCATTAACTTTGGGCCTATGGCCCAGGCAAAAATTAAAGCCAACTATGGGCACTGTCTTCTCCTAACTGGTTCTTCTTCCTCTTACCTCCTGGCTTAGCTATTCTCTTCACTGCTTCCCCCTCCCTTCCCGCTGTTATAGTCCCTGTGAGTAAAATTGCCCTTTCTCAGCTACCATCACGGGTCTGGATGAAATACGCCAGATGAAATACAGGTATGTCAGGATCAGTAGTATCATCCTTTTACAACGTGAATTCCTAATTAGACTGCGTCCATCTCAGTTTTTTAAAAAATGAATTTGTACGCAGTACCTAACTTCAGACCACAGCATGGAGGCACACACTCAACACAACCCAGAGGGACGATGATGGGCCCACTCGAAGTGGAGTCTCCTGGGCTTAGGAGAACCGAGATCCTCTCTGAGCTTTGCTTTTTTTTTTTTTTTTTTTCTATTAGAAATCAAGATGGAAGAAAAATGTTCCTCATTCTGCACTCTTGAAAGTAAGAAATTGTTACTTTATTGCAACTTGGTTAGCTAGAGATCTTAACCAAAACCTGCAATTATAAATGGTTTCTACTCAAATTTCTGTTAAAAACAAACAAACCACATTCTAAGAAGAGGAGGGAAGTGCCTGGTGGAGAGAGAAGTGGAGGCAGAAACTCTGAAGATGTAGACAGCAAAGGAGCAGGACAAGATGCCCAGAGTCCAGAGGCCACGGCTGAGGAGTGTGGGGAGTTGAGGGCAGAATTCTGTGGTTACCATGGGGCTTACGTTCAGAGCAAGCCACGGGCTCCACTGCCTCTTCTGCCCCATAGTGACGAACTACTTAATGAGAGCCACTGGAGCTTTTCCTAGGGACTACCAGCAAGTTGCTTTCCAGGACACTGTAGCCTGTTAATAATGTAACAGCAATCATCGCTGAGCTCTCACCAACTGCCAAGATGCCACACTAAATTCTTTTAAAACTCTTGCAGGTAGGTACTGGGGTCAATTGTATTGTCATCTGAGTATTTACTGCCCTTCCAAGGGAGAGCGGATACTCTTTTCCCCATTGATTTGGATGTCACCAATGATCCCCTCACCCCACCTTCTGCCACTGAAATGGCAAGCGACCCAGACAGGTGCTCCTGTGTTAGCCAGGGCCAGAGAGAAGATGACAGGGAGCGGCAGAGCTGCAACTGCTTCACCATGAACATGAGCATGAGCAAGAAATAAACCTTTGTGCTTGTTTAATACCGCACAATGTATTTAAGCTGACATTATCATGGGGCCGTTGGAGGCTCAGAGAGGGTAACGACCCAAGGTCACACTGCCAGTGGGTGGCAGCGTCCTTCTGAGTGAGCATGTCGCCATATCCTTCCTGGACACCCTCTCCCTGTTGCCCCTCTTCAGCCACCTGCCCTCATGTGCATCTTACCTGGCGTTGGCTCTCCATGAAAGCCAACGACAAAGGCAGCCCTCACTTCTCACCTCGGTTGGCTTCTCTTTAGCACAGGCGCTGCTAACCATTTCCTCCTTCCTCAAATGCTCCCGTGGGAACCTCCATGACCTTGCCTCTCTCCGGACCTCTTTTGGCATTTCTTTATCCCCCCCGCCAGGCAGCCTTGACTTTGTAGTTACAGCAGAGGCTTTACAATCAGACTGACTCCACAAGATCAAATATACAGTCTTTATTTCACCAGCTGTGTGATCGTGGGCAAGTCACTCATCCTCTCTGAGCCCCGGGTTCGTAAATAGAAAACTGGAATAAGAACACCTCCCTTGGCCGGGCGCGGTGGCTCACGCCTGTAATCCCAGCACTTTGGGAGGCCAATATGGGTGGATCACCTGAGGTCAGGAGTTCGAGACCAGCCTGGCCAACATGGCAAAACCCCATCTCTACTAAAAATACAAAAAATTAGCTGGGCCTGGTGGAGGGCGCCTAGAATTCCAGCTACTTGGAAGGCTGAGGCAGGAGAATTGCTTCAACCCGGGAGGCAGAGGTTGCAGTGAGCCGAGATCGCACCACTGCACTCCAGCCTGGGTGACAGAGTGAGACACTGTCTCAGAAAAAAAAAACCTCCCTTGCAGGCTGTGGTGAGCATCACTAAATGGGCAGGCATGAGAACGGGAACATGCCAACCAGGGGACTACCCAGGCCCTGTATGTGGGAGTCTTTCCCCACTCACTTGCCTGAGGAGCTGCTTTGTACTTCCTGACCCTACCCTTCTCCCTCTGGTCAGCCAATTCATAGGCTGTGCTGGACCCGTTAAGATTTTCTTAATGAGTCAAACTGTAAGATCCAGAAGCAAATCAGTTAGATCCATCTGCAGTTGTATCTGCGCAATCTTCAAATGTGTCCAGAATCTGACCTTTTCTGTCACCTCCTCAGCTTCTGCCCTAGTCCAGATCGTCATGTGTCATGCAGATGGCTGCAACAGTCTCCTACCTGCTCTCCTGGCTGCACCCTCCCTCCCAACTTCTGTCTCCACACAGTGCTCGGAGCTATGTGTGAGTGGCACCATGTCCCTCCACCACTCCCGTCTCACACCTCTTGTGGCTTTGCATGACTCGTTCCCGTGTTATCTCTTGGAATTCATGTCCGATGACTCCCTGTCTCCACTCCACCCAAAGCACATGGGTCTCCTGGCTGCTCTGTGGACACCTCAGACAATGCCCCACCTCAGGGGCTTTGCCCAGATTCTCCCATTTCCACTGCTGCACCTGCATCCTTCGGGTCTCTGCTCTGATGTCACTGGGGCAGAGAGGCCTCCCAGGTCAGCAGTTACCAAGACAGCCCCAGCCCACACCTCTCAGCTGCTTTCCAGACCCTCCTTAAGCTTCCTTTTTCCTCACAGCAGGATTGCCACCTGAAATATCTCTTTTTCTGTTGAATATCTGTCTCTTCCACAGGAATGTCACCTCCTGAGATCAGGGACTCTGCTTTGATATTCACTGCATCCCCAGTGCCAAAAGATACCTCCTGACATACATTTGTATTGAATGAGTGATTAGATGAATAATGCTGAACTCTTGAACTAAAAAGCCACAGTTGGGCCATGGGGAAGCAAGGAAGGCATCAGCAGAGAGAAACAGGGAGAGGAAGCAGACACATTCCTCCCAGAGAGCGAAGATGCCAGAGAGAGGGGAGAAGCACTGCTCCTGATGGCCAAGGCCAAGTCCCAGGGGGTCCAGCTGTTTCCTGCCTGCGATATGACAGCACCACAGACATACACGCACCATGCACACACAGACCACACACACCTCATACACACTATGTACCCACAGACTGCAGACACCACACACACACACAGACCACACACACCTCACACCTCACACACTATATACCCACAGACCACACACCCCCACCACCACACACGTACATACACATCACACACATGCACCTTACACCCCCCCATCCCCTACACACACACTTTCTGGAAAGCCTGGAGCAGGTTCCCGAGTCCTGCTGCTGCCGAGCCCACATGGTGGTGGTGCATCCAACACAGACCCAGAGCACAGCAGGCTCCTTTAGTGCGAGTTCCCCATCTCCCATCTACTGCCTTCACTATGAGCAGCTCTCACGCTTCAGAACTTACTCCAGTCTCCACTTCCCTAGAGTCTTGGTTCCTGTAGAGTCACAGCAGCAAATAGGCCCTCGCCCCAGCCCAGCCCTCCCCACCCCCGAACAGCGCTTCTGGTCTATCAGTGGGTCCGCGGAGCTCAGCATGTTCCATGCTGCTTCCCGTGCAAAACTGGCTCTCCACCCCAACTGCCCTGTCCGACAGCAGCGCCTTTGATTTTGTTATTCTGGTCAGCACCTAGAAAGTCATATTTAGCATCTATCTCCTTCACCCCTATATCTGTCCACACAGCTTGTCAATTCTCTCCAAACACTTCCTGAAGCCAACCTTCTTTTCCATTTCCACAATTAGAGATTATAGCACTTCACCCGGAAATCCTTCTCTAACCCCAGAAGAAATCAGGTCCCCATTTATACTCGAATAGCCCCTGCACTTTTATAGAATTGGCCATGGCTTTTAACAACATATTTTTGATATTATTTAATTAATGTCCCTCTCTCCCATTGCACTATAAACTCCCCTGTGGGAGTTTACATTCTGGTCCTTTACAATAGTATTTGTAAATACATAGTTAAAAATACTATCAGGCCATTCCCAATAAATGCCATTGGGTGAATGAATAGAGCTATTTTTTCCCTCTGTTTATTTTGCCCTCGCCCCCAGCTATAATGTAAGTTTCCCAAAGGATGGCGCTGTGTGTTGCTACTGCTTGCATCTGTGTCCCCAGCCCCTGTGCTTAGCACAAAACCAGGAGCACACTAGGTGCTCAGGAAATAAGGACTTATTGATTGCTGTGCCCTTGTCAATCATTCAGATGTTGAGTTTGTTTGGGGAAAGGCAAGTCCTCACTCCCAAGTGACCAGGCAGGCATCAGCCAGGCCCTACCAGCCCCAGCTACCCGACAATCAGGAACGTCAGCGTTTCCTCAGTGGCCCACCAGGCTGGCTCCTTCCTCTGCCTCCTGATAGGGCAGTAATTAGAAACAGCAGTCATCACCATGTCACATTCCCTGGAGCACCCTGCTGCAAGCACGGAACACATGTAGCTGTGAGACCACCTGCCAGGAAGAGAATAGAAGAGTCATTTGCTGAACATGCAGGGGTGAGGGCTAAGGGGACGAGCTGCTGCATAGCAAATAGCTGCCCCCTCTTCCCCAAAGCCCTAAATAATTTCTCCACTTAAAAAAAAAAGGAAAAAATACACAATTAATTTTTCATGTAGATCATCCCACTTGGAAGCTTAGGAAGGGCTGTGCATACTAACAGCCTGAAATGCCACACAGTTGGCCTGGCTTAGATAAAACCAAGGAGGGAATGAGTGGAGAAAAAGCCCAGTGGCCCTGGCCTGTGGCCCTCACTGAGGGCACCGACAGAGTGGAGGGTCTCTGCTGATTCTCTCTTGTCCTTAAGGGCCTGCTTCAGGCCATGTGGGGTCACCTTCACTGCCACGTTTACCATAATGACACTGGGAGGTAGGATTCATTGTCTTCATTTTATAGACGAGGAAACTGAGGCAAGGGGAAGTTAGGCTCCTCGGCCAAGGTCACCCAGCCAATGGGAGGCAAAATCAGGATTCCATGTCCAGCACTCAGCCCCTCTGCACTCCCGTGCACAGCGCTGTTTCCCAGCAGGCATTCAGGCAGACGCTGGGTGACCATCTGTCTGCGACAGAGGCAGGCTCTTCCTTTCTGGGAGGGAGGATGGGCTCCAGCAGAGTTGCCCAATCCAGATTTTCCTGCGCACGTGTTAAATGTTTATCTCCCTGCCTTCGCCCCAGAGTGAGGAAGGGAGGAGGAGAGGTGCAGAGGGGAAGAGGGGAAGAGGGCTCCACGTTCCTCGCGGCTCCTCAGTCCTCCAGCACTGCCACAGCAAGGGGGCTCAAAACATCAACACTGGCCAGATTCCCCGGGCCTGCATCCTCTCTGTCGCCCACCTGGCTGTGTGACCGTGGGCACATGGCTTAACAGCTCTACATTGTTGCCTAGGGCTGCCGTCCCAAAGTACCAGAGACCAGGTGGCTGGAAACAAAAGAAAAGTAATCTTTCACAGTTCTGGAGGCCAGAAGCCCAACATGAGACTGGCGTTGGTGTTGTTTCCTTCTGAGGGCTCTGAGAGAAGCTGCCCCAGGCTCTCCCCTGGTTTCTGGAGGCTGCCAGCCATCTTTGGTGTCCTTGACTTGTAGCTGCCTCACCCAGCCTCGACCTCTGTCCACATGGCATTCTCCGTGTCTCTCTCTCTCCTGTTCTCATGAGGACATCAATCACAATAGGTTATGAACCCAACTCTACTATGACGTCATTTCCACTAATTATGTCTGCAATACCCCTTTATCCAGATAAGGTCACATTCTGAGGTACTGGGGGGTTAGGACATCAACGTATCTTTTCCAGGGGACACAATTCAACCCATATCTATCTCTGTGCCTCTCTTTGGCGTAAAGGAAGAGAATAATAGTACATACAGTCACACATTGCTTAAAAACGGGCTTCCGATCTGAGCAATGTGTCATTAGGTGATTTTGTTGTTGTGCAAACATCACTGAGTGTACTTACACAAACCGAGATGGCATAGCCTACTACACACCTAGGCTATACGGTGTAGCCTATTGCTCCTAGGCTAGAAACCTACACAGCATGTTACTGTCCTGAATCCTGTAGGCAATTGTAACACAATAGTATTTGTGTATCTAAACATAGCTAAAGACAGAAAGGGTGCAGTAAAAATGTGGTATTATAATCTTACAGGACCACTGTCATATATGCAGTTTGTCATTGACTGAAACGTTGCTGTGTAGCACGTGGCTGTACTTCATAGGGTGTTTGTGAGGATTGAATAATTTAGTACATGGAGTGGGCTTAGAACAGTGCCTGGTGTAGAGTAAGAACCCGATAAAGTTGTGGGTGATTAATAATGCTGTCATTATAATTGTCTGCAGAAGAGAGGGAATTGTCCCTTTTTTTTTTTTAAACACTCACTGAAGAGACTCTATTTTCTTATAGAAACAAATGACTAGGCCCGATGTAGTGGCTCACACCTGTAATCTGAGCACTTCTGGAGGCCAAGGCAGGTGGATTACCCAAGGCCAGGAGACCAGTCTGGGCAACAGGGAGAAACCCTGTCTCTACTAAAAATACAAAAATTAGCCGGGTATGGCGGTGGGTGCCTGTAATCCCAGCTACTCAGGATGCTGAGGCAGGAGAATTGCTTGAACCCGGGAGGCAGAGGTTGCAGTGAGCCGAGATCATCCCACTTCACTCCAGCCTGGGAAACAGGGAGAGACTCCATCTCAAAAGAGAAAAAGAAAAGAAACAAGTGAATAGATGTTTAGATATTCACTAGCTAGGACTCTTGGTTGAATATAGCAGAAATCTACTCAGGCCAGCATTGGCAGAAAGAGCAAGTCAGTGCTATAGACTGAATGTTTGTGTCCCCTCAAAATCGATATTTTGAAACCTCACCCCCAAGGTGATGGTATTTGGAAGTGGGGCCTTTGGAGTTATTAGATTATGAGGGTGGAGCCCACATGAGTGATATTGGTGATATAGTTAGGAAATCAGAGAGTTTGTTTTTCCTTCTGCCATGTGAGGACACAGCAAGAAGACAGCCATCTATGAATGAGGATGTTCATAGGTGGATGCCTCAGGGCAACTAGGATGTCCTCACAGATACCACATCTGCTGGTGCCTTGATCTTGGACTTCCCAGCCTCTAGGACTGTGAGAAATAAATTCCCATTGCTTAAAAGCCACCCAGTCTATGGTATTCTGTTACAGCAGCCTGAATGGACTGAGACAGTGAGTAAAATGGAGGAACAAAAGCAGGAATTCCAAGAAGGCTTGAAAACCAGTATCTGGATGGCTGTGGGGAATTCAGGAAGCCTCCTTCTCTATGTTGTCTCTCTGCACATCCACTTTGCTCTTCAGCCTAACAGGACATAAATCCTCCTTACCTGTGTGATTTGGGGCAAATCAACCTTTTTGTACCTCAGTTTCCTTATCTGTGAATGGGGATGAGAATAGAGTTGCTGGGAGGGTAAATGAGTTATTACATATAAAGTGTGTAGCATGGCATAGAGGAAGACAGTATGAGAGTGCTAGCTTTTAGTATTAGTCTCCCTGTGTGGCTTCTCCTGCTATTCTGTCCACAAGGTAGAAGACACAGCTGCTGACTACTCCAGAGTTTTCCCAAATCCTCTCTTCAAGAGAGCTACCTGGGCTGTGGCTGAACCTCTTCTTGGTGACTGCAAGTTGCTGGAGAAGCATCTTCTGGCCAGCCTGGGTGGGGAGCCTACCCTTGTGGCCATGTGGATAGAGGAGGAGGCCTGGGAAAGAGGCCTGAGAGGCAGCCTGACTCATGTCCAAGGCCATCGCATCCTGTTCTAGATTCTTTTCTTCTGCTGAAAAGGTCTCTATAAGCACTAGATGTAAGTTTGCTGCCTAGACTTTCAATGTAAGCCAGATCACATCCTTCCCCATTTTCGCTGATTTCCCATGACACCTAGAGTAAGATCCACATGTGTGAGCTTTGTTTACAAGTCCCACCCAGATCCAGCCCCTGCCTGGTCCTCAGACCCTCCCCAGGCCTCTCACCCCTGCTGACATGCTGGCTTGCTTTCTGCTCCTTAAGCATGGCAGGCTTGCGTCCTTCTCAGGACTTTTGCATGTGTCATTCCTGCTGCCCATAAAAAGTCTTCCCCCAAGATTTCCACATGACCAAATCCTTAGATCTATTTAGAGCTCTGCTCAAATGCCACTCACCTCCCGAGAGAGACCTTCCCTGACCTCCTTATCCAACAGCCGCCCTTATCCCCACCTCCCATCATTCTCAGTCCCATCACATAATTTTCCTTCTTCCAAGCAGTGATCACCCTCTGATTTTATCTCATCTGTCTCCGGGCTTACTTGTTTACCTTCCATCTACCTCGCCTCCACAGAACATCAGCCTCTTGACAGTAACGACCTTGTTGCTCTTGTTTACCCTGATGCCCCCTGTGTCCAGTGCAAAGCCTGATAGATCATATATACCAACTTTTTATTTATTCACGGGATGAACACGTCCGTGAATAAATACCTTCTGAACCTAGTAACATGTGAGGGATAGGGTCAGAAATTTCTCCCTGTGTTGCCATGAGGGAGCCATTCCAATCTTGCACCACCCACCCTAGCATGCCAACATAACATCTTTAGGCTCTGCAGGCTGGCTTCTCAGACCCCCCATATTATGCAAGGTATATGAACTGTCCTTTAAAAATTCATACCAGGCTTTTTTCCCATTGCCCTGGATTTACTTGATTTATCCAACTGCCGGTAGTAGAGTTCTTCAGTTATGATTTTTAGGCATCACTAATAGCACTTACTGAAGATCAAAGCCAAGCTAGCTATTTTCCCCCTTTAGTCCTCTGCAACCGTAGAAGTTCTCCAATCCCATGGTTTGTCTGATTTTATTATCACCCAAGGATGCAAGATGATTTATTTGTTTACATAGGTTCAGATTATTCAAATATTCTTTTATCTACTCTGTAATAACCATTCTTTTTCTATTGCCTTAATTGTATCTTATTAGACATCTTGGTTTTGTTTTATGCCGTGTGGCCTTAGGATATACTGATGTGCTTAAACATTCTCACACATACTTTAATATATTGTAAGTCACTTAAACTCATTGTAACTTGTCTTTGAGCTAAGAAAGCATCATGGATTGCTCTCTTGGGAAGAAACACTAAACCAAGTGATCTTTTCCTGCATTCTAATGTGAACACACCCAGGCTTTGGAACACTCTTGCCCTGCTCTCCTCCACATGCTGGGCATATCCCAGCACCTTCAAGAGAAACAGAAGAGAAAGTAGAAACCCCCTCTACTATCAAAAGAGGTTCTCAGTAGCATAGCGGCCAAAAGTGTCCAGGTACCAAAAAATACCTCAGAAAGGGTTTTATAAAATCTTTTGACTACAAAGATGAATTAGTCTCTGGTCCTCACAGCATGCAAAATAAAGAAGCAGTCTAAGTAATGACACCTGTCCCAGTTGGACTCCAGCTTGCTTTCCTTCGCTGCTTCTTGGAGTCTGAATTCCATGTTTGATTAGCCAATGTTTCCTCTCTGTGACCCACAAGTTTCTGGGTAATCATCTGCAAAGTCAGAGAATTGAGCTGAGGTTGGATTGCAGGCAACCCCACCAAGTCTTGGAGGTCTCCAGTGTCCTCTGTCCAGATCCCCTTGTGGCTTTTCAGAAGCTGTCCTGTCCCTGTGAGTTCCTCTTCAGTCCCAGCACCTCTCTACAGCTGAAGGGCATGGCTATGGGGCCCTTGGCCCAGAAACTCATCAGAATGGACTCACATTCCTGAATTACATGTGGAATGGATGGGGCCCAGAGTAATTGCCTCATTTCATCAGAGAAGACCTGAAATTAATTCCTCTCTTTAATGAATTACCCAGGGAACTTTCCTTTTCCAATTTTCCTTCTGGTTTTAGGTTTCTTTCATTTTCTTTCCTTCATTGTTCCCCCAATCCCTCCTGGGGCTGGAGATCATAAAATTGTTTCTTTTCCTGCTGAACCCTCACGGTTTATGGCCATTGGCACTGGAGCTTCCCTGTGGCTCCCCAATCATTTCCTTCCTAATAGGAAGCAGCAGGTTTAGAGTGGTTGCCTTGTCTTCTTTCCAAGCCATAACATTTTCTTTCTTCCTTGTGATTCAAGAACTTCTAGGATGCTCCATGGGTCCCCCAGCAGCCAACAGTAGCTAAACTCCTACGAGTGTCCTGCTACTAGATTCTGTGTTTATGGTGACCTGTGTGACCACAGCAGCCAAGCCATCATCAGCTGGTGGGTGAAATTTTCAGAACATTTAAAAATGCCTAGCTCCCACTACACACCAATGAGGTGTTGATTAATATGGCTAACTTTAACATAGTCGATGAAGGCCATAAAAGCCACCTGCAGTTCTGTGTGGCTGACCCAGGGCCCCCTTGCAAAGCCCAAAGACAGACCATTTGGCTGTACTAAAAGTACTGCCGCAGGAGGAAACAGAAACTTTATGCTCTCTGTCCTTGTGCCTCATGGAGAAGACTCCCCTTGCTCCACTCCCCCCACCCACTACCCCACCTGCCCCACACACCCCATTGATATACATTAGCAATTGTGTCTAACCAAAGAGGAACATAGACATGGATGCAATAGTTTATTCGAAGACTTCCCTCCCCCAAGGAATGCAAGGCCTTTTACAAAATGGCCATTTCCTGATACAGGAGAATTGCTTATAAAAATGGAAAAACCAAGACACAGATAGAAGATAGCCCAAGGTCACATTTGAGAGTCAGGAGTAGAATGAGTGTGGCCCTTGGTCTTTTCCAGAGTTGTGTTGTATGCAGCACTGTGGACAGTGATGTTCTCAGAGCAGCTGTTGCAGGGCAGGCAGTAGTTTGAGCAGTCAATGCAAGCTGCTGGCCTGGGAATCTTCGTGGCTTTTAATTTTCTCAGGATTCTTGGGGCTGACAGGACCTTTTCCCAGTCCAGGTCCACACAGTCAGTTTCCAAGAATTAGTCACAGACTTCCATGTGTAGACTGAACTGCCAAGTCACCACCTAGCCTTGGCTCACAACACTGAAATCATAATTACACTGACACAGGTTACCATAGGGGGCCCAAACTAGGACACTTGACATTTACAGATAGGAAGAGCATGACTGCTTATGTAAATTACATCATAAAATAGAAAGGAATTTAATTATTTTCTGTTGATTTGGCAGCAAAACAAAATGACTTTTAACAAAATATTTAACAAGGATTTTTTTCATGTTGAGTCTTAAGAGATTTATGTTCTGGAGCAGCTATCCATTCATAAACAGTCAAAAGGCAACATATATAAATACAACCTAATACTTATCATTAAATTGAGTTAAATGTTGATTTTTAAAATTTCCTTTTTGGTGTGTGTAAGCAACGTGTAGTGGTATGTGGAAAATAGCTTCTGTGTGCCTTTTGTTGAAACTTTGCATCACAGTTGTATAATGAATGGTGTGAGGTGAAGGTGGCTTAGTGTAGCGGTGTGAATCCAGGCTTTGGAGTCAGTCCAGCTTCCTGGGATCAAATCCCAATTCTGCCACTTGTTAGTTATGAGATGCTGGGTGGTAATGTGGCCTTTCTGAACCTTGGTTTTTCATATGTAAAATGGCAATGATCACCCTCTACTCTATAAAGTGGAGGCTTAAGTAATTTATATGAGTATCTTAGTTCCATACCTGCTACATAAATAAGCGCTTGAGAAACAGTAATAATTATCATGAAGAGGAATGTTATAAATTTCAAACATGCCCATGTGAACCATGACAGGGCTGGAGAGTGGGGGCAGGGAGACTCTAGAGGGAAAGATCATCAGCTATGCTTCGCTTCCACCATTGGAAAAGGGAATATTTCACCCAGGAAAGGTAGGAGATGAAAGATAAAGATGACTATTAAGTTAGAAGAAGGAGCCATTCAGTAGAGTTAGAGAGACAGGCTGCTGAATTCTTTGAAAGACACAACCATAGACCTATGGAGAAGACTCTAATCGTGTAAAAGTGAGAGAGAGAAACAGGGTAGAAGTCGTTGCTCAGACCACTCCAGCTTTTTACTGGTGCCCTAATATTTGTGTTCTAGAGTATACTGTGTCCACTGGGGGACACTAAACAGCCCTGGGCACCATGGTTGGTATTTTGAATAAGCCATAACTGAGCTGGCACTTTGGCTTAAGCAAACATTCTGGTGGAGGACTATAATCAGAGGTAAAGGCCTCAAGTAAAAAGCAGAAAGAAATGTGTAAAATGAGTTTAAATGGGGGGAAAAAACTAAAGGAAACCTGAAATCAAATATAAAGCCAGAAAGGGAAAAAGAAAATTGATTTTATGATAGATCCAAGATTTTTTAAATCTCCTCTGCTAAGAGGGACCCAGACTTCAACCCTCCTCCTACTCACTAAGCAATATCAGCCCAGATTATGCATCCATCCTGAAGGACTCAAGAATAACGCCTGATCTGACCCACTTACCATCAAGGGGGCTCTGCCAGAATGAGGGCCAAAGGGACCCTTTTGAGGAGAAGCTTTGACACTGGGGATATGAAACCCAAAGGTGGAGTTGAAGCATTGCTAAGCATCAGTGGATTCTGGGAATTGCTTTTCTCAGGGCCTCCGAATGCTTTGGAATCAGGTGGATATCTTGGTTAGAGAGTTCTCAGACCAGAGTCTCACCATTTGGCTTCAAAAATGCAAATCTTCATGCTGGCCCAGGGGTGGCACTATTTGAAATTAAATCAGAAAATGTCAGCTCACAGTATGGGTCACTGTTTTTCAGGCAACTGAGGAATAGAATGTCCAGGTCATGCATGTTCTGCCCATTAGATCCTGAAAATGGCCAGGGCATTTCTCAGCCTCAACAGTTTCACAGGGCATATGTGGAAGACCGATGTTCATTGATCTCCTTTCTGAACCCCTTTAGGATGGTAGAATATTAGGTATTTACAAGGTCCAGCTTTGTGAAGACCAAAAAACTGGTCCAAGAGATAGGGAAACAGCTGAAGAGGTTGATGGTCTATATGTCGATCAAGCTGAAGTCAAGGTCACCTTGACTGAGGAAAAGCCCCCTGTTCCTCTGCCTAAGACAGCCCATGGGCTCTCCTGGGGCATGGGAATGGCCTAGACGATTCCTGAGACAAGTCAGTCCTGGTCCTTAAGGACACCCACACTGTTAGGCTCAGCAAAAGAACATGCCTTCTTGGAAGAAGCGAAGCCCAGGAACCAAGTCTACCACATAGAAGACTGGAAGACTCCACTATGTTTTAATTTTTCCATCTACACAATGAGGATAATAATGACACCCACCTCAGAGGAGTAGTTCAAGGATTCAATGAAATGAGTATATCTACAGTGCTTAGAACAGTGTCTAGCACATTCAATTAATGTCAACAAATACATCTCAATAAATAGCACTCAATAAATGTCAGTGATGAGGACAATGAAGAAGGGGAGGAGGAGGAGGAAGGATATGTCATTCAAAGTCAGCTAAAGCCAAATCCCTCAAGAGAACAGTCTTTTAGCATTTAGTAAGAGAAAAAAATGTTTTCTCCAAGGGAAACTGATGAGAATATATATATTTTTTCCCTGTGTGCAAGATTCTCAAAGTTAAGTTTTAATCTTCAGTTGCCACTATGTTAACTCTTGTGTTTAGAATATTTTCTTTTTTCTCTCCTTGGTCCTGATCTTCTATTTTATTGCTCTTGTCTTTTATGTCCTTGGTTGTAAGCTGCCTGAAATTCCTGTTGGAAAAGGTGGGATATAAACAATAAAATAAAAATAAAGAGAGACACTCCATAAAAGTTTGCTGAATTTATTGAATTGTCAAATCTTTCCACATAAACTGACTGCTTCTGAAAAATGAGTAAGCACAAGAGAGAGCAATAACAGAAAAACATTCTCCTTATTTTCTTGTTTATGTATCAAAATTCTACCTAGGAGAGCAATCCCATTTCTCTTACTTCCTGGAGCCATAATGCAAATCCCCTTTTCCCTGTATGAGGATCTGAGGACCTGCGTGAGGGCAGCTGCCTCAACAGGCTGATAGTCCAAGTTACATGCCATCTGTTCATCCTCTGCCTCGAGGCATGTGCCATTTCTTGTTGGAGTGGACAACTTCCACTGCTGATTCAAGCCCTCTCTTTTATCATCCTTCCACCACTGCTTTGCCCTGACTTACAGAGGAAAAAAGAAAGAAAGAAAAGCACACCTGCATCCTCAAGGATCACAGATCCCATTTGAAGCCATTCTTGAGGTTGCTATGGTGATGGACAATTTTAACTATCAGGGTGCAGGAGCCACTGGTGCTGAGGAAATCATTGGGTTACAGAGTTACAGATGGATGGGTGCAGAGAGAGCCCCAGAGTGCCTCCCAGTTTGAGAAAATGACTGGCTTGTCCAGCTCACTCTGCATACTCCAGCAAAGTCTTTCTGATGGAAAGGCAGCCACTTCACACACAGATTAATCACTATCTGGCCCTTCTCACACTCCTGGTGTGCTCTTGTGGAGTTCTTTTTCCACTACACTCTAATGGGCTCTACAACAAAGTACTGAAGGAGTAAGCAATTTGCTCTGAAGGCTCCAAGTCCAGATGATGCTAAGAGAAGCCCAATTTCTCCACTGATGAATACTTGGGAAATGGCCTTTCCCTCTGTGCCCCTAAACCTATAAGCTTCTGAGCTTGCTGGAAGGACTGGCTTCCAGCAGTTTGGGAGTGACAATAATGTATTTTAGCTGATGTAGTCCCAAGTCTGATGGCACTCTGATGGCATCCTCCTCCAAAGCTTTTTCTTGCTCAGCCTTCTTTGCACACTCCTGTCCCCTACATAACTGGGCACTTCTCTCATTTTGCAAAAGGTTAAGTCTATTGGAGAAAATGCACAGGGTCTAAAAACCGAGCTGTTTGTGCTGACTAAAGTGAACTGGCAAGGAGAACAATGCCCCATAGCCGATGGTCAGCAGAGGATGTCTCAGACCCAAGGTTGTGGACCTTGGTGGAGACTGAAGGTGAGTGGAGACTGAAGGTGGTTGGAGACAGGGCACATTCCCAGCTCCATTTTTGACAAGTTCTCCTACAAGGTGGGGAAGGCAAAATTCTTGTTTTCCCAGTCTCCCCTGTTTTTAGGAATGGCCAAATGACACCATCTTGCCAATGATGCCTGCTGGGGCCTCCAGGCAGGTTTTTGTTCTTCCCAATATAAAAGTACTACTCTTTTGTTCCTTCTGCCTTCTTTTTTCCTTGAATTAAGACATGATAGCTGGAGCTCCAGCAGTCATGTGGCAACCCTGAGAGAAATGCCAAGGTCCCTAGGGCCTCAGCCCTTCTATCATTTAACCTCTGAACAAAGACTGGCAATGGCCTATCTTGAGACATCTTGTTTGAGAGAAAAACGATTCCTATTTATTTAGACCATTTTTGTTAGATTTCCTTTTACTAGCAGCTCAGTGTTTTCCTCATTGATACAGGTACTCTCGTTTCCATATTCTGACTCTTTCTCAAAATGTAGAGGTGTAGGAAGAAGCAGACACCAAAACCAAGGAAGGGACACTTCTTGGAGATTTTACACTGCCAAGTTATCCGATTTAAATAATTTGGCAGTTCCCTGTGGTCTTCCATGCACCATTTCTACTATTTCTAAAAGTTGGCCAAACAGATATATGAAAAAATGCCCAACACTTCTAATCATCAGAGAAATGCAAAGTAAAACCACAGTAAGATTTCACCTCACACCTGTTGGATTGGCTACTATCAAAAAGATAAAAGATAACAAGTATGGGCGAGGATGTGGAGAAAAAGGAACTCTTGTGTACTGTTGGTGGGATTGTAAATTAGCACAGCTATTATGGAAAAAGGAATGGAGGTTCCTCAAAAAACTACAAATAGAATTACCGTATGATCTAGCAATCCCACTTTTGAGTACATATTCAAAGAAATTAAAATTAGCACGTCAAAGAGATGTTTGTACTCACATTCACTGCAGTGTTATTCACAATAGCCAAGAAATAGAAACAACTAAAGTGTCCATCAATGGATAAATAGATTTTTTAAAGTGGTACTTATACATGATGAAATATTTCTCCATTTTTAAAAAGCAGGAAATTCTGTCATTTGCAACAACATGAATGAACTTAGAGGAGGACATTATGCTAAACAAAATGAGCCAGGCACAGAGAAACAAATACCACATGATCTCACTTAAATGTGGAATCTAAAAGAGTCAAACCCATAGAAGTAGACAAAAGAATGGTTAATAGAGGCTGGGGCAGGGGTAGATGAGGCAAGGGGAGATTATTGCTTAAAGGGTATAAAGTTTCCATTAGGAAGAATAAGTTCTGGTGATCTCTTACACAACATGATAACTAAAGTTAATAATAATTTATATCTCAAAATAGCTAAAGAACAGCCAGGCATGATGGCTAATGCCTGTAATCCCAGTATTTTGGGAGGCTAAGGCAGGAGGATTGCTTGAGCCCAGGAGTTTGAGAACAGCCTGGGCAACACAGTGAGACCCTCTCTCTACAAAAAAATTTTGAAATAGCTGGGTCTGGTGGCACGCACCTATAATCCTAGCAACTTGGGAGGCTGAGGTGGGAGGGTCACTTGAACCCAGGAGTTCAAGGCTGCAGTGAACCATGATTGCACCACTGCACTCCACCCTGGGTGACAGAGTGAGACCCTGTTTCAAATAATAATAATAATAATAACTAAAAGAGAGTATTTCAAATATTTTCACCACAAAGAAGTGATAAATATTTTAAGAGATGGATACGTTAATTACCCTAATTTAATCATTCCACAATGTATACATGTATCAAAAATCATATTGAATCTCATAAAATATATGCAATTATTATCTATCAATTGAAAATAAAATAAAACTTAAAAAAATAAAAATAAAATAGAAGTGGCCCGGGTCAGGGTTTTCTTAGAGCTTCAGAAATTCTTCTGTATGCTGTGACAAATGCAGAAATATTCCTCTTTCTTCTGAGCAAACCATTTTGAAACAGAGGAAAGGAAAAGATAGCACAGTAGAATTATAAAGTAACTTAGCCCTGTAATTTTCTGCAGGCATAGATGAAAGCCCTCTTCAATAAGCAAAATTTTTAAATGCCTCAAATGGGAGCACAATAATAAAGAGAGAAATGGGACCCTGATTTCCTTTTTCCTTTTCATATGACAAGCCTCAATGCCAACAACTCAATCTGCTGTCCCTTTAAGAAATTTTCCCCAAAGAAGAAAACTGGAGATGGCATAAGGATAAGTCCAGCTCCTAAATATGGCAATGAACGATTTACAATACCAATTTTTCCAAATCATTTTCATTCAGTTTGTGCATGCTAGTGATGTTGGCAAATGTTCTGAACTCTCTGTTCCACCTCCTGGACTCTGTATCCATAGGTCATTCAAAAGTAGAGCCTGGCTGGGCACGGTGGCTCATGCCTGTAGTCCCAGTACTTTGGGAGGCTGAGGCAGGTGGATTACCTGAGGTCAGGAGTTCGAGACCAGCCTGGCCAACATGGTGAAACCCTGTCTCTATTAAAAATACAAAAATTAGCTGGGCATGGTGGTACATGCCTGTAATCCCAGCTACTCAGGAGGCTGACACATGAGAATCACTTGAACCCAGGAGGCCAAGGTTGCAGCGAGCCAAGATCGTGCCACTGCACTCCAGCCTAGGCAACAGAGTGAGACTCTGTCTCAAAAAAAAAGAAAAAACAAAAGTAGGGACCATTTCTTCCAAAGTGAGAAGAAAGCAGGGGACCCAAGCGCCTACTCTCGCCTCATATCAGGCCTCTACCAGGTCCTCAGATCATGTAAAAATAAGGTGAATAAAACTCCCATTCTCCAGGTTTATCATCACTTTCCTGTTTCTCCAAAAGTTCTTCTTCAGCTTTCTTCCAGGGCCTTTCTCTCTCAGAAGTCATATAGGTTTCTCAGGAGACTCCAATTTTTTTGTGGCTATTGTTGCCCTCTATCTAATCCAAGGGTCTGAGAGAATTCTGAGAAGACAAAGAGCACCTGCCAGAATATTCTTCATCCTCAGACCTAGTGGAAAATCTTTTAATACATGGTATCATACACATCCTTGTGCTTTAGACAAAGACTTGCTACCTTGGGACTGAAGAGCCAGAAAGCCTGAGAACTGTGGCCGCCAGGATGATCCTTCATAGGGGATCCCCGGGAACTGCTATGCAAGGACTTCACTTTGTGTTGCCTCTAGATAAAGGAAAAATCTAGCCCCAAATACACTTGGGAAATTGTCCTATGACCTGTTCATAAAAGGAAAAGATAACTTTTCAAATTACTTAGTAAGATATATTAACCTATTCCTTCATTAACAAAACATACTGAATGACTGCTGTGTGCCAGGCACTAGCATACTAATGAACAAGACGCACCCTGCTCTCATGTAGTTTACAATATGATGCAAGACAGAGTAATAGAAACATCGTAATATGGGATGATAAGCACTAAAGAAGAGCATACAAGCTGCAAGGGTGCAGTGAATTAACCAAAGGAGGGACTCCAGATGTAAAGGTGTCAGAGGGACTCAATGCCATCACTCCAAGCATAAAAAGAATTTTAAGAGTGTGTAACACATGTTTTTCCAAAGCAGCTGCACTCCTATGCTGCCTGACTCCTGGGTGTGGACTCAGGGGTCCACATCTTCATAGACTCCCAGAGGTAGATGGTTAGATTTCCCTCATTTGTCCTCAATCTCTTCATGTCCTTATTCAACAGAGAAACAGGGAAGGAAATAGGCTTACTGCCTAAGAGAATGCCCCAGTTTCCCTCTCTTCTTGCCAACTTCAGCTTCCTGTCCTTGGTTAATAGGTCATCCCTCCAAAATGAAAAGCTAAATTGATGTTGAAGAATGATTTTTTAAAAGGGTAAAATCATGACTCATAAAGATAAAAAACACACACATTAAAGAACTTATTTAACTTATTACTAATGCAGGAACCAGGTAGAAGGTACAATTAGTTCAAAGGAAAATGTAAAAAACAGACATAGAGACATCAGGAATATTGAAATTTTCAAATGGAGGCAAAACTGGCTTCCTTCACATTTGAGAAATTAAGTAAATATCCACCTGATGGAATTTATTTGTATATCTGTAGACAAGTTATCTTGCATTGCTATCAGTTATCTACAACTTACAGAGTCTGATAGCATCTTGCAGGGGAAAGTAAAGTCTGATTTGTTGAGACCTTGCTGTGAAATTTGGCATAAAGCCTGTCTTTCAATGGGGAGGAAAGGTAAAAGAAGATTAGATGAGGATAATGTTTGGTGGACACAGCAAGATGAGGATGTTGAGGGAAGGGACATCTTGGGATATCTGTTGATGTTTTCTGTTTAAGAGTTGAAAGGTCTTCTCAGAAGTTCCTGTAATAAACTGTATTGGTCATGCTTCTCCAGGGAAACAGAACCAGAGAGGGATTTCTTTTTAAGGAACTGTCTCATGCCATTGTGGAGGCTTGGAAGTCCATAATCTACAGAGCAGGCTGGGAGGATGGAAATTTCGGCAGGCGTTCATGTTAAAGCCTCGAGTCTGCATGCAGTCTGGAGGCATTTATTTCTCTTCAGAACCTCAGTCCTTTTTCCCTTAGGCCTTCAATGAATGAGATGAGGCACAAACACACTATGGAGAGTAATCTACTTTTCTCAAAATCTACAGATTTTTTTTTGCTTTACTTTTTAAATTTAATTTTATTATTATTATACTTTAAGTTTTAGGGTACATGTGCACAATGTGCAGGTTAGTTACATATGTATACATGTGCCATGCTGGTGTGCTGCACCCATTAACTTGTCATTTAGCATTAGGTATATCTCCTAATGCTATCCCTCCCCACTCCCCCCACTCCACAACAGTCCCCAGAGTGTGATGTTCCCCTTCCTGTGTCCATGTGTTCTCATTGTTCAATTCCCACCTATGAGTGAGAACATGCGGTGTTTGGTTTTTTGTCCTTGCGATAGTTTACTGAGAATGATGATTTCCAATTTCATCCATGTCCCTACAAAGGACATGAACTCATCATTTTTTATGGCTGCATAGTATTCCATGGTGTATATGTGCCACATTTTCTTAATCCAGTCTATTAAAAGTTAATCCCATCTAAAAAGTGCCTTCACTGCAACATCTAGACTCGTGTTTGACCCAAAAACAAGGTACCATAACATAGCCACACTGAAACTTAAAATTTATTATCACATAGACAATAAAGCTGTTTGCAGTTTTTATCTTCCTGAACATGAGTCCTCTGGAGCAGTAAAGTTATGCTAATAAAGACAATGGAATAGGAAAGTCATGCTAATATACACAGTTGGCTGTGTGCAAGTACAAGATTTCGGTTCTCAACTTTTTTTTTTACATTACAGCTTACATATTGTCTATCATATCTTTATTATCATGGCATCTACACTGTTTGCATCCATGTTTGCAATCATTATTTAGATTAACTCTCTGTTTGATTTCATCCAGTCTTTTCTGTAATTTCAGTTGGCACATAGCATCTCTGCCCTTTCCCTCCGGGAAGCTCTCACAGCAAAGGCCTCATGTACCCATGATAAGGAGTTTGAACTTTTTCCAATAGGGATCTGTGGAAAATATCTTGGGTTGCTTTTGCCTGCAAGTAACACCAGAAGGCCCAAGTAAACATTGCTTACATGATAAGAACACTATATTTTCTTACATAATAAAAAGTCTAGTGGTAGAAAGCTTCAGGAACTCATCAATATAGGGCTCTGGGTCACTGTCTCCCCATGACCACAATATGGGAGTCCAAGTCTAAGCATCAAGGCTTAAGCACACAAAGCCCTAAACAAGGAAAACGGATGTTTCTTTTGATGTGTGTTTTATATGAAGAAGGGATATATTTCTCTGAAACCCTCAAAATTCTTCCCCTCAGATCCAGTTGGTCAGAATCAGGTCATGTCCCCATGTCCTAGCTGTAAGGGAATCTGAAAGGGCACATATTTGGCACTTTCAGCATCTTTCATGGGGGACCAGCTCTATCAACAGAGCTGGATAGGTTAGCACTGGGGATTGCTGAGAACAAGCAACTAATAGTATATGCTACAGATGGGCTTTGAGCAGGAGAATATGTGGTGAGATCTGCACTTGGAAGACATCCCTGCTAGCAACATGGAAGAAGGACTGAAGGAGGCAATAAAGAGGTGACAGAGGGTAGATGGAAAGGCAGATTAAAAGTAGGTAAGGGGAGATGGTGCAGCATTAGTGGCCCCAGATAAGCAAAGTTCTCCATGCACCCAAGTGAGACACCCCTTGAAACTCACAAAAGTAGTAGAGGGATGCTTTTAGGAGCCATGGTGCTACATGAGCCGGTGACTTCTGTGTTACTACAGTGCCTGGAATCCCTTCTCAGCCTGACAGCTGAAGAGGCCTGGGAAAGTTAAGGCTATATCAGACATATTGGCATTCATTTCTCTTAAACTTCCAATGACAGTTAATACTGAGCTGCTTTATGTTGGAAACCTCAAAAAGGCTTTCTCAGGGCCAATTGATGTAAATGTTTAAACAGGTTTATAGAACTGGATTTCCAGAAAGCCTTTCAGCCTAACCTTTCAACAGCTGTCATATCTACAAGTTACCTGGAAAGATTTTTCAAAAGACTAAGACGTTAATCTCTGTACTTTGAGAGTTTGTTCCTGGTTTGAGGAACAAGACTTAACACATGCAGACTGTACAAGATAATGTTCTGATTAGGGAAGTTGTGGTTGTAAGGGACTAAAGCCAATACAAATAAAGGGTAGGAGATAGGAGATTGTAAAAATCCATGCCGGCCAAGGGTAAGAAAGGAAATTTAGCAGAGCCTCATGATACCAGAAATTGCCAGGAGCTGAAGCCCTTCTTTCCGCCTCAGGGGAACATGGTCTTTTAGGCCCATATTTCTCTGTATGTATTCCACCCTCCTGCTTCTTCAAAAAGAACAACAAAAAACAAAAAACAAAAAAACAGCCTTTTCTGCTTACTATTCCTGCGCAAGGCCCAGTGTGACCAGCCTAGTACCTGGATCTATGTGACACCTACTTCCATCTAGCTCTTAACCGACAAACCACAATTTCTGTGTCCCTGAGTTCAGCCAGGAACTAGGCCATGTTGTTGGCAGATAATCAACCTCTGAATGGGGATCCCCAGGGTCAGATGTTGCTCTCTGCTGCAATCAGCTATATTTGGGGTCTCAATCAGTGCGGGCAGAGAGCGGATACCAGATACGCCTAGTCAAACAGCCGAGATCCAGTACATACTCAAACGGATACCCAGACAGCCTAAGAAACTAAGGGTGGAGGGTCTGTGGAGTCAGAGAGAGCATACGAGGGCATTTCCTGATTATGAGACTCTAAAGTGGACATATTACTCGTTTTTTTACATCATCTCCTTGTTTTGTGTATGTTTTTCCAAGATGATGGAGTCAGATACAAAAAGTAGAAATGTAAAGAGCATGCAACTCTTCCCAGGCCACAGAGGAGGAGCAGCAGGTCACCCGGAACTGTGTTTCTCAGACCATGTTTTCTGGATGTCATGAGGGCCCAAGTCCCCTCACCTCTCTGAACCTCACTCCCTCACCTAGAAACTGAGGGAAAGATGTAAAGGGGCTGAATTAAATCATTTCTAAGGTCCCTTCCAGCTGGGTCATTCTGTGATTGTGGCCTTTTTCCTTAAAGGAAGTGTTGTAAAAATAAGCAAGTGAGAAGCAAGTCTTATCCTAGAAAGCGGGCCTCATTACTTTCTGCTGTGGTACAATGTTGTCAGCATTAACCACCTCTTATTTTTAGAAAATAATGTGTGATAGAAGGAACCAAGACCTTAACTGTGAGGTATATTAAAAAAATAAAATAGGGCAGGCGTGGTGGCTCATACCTGTAATCTCAGCACTTTGGGAGGCTGAGGTAGGAGGATCACTTGGGGAACCAGGAGCTCAAGACCACCCTGGGCAACAAAACAAAACCCTGTCTCTACCAAAAAAAAAAAAAAAAAATTAAATTAGCAGGGAATGTGGCAGTGTGCACCTATGACCCCAGACACTCAGGAGGAGGCAGAGGTGGGAAGATCACTTGAGCCCAGGAGGTCAAGGCTGTAGTGAGCTTTGATTGAGCTACTGCACTCCAGCCTGGGTGAAAGAGCAAGACCCTGTTTTTAAATAAATAAATATAAAAATAACTCACAGAAGGAGACCTTCATTCTCTGCTGCAGTCTGTTCTGGTAGCAATGGAAGCAAAGATGCACGTATACCCTTTGCTTGTCACACCTGAAATGCCACTAGCCAGGAAAATCTGAGTGCAGCTCCAGCGAACTGCCACTAATGATCCTGGGCTGCTCCCAAGTGACTCTGGAGGCTAATGGAAGAACTGAGGACTGAAAGGATGGGGGTGCAGTAAACTGATAATTAGGGGGTTTATGGAGGGGCCTCTGAACCTCCACCCTGACTCAATTTCTCAGCTTGAAGCAGCTGCGGCCCCCTTGGCTGCTCACCTAGAAGAGGCAGGTTCCTGCCTGGGAGCTACTGCAGCCACTTGGTATCCCTCAGAGCCCAGCTGCCGTGCATGACCAGCATGCAGGGCTCCCTCATATGGGAATAAATTTAGTTTGACCTTTAGGAAAAAAGGGAAAAATGTCACCTTCCTAGCACAAGTGATAGGTAGATGGCCTCTGTGATGAAGAATAACTTCACTGTACAGCTTTTCAAGGAGGTAGAGAAAGGCTCTAAAGAAGAGCTGGGAATGAAAAATTGAGGCCACAGCAAAGCCACACAGCATAAAGTTTAACTCCTCCCATAGGCTCCCCACGACGATCCCATAAGTCCCATTTTCTCGCGGTCTGATTTCTCTCCTTTCCTTCCAACCATTTTTGGAAATCTCACCGGCTTAGAAAAACAGCCAGGGCCTTGTGTGTCACTAAATTGGACTTGGCAAGGAGGCTGGCAGCACTTACCAGGTGATGCCATTTTAAGGGATGGGATCCAAAGGGGTAGGTTTCTCTCCAAGCAGGTGACCAGGACAGCTTCCTTGGTGGGACTTTGTGGGGATGAGGATAAGCAGTAGGGATTCAAGTGCTTTGAGTATCCTTCACCCACAAATGGGCATCATCCTTCAGAGAGAACTATGGGACCCAACCCTGGTTAAAACCTCGGTCCTGTTTTTAAGACAATCTCTCCAGTCTGAGAGACATCGGTTCCATTGACCTGGACAGTGCTTAGTTGATAATGACAAATGGAAAGCAATCCTCTGACCAGAAAACAGACTGTGTCGGGTAGCTGGGTCTTGAGGCAGTTGACATTTCACACAGGGCACAACACAGCTTGAGGCTTTGCTGGTCCCCCTTGGTGTGGCTGATGGTGTCTTGGAGTGAGAAGGAAGGCTGGGACTCCCTGGAGAGATGTTCGTCTGGCCTGAGTGGACCCAGAACGGTCACCAGCTGTCAGATTGGAGTTTATGGGACACAGGAGCTAGAAGGTGACTTCTTCCTCCCTTCAGCCCACACAGATCCTCCCAGGTTCACCTCTTCTATGAAACTCTCTCTGATTACTTCAATCTCCATTGATTTGTTCCCCCTTTGAACTCCTAATGGAATTATCGTTCCAACACTTAATGGGATCATAGAGCTGGGTGGATGTTACTTAGAGACCATCCATTGTATTGAGTGTTGAGATGAAGGTATTTCACAGATAAGGAAATGATATCACAATATTATGAGGGAAATACTATGTAATACCCCCATTTTATGGCTGGGAAACTACCCTAACTGATTCTTAGGGAAGTTAAATAACTTGTCCCAGAGTCCACAGGCAGTGAGAGTCATAGCCCATGCTGTAAGCACGGCCATCGTTCTGCCTCTTCCTGAGCAGCATGCTGAGTGGTGGCATAAGCCTGGCAGCTCGGCAGGGAGGGTGAAAAGTCCCACAGTTTCAGAACCGTCTTTTTTTTTCTTCTTCTTTTTTTGTTTGAGACAGAGTTTTGCTCTTGTTGCCCAGGCTGGAGTGCCATGCAATCTCGGCTCACTGCAACCTCCACCTCCCGGGTTCAAGCAATTCTCCAGCATCAGCCTCCCAAGTGGCTGGATTACAGGCGCCTGCCACCATTCCTAGCTAATTTTTTGTATTTTTAGTACAGACAGGGTTTCACCACATTGGCCAGGCTGGTCTCGAACTCCTGACCTCAGGTGATCCACCCACCTTGGCCTCCCAAAGTGCTGGGATTACAGGTGTAAGCCACCGCGCCCAGCCCAGAACCATCTTTCGTAAGACTGCTGCCCCTCTCCAATTCATTGATTTGTTCCATCCACTTTCTCATTGGTTACACAACAGGAGGGACAGTGAAGTTTAGCATCAACTATATCGGTGAGTCTCATTCTAGCCATGACTGTGACCTTGGACAGCATCATGAGCCAAGAAGACAGAACTGATTCAGCAGGGATGAGCAGAGTCCAAGAATAATCCCTTTTGGCTGTGATTCATTGCAGGTGGGTGGAAGAGAAAGCAGCGAGGCAGGGAGGTGGTATAATGTGGTGGAAAAGTGCAAGGATTCTGGAGCCAGATGCCTTGGGTTCTAAACCCAGGATTCTCTACTTACTAGCTGTATGACCTTGGGAAAATTATATAATCTCTTTATGCTTCTGTTTTCTCATTTATAACATGGGAATGATAAAAATATGTATCTCATTAAGATTTTTACAAGGATAAAATGATGTTGTATTTATAAAGCTTTTAAAATCATATCTGGAATACATTAAGTGCTATACAATGTTTGTTAAATAAGGATTAACAGGAGGACAGAAAGAGAAACTGTTAACAGAATGAACAGACAACCTACAGAATGGAAGAAAATGTATGCATCTGACAAAGGTCTAATATCCAGAATTTATAAGTGATTTAAATCAATAAGCAAAAAACAAATGACCCCATTTAAAAATGGGCAAAGGACATGAACAGACACTTCTCAAAAGAAGACACACATGCAGCCAACAAGCATATGAAAAAATCCTCAATATCATTAATCATTAGGGAAATGCAAATCAAAAGTATCAAGAGATACCATCTCACACAAGTCAGAATGGCTATTATACAAAAGTCAAAAAATAACAGATGCTGGTGAGGCTGCAAAGGAAAGGGAATTCCACACTGCTGGTGGAAATGTAAATTAGTTCAGTCATCATGGAAAGTAGTCTGGAGATTTTTCAAAGAACTTAAAATAGAACTACCATTTGACCCAACAATCCCACTACTGGGTATATATCCAAAGGAATATAAATTGTTCTACCATAAAGACACATACATGTGTATTTTCATTGCAGCACTATTCAGAATAGCGAAGACATGGAATTAACCTAGTTGCCCACCAGTGGTGGACTGGATAAAGAAAATGTGGTACATATACACCATGGAATACTACACAGCCACAGAAAAAAGAATAAGATCATGTTGTTTGCAGCACCACGGATGGAGCTAGAGGCCATTATCCTAAGCAAACTAACACAGGAACAGAAAACCAAAAACCGCATGTTCTCACTTACAAGTGGGAGGTAAACATTGAGTGCACAGGGACATAAAGAAGGGAAAAATAGACACTGGGTCTTACTTGAGGGTGAAGGGTGGAAGGAGAGTGAGGATTGAAAAACTACCTATCAGGTATTATACTGATTACCTGGGTGACAAAATTATCTGTACGACAAACTCCCAGGACACACAATTTATCCATGTAACAAACTTGTACATGTACCCCTTGAACCTAAAATAAAAGTTGGAAAGAAAACAAAAACAACAAAGGATGGACAGCAGACTACATCTTACCTTAAAACTTTAAACCTCTATCCTTGGTGGTATTGGGTGGAAGTGGGGACTGTTCACAGGTGCTGAGTGGGGGATGAGTGGGGGGTAAACTAGCTCGTTCTTATGCCATGAGGCCATAAGGGCAAGTGCTCAGGAAGGACAAGTTTTCCCTTGCCTGATTCACCCCTCATGTCATATTCCAAGCACCTAGTAGGCAAGAATTGTGTTGCTTTTGAGTTTTCACCCCCATAGTGACTGACACAACTGGGGAATAGAACAGATACATAATAAATGCCTGTTGAATGACTCTCCCACACACTCCTTACACTTGTCAGCCTCCGGCCTTGCTTAATCCCACATTAAGGTTTACCTAGATGGTGGCAGCTCTTCTAACTGGCCTCCTCCTCTCCATCCCCTGTTGAATCTTACGCAGGCTGCACACGGCCTCCCAAATAGCCTTCCCAGGGCACATGGCACTCCAGTGCTCAGAAACCTTTGATGACTTGCCCTCATCATAAGGGTCCTGGCCTAGAATTCAGGCTCTGTATAATCTGTTCTCAGGTGGCACTTCTAAAACTGTTTCCCTCCACTTTCAGTAGCTGTGCTCTCACCACCACTTCCCCACTATGGATATCTCCTACTTCTCCATGTTTGATCTGTCCCTCATCTCCATATGTTCAAATTATGCCCCACCTTCAAGATTTACTCAAATGCTCCTTGATCCCTGCAGCTAGAAGGGATTTCCCTTCCTCTGAATTTCATAGCACTTTGTACCTACCCTGCTTATCATCACATTCTGGTCTGTCTTAAAATTATTTAGGAAGATAAATTACCTTCTCTTCTGCAAGAATGTAAGCCCTTCAGGGCAAGTTGTGTGTAATCTATCTTTGTGTCTACTACAGGATCTAGAAGTGTTCCTCACAAATGCTAGGCACTAAACAACTATTTTCTGGATAGATGGATGAGTGGACAGATAAGCCTGCTTGATGCTGAACAAAGTTTCCATGGGGAATCTTTCTTCTTACTTTATCGAAGACATTTTTGTCCCAGGATCCACATTCACTCATGAAGTAGGGGATGGAACTGGGACTCTAAAGCCCTAATTTTGCTTGACTTGACAAACGTGTTAGATGACCTCCAAATTTCAAGATGGTGCCTGAGAAGGCAGAGAAGTGAAAGAGGGAAAGCCCAAGTACAAGCCCCAAAGGAAATCCCTCTCTCCTGGTCACATTCAAATTCATTCATCAGGATACTTATGACAATATGAATTGTCCTTGGCCATTAGAAATTAGAACATGCCACTCAAGAGGCGAAATGCCCTCCAAAATTGAAATTACTTACCAGTCACCGGAGGCACTGAGTTTAGAATTCACAGCTGAGAGGAAAATGGGGAAAATATCATCAAGTACCAGTTATGATGTTATATAAATAAATCATCTATCCACAAAAGAATTTTGTGAGATAGGTATTACTTTCCCCATTTTACATGAGAAAACTAAAAAAGATAAAGTAATTGCTCAAGATCACATAGCTAGAAGTGGTGAAGCCTGGATTTAAACTCAACTCTGACATCCAAATCCCTGCTCTTTGCACAAAGCAATAACGTTATACTCTTTGTTAATTCTCATTGCAGTGTCACCCAAGTTAGATTATGTGCTTCCTTATGTTTATGCCTTGGATGCTCCATTGTTCTTGGTGGCCTCTTCTTTAGCACCTCCACTGTATTAGTCAAGGTAATTAACCCTAATTGCTGTAACAAATCACCCTCAGAATCTTAGTGGCAAACACAATAAAGGCTCATTTTTCACTCATATCATAGTTGGACACAGTTGGGCAATTCTCCTCCAAGTAGCAACTTAGGCATCCAAGCTTCTTCCAGCTGGAGATATTGCAACCTTAAACATACGGCTTCCACTGTTACCATGGAAGAGGAAGAGGGTGGGCTCAAGTGCACAGGGGGTTTCATGATCAGGTTTGGATGTGTTATCATCTCATTAGCTATGACTGAGTAATACAGCCTCAACCTACTGCAAGGGAGAATGGAAAATGTAATCTTCCTGTGTGTCCAGGAAAAGGAATTAGAGTTGGTAAACATTCATCAGTCCCTGATATACCCATTGTATCAACCAGGGTTCTCCCAGAAACAGCAGGCATGTCTAGCAGGGATTTTGAATTTAATGGAGGTACTATTTACAGCCATGTGAATAGGGTTAGGGTTGGAACCTATTAAAGATGTTGAGGCATCCAAGGACTAGAAAAACAGGAAGTTTATACCACTGCTAGTCTTGGGACAAGTAGAGGGAACCATGCTATCAGAGCCCAGTAAGAGCTGGAGCCATGGAAGAAGGGCCTTCTGATAGGAACAAAGGCTGTAGAGGGATACACTCACTGTCAGCACTGCAACACTTAAGCAGAAAGGGAGTGGAGGAAGAAATACCCTGACCTCTCTCTCCTAGTCTCCTGCCAATGCCTCCCTATGGTTAAAGCCAACTGGAAGCCACAGAGTAAGAGAGCCTGGGTGATGCAGTCCACAATGGTCAGCCTCTGTGGCACAGAGAATGGCAGACAATGAATCTTGGGGATGGACAGTCAAAGAATAAACAGCACACTGAACCATTCCATCTAACCTCCCCTCCCTGGGAAGCATCATTGTCCTTTGGGTCTTTCCCTGTGTGCTCCCTTCCCTAAACTCTGCCTATCCAGATTCACTTACTTACCCTAGCTGTGTACCCTGTGTCACATGCCCCAAACTCTTCCCTGCCCCTACCAAATGTTCGTAAACGTGATACGGTAGTATGCAGAATTATGAATCTTTAGTTTTTTCCAATATGACTTGTAGAATCCAACAGGGTATTATAGCAACTCATATTTCACTCTAAATCTGGAACTCTCTATGAGGAGAGGTCCAGGGCTGAAAGGACCCCTGTTCTGAGAGATCTTGACACCCTAGGCCCTGAATCACAGCCCTCCACTCCTTTCCAATGTCACTCCCGCTGTCCTTCTCCACCTTCAGCAACCACCCCCTGGAACCTACATCGACTTGGTTCTGTGTTGATTGTGATTAACTGTGCAGATACACTCACAGGAACTCAGTGCTCTTGCAGGGCTTGGAGAAGCAGCTGCAGTAATTACTGTGAATTTCTGAAATGGAGACTAATGGTGCAGGTTCACATCTAAAATGCTTTTGATCCTCTTCATCATTAAAAGGCCATTAAAGGTACAACACATATATTACCAGACATCAAATCTACATTGATGTAAAAAGAAATTAGGCTAATAATTGTTCCCAATGCCATTATCTCCAGTGAGTAAGGGCACATGGCACGCTTTGTGGTTTTACAGAAGGGCTTTCATTGACCCTGATTGGTTTAAGTTAGACAGCATTGATTAAGTACATACTATGTGTCATCCTAATCAGATGTCAACTTCTGTGACTACCTGATTTAAACTGTGACTTTTAAGAACTTGCTCTCTGGCTGACAGGCTGAACCCTAGGGAAAAAAACTCACAGACCTTGAAAGACCACAAAAGTTTGTGGCAATAGCAATGAAAGGGTCTGCATGAAATAGTAACCCCAGCAAGAGAGGCAAAACCACAATGTGTAAAACGATAAAACAGAGACTGCAGAACCATCCAATAGAATGCTTTGCATGTAATAGGTATTCAATCCATATCAGTTTAATTAAGAAATTAACCAATTACTCAAAAGAGTCTTTCTTTACAGCCTTAATATAAGGATAGAAATTAAGTCATTCTTATTGGCTTAGGTCCTAACTACTTTCCCTTAACTACCACCAAAGAGATTCTCCATCCAGAAGACTTACTGTAGGGTAAGCTCTCCTCAGCTAATCCCCACATCCGTATTCCTAATCATCTGTCAGCACCCAGAAGATCCAACTACCACCCCATCCGTGTCACCATTGCACCTTCAGGTCTGGTTTCTCATTGTCACCACACTCCATTTGTCACCCAGGTGAGATTAGAGGACAACAACGTGGTCCTTATGCTTCCAGGTCTTCCAAGATGGGAAAGAGGATGAGGAAAGGATTCAGGCAGGAGAGGATTCACAGGGCACTGACTTCTCCAGAGAAAAGACTGGGGGCAGAAAACAGTGCAGAAGTGAACAGTGATAGAGAAAGAGAGCCTCACAGAGGGAACATCATTAAACACGTGGCACACGGCTTATCAGCTCTTAGAGCTTTCACAAGGATATCTTTGGAACCATGGCAGACCCAGTCACTGCCAACAAAATTAGTAAAAATAAATAGGTATGGGTTTGAGCTCAGCCTTGGTCTCTTGGAGCCCCTCAGCCTCAGAAGCTGAGGCCTAGATATGACTGGAGCCTATGGACAGAGTGATGATTGCAGGTCCAGAAGAGATCAGGGACAGAGAAGTCATTCCTAAAGTACAAGTCATCCTTGTATCTGAGGCTACCTTCACTATGACTGGGCTTAAATGTCCACTAATAGGGGGCTGGTTAAGTAAATGATGGTTCAGCTATTTATTCTAATTCTGTATATACCAATACAGAAAGATCATCAAAAAAGGAGTATAAAAGAAAAATACAAAGGGGCATAAAAGGTAGTATAATATGCTGTACTACCATCTATGCAAAAAAGGAGTAAAAGAATACATAACTATATGTTTGCTTATATATACACACATTTTCTCTAAAAGATATGTAAGAAGCTAATAACATTGGTTGCCTGGGGGAAAATGAAGTGAGTGGCTGGAGGTCTGAGGCAGGAGGGAGAACTTTCACTTTTATATTTAAAAAATTTTGAATGTGGCTGGGCATGGTGGCTCATGCCTGTAATCCCAGCACTTTCGGAGGCCGAGGCTGGCGGATCATGAGGTCAGGAGATCCAGATCATCCTGGCTAACACAGTGAAACGCTGTCTCTACTAAAAATACAAAAAATTAGCCGGGCATGGTGGCACGTGCCTGTAGTCCCAGGTACTCGGGAGGCTAAGGCAGGAGAATCACTTGAACCCGGGAGGCGGAAGTTGCAGTGAGCCGAGATCGTGTCACTGCACTCCAGCCTGAGCGACAAGAGCGAGACTCCATCTCAAAAAAAAATTGAATGTGACTATTATGTATTCAAAATATAAAATGAAGTAAAATTATTTTTAAGTGGGGAAAGGAACTATCATTTATTGAAAGTGTATTAGGTACTTCACATATGTTGTCTAGTTAACTTCTCTTAATAATCTTATCTGGTGCTTTTATTTGTATATAATTTTTTTAAACTCACAAAAGTAACACATAATGCAGCAAATCACACACATTTGCAAAAAACCACTTTTAATTCCCATTACCCTCAGAAATAACTATTGTCAACATTTTGGTGTAGTCTTTTTATAGTTTTATAGTTGTTTTTATAAAAACTGAATTGCAGTGTTCATACTGTCTTTTAACTTGTTTTTCTCATTTCTCCCCATATCATGAACATCTTCCCATGTTAACGCTATTCTTCCACAAGGTAATTTTAAGAGGGTGCATGATACTGTTTCATATGGATGCATCACAATTTTTAAATGAACTTGGTATTTTAAAATACTGTTATGAACATTCTTTTATACATATTTTATATAGCTCTGATTATTTTATAATCACTTTTTCCCAGAAGGATTAAATAACTGCTTAAGTTCACATGGCTAATAAGGAGTACAGCTGAGATTAGCACTCAGTATGTCTGCCCCCAAAACTGGAGTTCTTTCCACTACCCCACATTACCTGGGCCTGCTTTCTAAATGGTGGGTTTTTAAGATGTGGTTGAATGGAAATGTTCTAAGTTTTGTTGCACTGCTCCTGCAGGAAGATGTTTCAAGTGAATATGACAGCTTCCTAGAGGTGGAGTAAGTAAAGCTCAGTGTTACCAGAGCTGTGCAAGCCTTTCTTCTCACAGATGAGACTTGGGGGAGGTCATCTGTGCTGGACTATTTGTTGTTAATTTAGCATTATCACCCCCCCACCCCACTCCTAAAATCTCTGCATTTCAGGAGAGAAGTCTGGAACTACATTTCTGAGGATCTCTCTTCCTATATGGTACTGGGTTATATTCTGCCATTAAGAAGCACACATTTGAGATTTAAGGCAGAAGAGATGTCATATTTCTCTGGTGGCAACTGGGGCAAATATATAGGCAGATGGCAGAACTGAGGTTTGCATTGATTTTTGGGTAAGATTCTGCAAATCACCTGCTTTGGTAGTGCAAGCAGCTGAGACTGAAGTGGCTTGAGATCCCAGCATGTTTCAATTTTTTAACTCCTAGCAGTGGCTTCCTGACCTTCACTCCCCCAGCTTATCCAATGTTTGTCTAAGTCAGACTCCATATTAAATTATTTCTACTTGAAATACCAAAAATGGCTTCCATTTTCTGACCATCCATTACCAAGATTTTAGATGAGAAACATGGTCTTTCTGAAAATCAGTAAAAATATTTGTTGACCCCCAAAAATGATTTACAAGGCCAGTGTGCTGTGTGGTTTCTTCATCTGCCACTGTTCAGGTCACTTTTTTTCAGATATGCTGCACTTACTCAATAAACATTAAAGGAGCAGATACCATGTGTCAGGAATCTGGATAGTGCTGGAATCAGAGATGCACACATAGTCTAGTAAGAAAAGCAGCCAGAACAATCAGCAATACACATTGGCCAGTGTGGTTAAAGCCAATTGAGCTAAGTCTCATCTGTGCCCTATCTAAAGGGTACGGAAAATTGCTCATGCATAGAAGAATCAATATCATGAAAATGGCCATACTGCCCAAAGTAATTTGTAGATTCAATGCTATTCCCATCAAACTACTATTGACATCCTTCACAGAATTAGAAAAAGCTATTTTAAATTTCACATGGAACCAAAAAAGAGCCCATAGAGCCAAGACAATCCTAAGGAAGAACAACAAAGCTGCAGGCATCATGCTATCTGACTTCAAACTACACTATAACTACAGTAGTATTTGGCTACAGTAGTAGTAGTTTTGGCTACAGCAGCCAAAACATCATGGTGCTGGTACAAAACAGCTAGTGCTGGTACAAAAACAGACACATGGACCAATGGAACAGAATAGAGAACTCAGAAATAAGACCGCACATCTACAACCATCTGATCTTCAACAAACCTGACAAAAACAAGCAATAGGGAAAGGATTCCCCATTTAATAAATGTTGGTGGGAGAACTAGCTAGCCATATGCAGAAAACAAAAACTGGACCCCTTTCTTACACCTTATACAAAAATTAACTCAAGATGGATTAAAGACTTAAATGTAAAACCCAAAATTATAAAAACCCTAGAAGAAAATCTAGGCAATACCACTGAGGACATAGGCACAGGCAAAGATTTAATGATGAAAATATCAAAAACAATTGCAACAAAAGCAAAAATTGACCAATGGGATCTAGTTAAACTAAAAAGCTCTGCACAGCAAAAGAAACTGTCATCAGAGCAAAGAGACAACTTACAAAATGGGAGAAAATTTTTGCAACCTATCCATCTGACAAAGGTCTAATTTCCAGAGTCTATAAGGAACTTAAACAAGTTTACAAGAAAAAAAACAACCCCATTAAAAAGTGCGCTAAGGACATGAACAGATACTTCTCAAAAGGAGACATTTATGTGGCCAACAAACATATGAAAAAAAAAAAGCTCAACATCACTGATCATTAGAGAAATGCAAATCAAAACCACAATGAGATACCATCTCACGCCAATCAGAATGGCAATTACTAAAAAGTCAAGAAACAACAGATGCTGGAGAGGCTGTGGAGAGACAGGAACGCTTTTACACTGTTGTTGGGAATGTAAATTAGTTCAACTACTGTGGAAGACAGTGTGGAGATTCCTCAGAGACCTAGATCCAGAAATACCATTTGACCCAGCAATCCCATTACTGGGTATATACCCAAAGGAATATCAATCATTCTATTATAAAGATACATGCACACATATGTTCATTGTAGCACTATTCACAATAGCAAAGACATGGAATCAACCCAAATGCCCAATAGTGATAGACTGGATAAAGAAAATGTGGTACATGTACACCATGGAATACTATGCAGCCATAAAAAGGAATGAGATCATGTCCTTTGCAGGGACATGGATGGAGCTGGAAGCCATTATCCTCAGCAAACTAACACAGGAACATAAAAACAAACACTGCATGTTCTTACTTATAAGAGCTGAACAATGAGAACACACAGACACAGGGAGGGAAACAACATACACTGGGGCCTGTTGGTGGGGCAGTGGTGTGGGGAGAGGGAGAGTATCAGGAAAAATAGCTAATGCACGCTAGGCTTAATATTTAAGTGATGGGTTGATAGCTACAGCAAACCACTATGGCACACGTTTACCTACTCAACTAACCTGCATATCCTGCACATGTACCCTGGAACTTAAAAATAAAATAAAATAAAATAAAAGGTGTGGAAAATAAGCTTCATCTGTCTAGATGTCTCTTCTCTTTGGAAGCCTCCCTATTTCTATAAGCAGAGTTAAGTGTATGTTCCATGGTGCTTCCAAGGTAACTTGTACATATATATATATATATATCTCCAGTATAACCCTCAGTTATAGTGATTTGATCTGCCCCCATAAGACTGTGATCTCCTTGAAATAAGATGTGATGTACTTGCCAATCTATATGGGCTCACTTGATAAAAGGATTGTATGCTTTTTCATCTCAAAATGGGGAATTCTGTGCCCTGCTTATATCCTGGAGTATAAATGGTATTAATCACATTAATTTCTTTAACGTTTAACCAATGAGCCCTTGCTAGAGTCAAGAAGTGCCACATATTTATATTTTGTAGAATATAACATTATGTTGATGCAATTATATTTACTTACAAATCATGCATGATATGAATAATGCTGCATTGATCATAAGAATGCTGATATCTCAAGATACTGATTTCATTTCCTTTGGAAATATACCTAGAAATGGGATTGCTAGATCATATGGCGGTTCTATTTTTAATTTTTTGAGGAACCTCCATACTGTTTTCCATAATTGCTATACCAATTTACATTCCCAGTGTACAAGGGTTTCCTTTTCTCCACATCCACACCAACACTTATGGTTTACTTTTTTGATCACAGTCCCCTTAAAAGGTGTGAGATGATATCTCATTGTGGTTTTGATTTGCATTTCCCCGACGATTAGTGATGTTGAGCACCTTTTCATATATCTGTTGGCCATTTGTATGTCTTGTTTGGAAAACGTCCTGTGTCCATTTTTAAATCAGGCTATTTGTTTTTTGACTATTGAGTCATATGAGTTTCTCATGTATTTTGGATATTAGCTCTCTGTCAGATTCATGGTTTGTAAATATTTTCTCCCACTCCATAGGTTGCCTTTTCATTTTGTTCATTTTGTTGATTGTTTCCTTTGCTGTGCAGAAATTCACAGCAGCATTATTCACAATAGCCAAGATATGGAATCAACGTAAGTAAATGGTAAAAGAAAATGTGGTATATATAAAAAATACATACACAATGGAATATTAGTCAGCCTTAAATACATACAATTTTTTATTCGTTAATTCTACCTCAATAAAGCTGAAAAATAAAGTAGATTTTAAAAAATCATGCATGCATAAAGATAAGAACTGAAGGGAATACATTAAAATGAAAATAGTGGATTACATAGGGATTTGTATGTTAGACCATGAGTGGCCTTGTTCTTTAATTTTGATTTCTGTTCACGTTTAGCAACAAGTACTCCTTAAGACTTATTTGTTACAATGGTGGCCTTAGCTGTGCTCAGTTTCCTCAACTGTAATATGAACGTGGTGCATTTACACCCCTCTCTTTTCATTCCACACATCCAATCTGTCAGCAAATCCTATTGGCTCTACCTTCAAAACATTCCTCAAATATGACCACTTTTCTCCCACTGTTACTGCTCTGGCCTGACTCACTGTCATCTCTTATTCAGACAATAATAATAACGATAATAATAACACCAAACACACAAACGGCCTTTGCTATGTACTAGTCTAAGTGTTTCAACTCCTCACAACTCTGTGTTCTAAGTGTTTCACATTTATTAACTCATTAAATCATTACAAAAACCCTATGAGGTGGGTACAATTATTTTCTCCATTCAACGGAAGAAGAAACAGACACAGAGAGACTGGTTATGATGTTTGCCCAAGGTGATGCTGCTAGTAAGGGCATGGCTGAGATTTGAATCCAGGCAGTCTGGCTTCAGGGACTCTGCTCTTAATACCTAAGCTTTATCACCCCTCCAGATGAGTGCAGTATCTCCTAACTAGTCCCCCTGTGTTTACCTCCAAGTTATTCTCAAGGCAGTCACCAGCATAATCACTTTTATTACATAAGTCAGATTATGTCAATCCATTGCTCCAAACCATTCAAAAACTTCTCATTTCATTTGGGTTAAGTCCTAATGATGGTCTGCAAGGCTCTATACTATCCAGACCTTCATGACCTCTCACCTTGTCTCCTGCTTCTCTCCTTTCTGGTCACGCCAGCCTCCTTGCTATTCTCCGAACAGCCATGCTCCTGCCTCAGGTCCTTTGTGTTTGCCGTTCCCTCTGCATGTAATGCTCTTCCCCTAGTTAGCTATATTCCTCACCCTCGTCTCCTTCAGCTCTTTGCTAACATGCCACCTTCTAAGTGAGGGCTTCTCTGACCACCCTATTTAAAATATTAACCCTTGGTAGCACTCTTTATACTCTTCTGTCTCATTAGCAATTCTTATTGTTTCAGACACTATAAATTTCATAGATTTATTCATTGTCTGTCTCCCTACTTGATCATAAGCTCCATGAAGGTAGAAACTTTTTCGGTCTGCTTTAAGACTCAGAACAGTGTCTGGAAAATAATACGTGCACACTATTTGCTGAATAAATAGTCTCTAAGGTCCTTCCAGCTACCACTGTGTTCCTTGGTAACATCACAGAAAGAATCCAGTGAGGACTACTTTGCTGCTCACTGAGCATATAAACTGGCAATGGGAATTGCCAATTACCAACTTGTTTGTATTGGAAGAAAGAGAAACAAGGGAGAGAGAGAAGAAAAGGAGGGGAACGGTGGGGGAAGCTCTCAGCCACTGAGCATAACCTGTCTCACCTACAGACTTATTAATACTTGGCTCTGCATTATTTAACCACATCAATCTATTAAGGTTTTAAGCATGAAAAAAAAAGGCCAATTGTTCTATCAATGCTTTTTACTTTTTTATTGAGGGCTGCTTCCGCAAGATGCTTGGGATAGACTTTCCTGAGCTACATGGCTTAGCCCAAATCTCTGAATTAGACCAGTGTTTGGGTTCTGGGAGACCCTTAGAAGGAGGGACCACCTCCAGGGTAACTGACAAAATTTCAGACAGGCTAAAATTTAAAAACGAAAAAAAATATGAACAAATAAAATCCGATAGCCTGGTTTTCTTAAGAATTGGCCTTGCGTCACAACTCAGAGGGAACTGTCTTGGAACACTTGTTAGAGGGGCTCCAAATTGATGTCAAAGACTTGGGCCCAGGAAGCCAGGAGATTGAAATGAGAGGCTAAAGAAGGAAAAGAGGGAGGAAAGCCAATAAAAAAGAACAGTCTTGGGAGAGAACAATCAATCAGCTGGGCAGACATCGTTTTAGAGGGGCTCTTGTGGTATCCACTGGAAAGGTAAAGTGTCTCGGTCTAGGAAGTATAAAGCATGATGGTCTTTATCCTCTCCCTGAGGATAAAGTGCCCCTGGTCCCTGAACAACCTCTGCTAGTTTGGAAGTCTCCTTGGAAGAGATGAGAGTGTCAACCTTTGGGGCCCAGGGATCCTTCTTTTCCAGGTAGGCCATGAGGTGAGCTGCTGGGAGGGGGGCTTTCAGTTGTTCCCATACTCTGCCAGCTCACTTGGGCAGCTGCTCAAACAGGAGCAGCTTAAAGAGGCCTACTCTGATGTCAATTGCCCCTCACTCCACTCCTCTTCCTTTTCAGGCCTTTCTACCATTTCTCTTTGTTATGTCACTTACTAGTTGTGTGAGCTTGAACAGTTACTTAAACTCTCCGAAGTATAGCTTCCTCATCTATAAAATGGAGTATATTAGCATCTAGCTCATGGGATTGTTGCATGGATTAAATGAGATTAAATGTGTGTAAAGCACATAGTAGGTGCTCAGTAAGCGAAGGGTTACTATTGATGCTGTTGTTGATATTAGCCATAGGAATAAGATGGAAGAGGGTTCTGTTAGAAATAACCCGAGGATTTTCCTGGAGGCTCATAGCTCCAAGTCACAAGCAGGGCAATGTTGAATTAAGGCTGAGCAGCAAGGGAGTAGCTCCTGGTGGTGTTTTTACTCTGCTCCCCACCTCGGTCCCACCTTTACCATGCATATGCCGCACACTGTCTTGTACTGCCCATCTCGCATCCTTTCCTCTCCACCCCATTTCCCTATGAAAGCAGCTTTCTCCATGAAGATGCAGATGTTATGGCCCCTTTGAGCTCAGTCTAATTGCAAAGCTCGTAAGTGCTCAGCACCGTGCTGGCAAACGAGGCAGTAGGGATGCATAATGTTTAAGCTCTGGTTATATTAATAAGAAGACATGGCCAAGTGATAAATAAGCCAACTCAGGAAGGAAAATAATATTAGAAGGCTAATATGGAAGAACAAAGATAAGACCAAGGAGAGAAGAGAGGTGGGGTGGAACAGGGAGGTGGGATGGGGTGCAGATCTTGGCTTGCTTCAGTGGGAGCCAGCGAGTGGAAACAGCACAAGCTGAGGAGGCAGACTCAGGTTTGAATTCTGCCTCAGGCAGATGTGACCTTGAGAAAATTGTTAAAGTCAGTTTCTTCATGTGTAAAAAAGGGACCAACAAGAATACACCTCCACTAAACTGCTGTGAGAATTAAGTGTGATAAAGAGCCCAGCAAATGTTATTTTCTTCTGTGTGCCCTGAATTCCCATAGCCTCACAGCCAAGCCTAGGAGAGATTCCCTGAACCCAGCCCAGACTCTTCACCTCATCCTCATGTTGGGGCAGAGAAAGGAGCTGAGGCTTTGGGATGCAAAGCAGATAGGAAGGCCAGGAGGAAATGGTCAAGAGTCTCCCAACTCCAGACAAATGCCAATGCTGCTCATTCATTCAATCAAACTGCAGTGAGCACTTATAATATACCAGGTCCTTGGGATAGAAAGATGAATAAAATATGGAATATTTCCCCAAGGAGCCAGATGTTAAGAGGGAGAGACAGATATGTAACCACAAGTGCTAAGATGGGAGTAAGGACTGAATTTATGATATCTATGTATCCTGATTTCAAAGAATCTGCTTTATTGAGCAAACTGCTAAAAAGTGCAGAGGAGAATAATGAATACTGCTTGGAAGAGTCAGAGGAAGGCGTTTGAACAGGATAACAACAATAATGAGGGCTAACATTTGCTAATGTTTACTGACACTAACATGCCAGGCACCAAGTAACCAAGTATTTTACATGTATTAACTTATTTAATCCTCATGACAGAAACATTATCATTGCAAGCATATTCATATTTACAAGAATAAGGTCACATAGTTTGAAGTGGCAGAGCCAGGATTTGAAGCAAGGGTCTGATTCTAGATCTCATATTCTTAATGTCTATGCCAAATTGCCTCTCTGCATATTGAAGAATGAATATTGTGGCCATTCTGAGATCTAAGGCCAGTCCCGTCCCCCGACTCCCCCCAGAATGATCTAAAGTAATAGAGATTGGATCATCCATCCAGTCATACCATGTTCATTTAAAAATCTACTCTATGCAAGGACAGGTAAGATTCAGAACTGTAGGACTTGTGGGGGAAGCAACAACCCACAGCCCCTTACTCCATCCATGAGTTCTGTTTTGCTGTAATTCTCCTTGGCTCTGGGACCTAGAAAGTGGGCTGTTAGGAGTTGGGAGTGTCTGCTGGGCTGGTCTTTCCTACCTCTGCTCCTGGTGGGCAGGAATGGTGGAAACTGAGAGATTCAAGAAATTAAGGGGCCCAAAAGTTTGGCGATCCAAAGGATCTTCCAAAATAAGGGGTTTATTTCTCTCTCTCTTTCAAGGATGGAACAATTCTCCAAATGCAATCTAACGTGAAGCAGATAAAGCGGAACTGCCATGACAGAAGTGGAGTTGGGGGATGTAGAGCCCCATTCATTCAATGCTTATGTATCTTCTCCCATCTTCTCAGATGCTTCTTGTAGCCTCTCCATGGAATGCAGTTTGAAAAATTCTGTCCTAGGTAGTGCACTGGCAAAAAGCTTGATGGTGGCCCCTCCTCAGCTCTCTTGGCTGTTGAAGATAGGTAGTGTCTGCAGCAGGCAAGTGAAGTCAAAAAGCAAGGGAGTAATTAATCACTGTTGTCATTTGGAGGTTTTATGAGCATTGATATGACTCTCTGCCCTAATATGTGCTCTGAGTTGCTTGAAAAAGGAGAGAAATAGGCTCTGGGTTGGGATCCGGGAGAGGGGGTCATGAAGGGTGGGTGAGGAAGGGGGTGTAGAAGAGTGGCAGATACAGGTAAAACAGATGACAAATATTTCCCCCCTGTGGCAAATGCAGGAGAGGACAAGGTTGAGCGGAAGAAAATTGAATAAAAGAAGAATCAGTCAGAGTGGACAAAGCACTGACACTAAGTTTTATCCCGGATCATACCATTGTTAAACTCTGCTCACTAGAATGCCCTTTACGGGGGCAGTGGAACAGCAGACTTTGGACCTTTTCCGGTTTTGTGTACTCCTCCCTAGAATGGGAGTCCAGCACTGCTTCTGTAGGTGACATTATGTGTTCAGATATTGCTTTATGCCAGGACTCAACTCCTATGGCAAAGTCCAAAATACTGAGGAAGTATTGTGGGCTGGTGGAGGCAGAGCTTGGGAGGCAAACTTCCTGGATCTGAATCTGGACTTTGCCGCTTACAATTTGTTTGACTTAGGCAAGTTATTTAGTCTCCCAGTTTCTTCCTCTATAAAATTAGAACAATACTAGTTTCTCCCTCATAGGGTTGTTGTGAGAGTGAAATTAGTTAATACATAGAAAGCACTTAAAACAGTGCCTGACATATAGTGGCTATTCAAAAGATGCTAGTTTTGTTATTATCATCATCTTCAGAGGTATTTAATTATAGCTCTGGATTCTCTAAAACGTCAAATAACTACTGAGAGTCTCCTCCCATGTCTGAAATATGTAGGCTGAAAACCTGGTTTGCAAGATTATGGGCAATTCAATACTGTACTTACGACAACAACAACAACAACAAAGGCTTATTTCAGTCACCTTATAGTCTATTATAGATTCATCAGTAGAAGAGAGTGATGGTTCTGCTCCATGAAATCATTCAGGCATCTAGGCTCTTTCATTGCCTAGGAGCTTGAAGCTTTTCACTGATTTCCTACATCCAGACCGGAGGCAAGTGAAGAGAGAATGCTTAGAGGATCATTCAGAATAATGGTCACACTTGGAAGAGGCTTACATCAGTTCTGTCCACATTCTATTGGCCAGAACTTTAATTACGTGGCCTGACTACAAAATGCAACCCAGCTATGTGCTTAGCAAAAAGATGAGACTGTTTGGAGAGCACTAGGCCAGTCTTTGCCATATCCTTCAACATTTTGTTATACTTAATACAGATATTAATAAAAAAAACTTTTTATTGTGGAAAACATTGAACAAACGCGAAACTAGAAAAAATAGTAACAAATCCCTACAACATATCACTCAGATTAAAAAGTTGTCATCTCATAATCCATCTTGTTTCATCTATACTTACACTCAATTCCTCCTCCCACTCTATTACTTTGAAGCAAATCTGAGACACTGCATCTTTAAATCTGTAATTATTTCAGCACAGTACATTCTCAACCACTTACTATGTGCCAGTCACTGTGCATGCCCTAGGAATACAATAAGGTATGCTTTTTGTCTTTAAGGAGATGCAGCTGAGGAGCTCACAGACTAAAGCTTACTGAGATACATCAGACTGAATCTCAACGACAAAAGAGAACTCTTTTCTTACACACACACACACACACACACACACACACACACACACAATCCTTGCAACAGCCAAAATGGCCATACTAATAAATAAACGTATTTTTCCTGACCTCCCTAATTCACTAATGAGCTTTCTTAAGTATCTTCACTCTTCTTTGAGTAGCGGCTCCTGGGAGAGCCATTTTAGCTTAGGAGCTCTGTATGACAGAGGATGAGCTTACCTGTCAGTAGAGGAACCTGATAATGGAACAGCTGCTGAGAGAGGCTGAGAGGCCCTTTCTGGTCTAGTCAGCTCCTGGGGCTTCTACTAAGCGATGACCTAAGGCTTTAATTCTATCTTTTCCTGAAGGTGGGTAAAATGGCCTCCAGGGGGTTAAGAGGCAGCATCTTAATCAAAAAGAAACTGATTGTTGACAGCTCTGCTGGCTCCAAGTTCTCTCTAATCAGAGCTCAGGACACCTTAATGGGTCACTAACCTTGCCCCAGATGTCCTGCCACATATCACCACCGGCACACCAGCCATTCAGCTAGCCAGACAAAGCAATGAAAAAAATACCATCTGTGTATTCCTTCTACTTCCTTCAGCATTCTCTACCCTGCAGAAGCCTGGAGTGAAATTCAGATGCAAGTGGGCTTGGAATTAGACAAGCCATAATTGGGTAAAACACAAGCAATACCAGACTTCATATTAGAACACTGTGCTCTCATGTACATCAATAATTCCAGTGTCAAATTCAGCCACAGAATATTAACCTGCATGAGACAGTGGGTTCTCTGAAGCACAGACAGGGAAACTGTTTCTGCTCTGAGATGTATCTTGTTAAGCACAGAAGGTGCATAGAATCACACATGGATTTCCTCCTGCACTTAGGGGCTGGGAAAATGATAGCTTAAGTAGCCACTTACTATAATTTAGTGTCTCTGTGTAAACACAACTGGCTGAGCTGGGAATAGACACTCTTTCAGGGCTCACCTTCCAGTGGATGCAGATAAGCAGAAGTCCACAGGGAGAGTGTGACCAAGCAGACGACTCCAGAGCCCAGGGGCAGTCTGCTATCAATTCAAAGAATTTTCACTTGGCCCACCTGCCCACCTATTTCCTGTTGTGGATATGGGTAGAGAGTGAGTAGAAAGAAGTATGAGATGCTAGATTCAAAACTGATTGAGAATGGGGTAAGGGGACAAGATTAAAGACCATGGTTAACAAAAAAGTTACCCTTAAAGTGAGTCTGGATGATCAAACTTCAAAGAATCAGTACTGTAAGGATAAATGGAGTCTGGGTCATGCAGTTTGGCTTTTCACTGCAGAAGGGCAAGACTGTTTACAGGCTGGAAGAACAGACTTCAGAGACACATAGTCCTGAATTTGCCTTGTAATTTAACCCATAGCTTCCCAATAACAAATAGGTTGAAGGTGTACCATAAAATGCAGTTGGTTGTAAATTTTTTATAATGATACAATATTTAAAGCAATTGTCATAACTCTTCAACATTACACTGGTTGAGATTACATTGAAACACTATTTGTGTGACTCCCTGAGGCTTGAATATACTGTTATTTTGTATACTTTACACTTAGTACCCATTGGCAGAGAGCAACCTGAGGTGACCACATCACATACACCTTTCCTGATGCTCTACTAAATCGTCTCAAATTATCAATAGAGGTGTACTGAATTTTTCACTGAGCTCTATTTCCCAAATCCCCTCATTTATCCCAGAATGCCAAATAAATAGAATTTTCTATGTAAAAAAGTTGGGAAAGCACTTATTTAAATTCTGTGAACAAATTTCCTCATCTGAAAAATGAGAATAATAGTACATATCTCATAGGGTATTGTGAAGATGAAATGAATTAAAATATGTAAATAACTTTAGAATAGTGTCTGGAACATAGTAAATGAATAAATGCCAGCTATTATTTTTTCCATATCTGTAAGATGGGGATAATATCTACCTGATAGGGTTGGTGTGAAGATTATACATGAGATAGCACCTGTTAATTGCTTAGTAGGTATGACACAAAGTAGGTCAGTAAGTGCGAAGCAGTATGACTAGTGCTCCAATTAGTTAAAATGTGTGTAACTTTTTATGTTAGATTCTAACTTTCTAGTGCAGTTCATATGTGCACAACTTTCTAGTTAGACTGTAAGCTCCTTAAACTGATTTCATTCTCTTCAGGACCTATTATAGTTCCAGAACTACAGAAATTTTCCAAAACATGATTGGAGATTTCTTTTGCAGAGCTGATAGACTTTACAAAGCAATTTTATGCCTGTTATTTCCCAAAACAACAACTAGAAGCTACCTCCATTTTAAAGGTAAGAAAAACTGAGGCCTAGGCACATTATGTAGTTTGCTCAAGGTATCAGCAGGTCAGTTTCAGAGCCGGAAGCAGAACTTAAGTCTAAAAAAATTAGTGTTCTTTTTACCAGATCACACTACAGTAGTGAAACTCCTACATGTGGTTGCACAGGGAGTGCAATTCATATTGTAGATGTTGATGGTTTGTATATTTATTGAGCAATTTTCTGGTGGATGGCAGTAAGTTTTATTGATTTTGTTAAAAATCAATAGATTACAACAACTGTCTTAGGAGCATCTTTATCCAATTTTCACAAACGCACCATACAGATTAGCAGAGGCCCTAATATACTACCACCACTATCAAATTTTTCTCTGATGACTGTCAGTGTTTTGTGACGTTGGGCCTTTTTGGATTATCAATTTGAATCTAAAAGACAGGACTACTTATAGCAGGGGTCACTAAACATCTTTTGCAAAAGGCCAGATAGTAAATATTTTAGGCTTTGTAGGCCATACATTTAGGCTTTGTGGTAACTACTCAAGTGTGCTGTTGTAGCCCCCAAAGTGGCCACAGTCAATATATAAGTGAATGGGTGTGGTTATGTTTCAATAAAACTTACAAAAACAAGCAGTGGGCACAGCTTCCCAATGACTGACTTAGAGAATTCTGGTCATCTGAATTACCAACAGGAGTTTCTGGAAAGAGCATAACTTGTTAGAACCTGTTGATGCTCAAAAGGTGTGAAGCCAGAACTTGAAATTAGAGCCGATTTCAAACCCCTTGTTCTTTAAACTTTACCTGTAAGATGTTCTCATTCTTGGTGGTGTGACCTGCCACTATGTGGCAATCAATTGTGCAGTATGTTTGCGAACAAATTCCAGTGTTTTTGAATATCACTTAAAAAATAATGAAATAGACTAGATGGGACTCATCATGGTGGGTACTCATTCACACTTCTTTTGATTTCCTGAACGGTATGGGAAGTCCGACCTGAGCCAGAGTGGGTTATCATCTCCACTCTTTGGCCTCCAAGGAGACACTGACACCTCATTTCTCTGGGCTTTTATGCCCACAAATCCCTATTCTCTTAGTTTAGCTGAAACAAAGCTGTGATTCTATGAATGAAACTTTACCAGGAAACAAAAGGTGGGAAAGAAAACAACAACAAAAGGAGTTTCTAAATATAAACAGGTGAGTTTGAACAGCCTGTTAATTAAGTCAGGAATTAAGTTACTCTATTTTAACAGAGGTCTAGGCAAAGACATAGTCAGCTGCTCTAACAAAATGACCCTTGTTCCTCTTGCAACCAGATCCAGCCACCCAGGTTCCTAACCCAGGCAGGTGCACCCTGGTACCACATATGACCTTGTTACAATCTCAGGCTCTACCATGACCTTCTTAGAAATTTAGGGCTGGAAGAGAACTTAGAAGTTATCTAACCCTTGTTACATACTTGAGGTCTTCAAGGCCAAGTCTGAGGGGCCCAGCCTACGAGCTTCATAGCATATTGTCATGAATATGCTATGAATATGCTACGAATGGGCTATTCTGAGCCCAGGATGACAGCCAGCTAAGCAGGTATTTCTGAGGAATTGGGACACGTGCAGCATCTGAACTTGAAAGCATTATGCAGCTGTTACTCTCTTACCAATCCTTTCCAGAGATATAATCTTAGTTTTATTTAAAAAAAATTTTAATGGGTAATTTTAATAATGTTATTTAACCCAATGTACCCAAAATATACTTTACATTTTTTCTTTATACTTTTATACTAACCAACCTGATGCATAATTTATATTTACCGCACATATCAATTTGCTTTAATTTTTATCTCAATAGCTTTTAGGGTCCAGTGGTTTATTGTTACATGGATGAATTATATAGTGGTGAATTCTGAGATTTTAGTGGATTCATCACCAAAGTAGTGTACATTGTACCTAATATGCAGTTTTTTATCCCAACTCCCCTCCCACCCTCCTCTTTCTGAGTCTCTAAAGTCCATTATATCACTCTGTATGCCCTTCCATACTAATCGACAACTTGAAGAATCAGGAGATGAAAGTTATTCCCCGTAGGGGAATAACTTTCAATGTAGGGGAATAACTTAGCTCCCACTATTAAGTGAGACTATATCGTTTTTGGTTTTCCACTCCTGTGTTACTTCACTTAGAATAATGGCCTCCAGCTCCATCCAAGTTGCTGCAAAAGACATTATTTTGTTCTTTTTAATGGCTAAGTAATATTCCATGGTGTATACATACCACAATTTCTTTATCCACTCATTAGTCGATGGGCACTTAAGTTGGTTCCACATCTTTGCAATTGTGAACTGCTATAAACGTACGTGTACAAGTGTGTTTTTCATATAATGACTTCTTTTCCTTTGGGCAGATACCCAGTAGTGGGATTGCTGGATCGAATGGTAGATCTACTTTTAGCTAGAGATATAATCTTGAAGTTAGAAAAGAGCTTTCCCAATCTAGTCCAGAGGTTATAAACTAATGGGCCATGGGCCCAAAGGAGCCACAGATATTTATTTGGACTCCTTAGTGTTTTACATATTTTTTAATTAGTTGCTGATACTTCAAAATCTGAAGATCTTGCACAGAAAGATCCACATTTTGCTTGTCTGGAAAAACAGAAATATCTGTCCACATTATGTCCTTAGAACAACAATCAGCTGAGGCTGAGTAGAAGCTACTTCCTTGAGACATGTGAAACTGAACCAGTCAACCAAATTTGCAAACCCTGAATAAATCCAACCAATTCATTTCACTTATGAAGAAAACAAAGTTCTGAGAAAACCGTTTGGCCTGTCCCCATTTAATGACAATATCAAAATCAGAAGCCAGATATTCTGAATTTCAGTCAGTGATCTTCAATGAGAACTGTTGCTTTTTCCCTAAAGAACCCGAAATACAGGGATATTACGTGCTTGTAGGCACTATGAGGAGGAAAAACAAAACTGAAAACTAGGTCTTCTGTCCCTGCACTCACTATGTTCTATCTCCTTACTGGGCCAGAAATTCTTATGCAAATTAATAGGGAGGTAAGACTAGCCAGGAACTCAAAGCCCAAACTTTCCAAGGCCTGTGATCCTGGAACAGCTCTTCCATGTGTCCATGAGAGAGACTGGTGCTAGGAACCAGTAAGTATAGAGGCAAATTTTTTGTGCTCCTTTCTGAGCAGCACACTTTAAAAATTCCATACAGTCTGTATCTGACATAAATTAGGGTATTGTAGCCAAGTTGTCAATTTCACCAATCCTCAAGCCACATGTCTATTCTGTGCAGGTCTATGGAACCTAATGCACAGTCTCCTGAGAGCATAAATGAAGTATCGGGCAATTGGCTATGGCCAAAGGAGACTTGTCTTTTTCCCCTGAGAGATTTGCTCTCACTGAGGCAGAAGAGACTCTTCTAGATGCACCGTTTAGACCCCAACACTTTTCCTGCTCACCGAATACACAGTGACTGTATCCTCTCAGAACCAAATAATAATGACAATAATCATTGTATGAGGTAGCTTTTAAAATGTGCTTTTTTTTCTCTTTTAACTCTCAACTCCCTTAGAAGCTGGGGCTGTTCATCTTCTCAACTTTACAAAGAGGGAACCCAGTAAACAGGATTGCCTCTATATAACAACAACAACAAAAACCTAAAGCTTGAACAGAAAAGGAACTAGTCTCTTACTCATTTAGGTACAATGAAATCCTGGATTAGGGCTTTCACAACAGGCATGAATTCGTTAAGCGCCCAGCTGAGCACTAAATCAGACTTGAGTGGAAGAACTAGGAAAGCCTTGGTGAGATCTTTCGTAATTGCTTTGTCATTAATAAGCAGGATTTTGTTACCCACATTCAATGAGCCCACGATAATAATTTAATTCCAGGCAAGTCTCTCAGAAATAGGTCTTTCAACAAGGAAAAGACCCAAATCCTAACCTAGCACTGGCCACTCAATTCAAAATCATGCAGGATTTTTTAAGTACCAGGGCTTTATGGAGAAATTACAATAGTGGTAAGAAAAATGTCAGCCTTCTCAACACGGCAACATGTATTGAATGAATCACCATCATGTATGTGATGATTACAAAGGCGATTTAGAAAGATGTGGTCAACAGTATTCATTAGCCCTTCACAAGAGCAGGTTTAACAGTTTGGTTACTTCTTCATCTTCTTACGTAAGGCTACTGGCTACTTGGCTATTGAGGCCAAAGTCTCAACAGGGGTTTCACAAGACTAAACCTGTCCTCTCCCCTGCTGTTTTTTCATTTTAAGTTAATGGTGGAGTAAGCACCCACTGAACCAATATTCCAACGAATAACAACCATAAACTCTCAAAAAAATACAAAAAATACATGAGGGTAGGAGACAATAAAAACAGGCAAGTTCTGAAAAGAGATTGAAATTTTAAAGAAGGGAATGGCACAAGGTGAGTTTCCCATTGTACAGCTTTTGGGCTGAAAGAAAACTGCAGTTTTTCTGGTCTAAGAATCAGAGCAACCACAGCTGCTGGAAAATGAGGGGGGAAATCTCAGAAGAAAGAGAGCCAAAGAAAAAGCACCACAAATTCTGTGCATAAATTCTATCCATCTCTCTGGCTAAGCCCTGAACTATGTGCAGCATAGACTCCAGCTAACTGAATTGAGATTTTCAGCTGCTGCCCAAGAGAGTTTACAGTTTGAGTCCAATAAAGTTAAATGCCTGCTAACACAAGCAATATATATATATACACACACACATACACAATATATATATATTTGTGTGTGTATATATTTGTATATATATATTTGTGTGTCTATATATACACACAAATGTAATACACAAATGTTGTATATATATATTTTTGTGTATATGTATATTTATGTGTGTATATGTATATATCACAGCACTTTTCAGAGCAATATAACAGAATCTACAACATAAACATTACAATGTTCAGGACACAATCTAAATCACTCAATATATGAGGGACCTCCCCCCAAAATCTGACCATTCTGTAAAGAGGAACAATGGAGACCAATTCTAAGATTATCCAGATGTCAAATTTACCAGAAAAGAATTTTAAAGCATAATTTAAACTCATTGAACATAGTTATGTGTTCTCTACTGAGAACACATAATTTTTTTATTTATGTGTTCTCTACTGAGAACAAATAATTTTTTTATTCACTATATAGTTATGTTCAATGTTTTGTTCGGTTATGTTCATAGTTATGTTCATCTGTTATGTTCAAGGTTCATAGTTTTATTCACTACATAGTTATGTTCAATGAAAACATGCATGTAGTGAATAAAAAAATCTCAGTAGAGAAATATAAAGAATTAGGGAGAAATTCTAGAACCAAATGATAAAATGTCAAAAATTAACTCTTCAGTTGAAGACTCCCTTTGGGAAATACTCCTTAATTTATTTCCTTCGTATCTCTGTTCTTTGGTCCTTTCACCCCTGGAACTCGGTCAATTTAGAAGGAAAAGAGACTAACTTAATTTACCTTTGGATCTTCTATAAGGGCACAAATCAGATCCACAGTTACTGATGTTCCAATGACATGTGAGATGCGAGTTGCAAAATAACTCATAATCAAAATTACCTCCGCTCAGTTGGAGATTGTTTCAAATGACTTTTATTTGTACCAAAACTAAATGGAAAATTGCTTGCTGACACTGTAGGAAGTTAATTTCTTTTTTCTTTGGGAGGCTTGACTTGAGAAAAAGAATTTAGTTAAGTTTGGTGGTGAAATTTTATATACAGTATTTTCATTTGGTGAAGATATGAAGGCCAGGACTAATAGCTCTTCTGCCTAGGATCCCTAATATTTCACACTAGGCCTGATAGTCGCTCCTACAGAGATGACATTTTTCTTTTAGAATGCAGTAACACCTACCAGGCCTCTGTAGGAGGCAGGCTACATACAATAAGGAAGTGTTTTTATGAGGAGAAAAATGATGCTCAGAGACAAAGCATCAAAGTCTTATTTTCTGAAGTGATTCTAACATGGAAGAATTTGGAAAAGATAATCCCAAGACTCAGTCCATTGTGAGTCTCCCATTGGTCCCGCTTCTCACTTGGTCACCAAGTTCTGCACACTATGAGACATATACTTCTGAAACAGCCAGCTTCCCAATCCCAAAGATACCTGGTACTCTCAAAAGCAGGGCATGATAGGCTAGGGCAGAAATTGGTTCCTGGATAAAACAGGACCCTACTCACAAAAAGCGATAATAAATACATTAAGAAAGACTACCAAACAAACCTGAAATGGTTTTAGAAATGGAGGTGATAGCTTCTCTGGGAGCAAGGAGTTATGATTATTTCACTCAATTAAAACAATGTCCAAAATATGAGAATGAAAGCTCCCAAACAGTGTTCTTAGCAATTTTGTAATGTGTACCAATGAAAATTGGTTTTCAGTATTAAAATGGACCAATGTCTCTGAGTTAAGAATTAGTTACTATATCAGAAACAGGAAAAAAAACAAAGTAAATAAGCTGAAAAACTAAAAAGCTCCTCTTTTTATCACAGTTCTTCCACATAAGGCTGATCAACATATCATCCAATGATATAAAATTCTAGAAACTTTACAAAATTCCTTTTTAAAATTTATTTTTTGTTATCAAAGAGAATGTCCAGAAACATTGAGTACTAAAGAATTTGTTCATGGCATTGTTTTACAAAATTTTCTAATGGAGAGTGAATATTTTATTTTCTGATGTATTCTTCACTTATTAATGATGAGGTCAATGAACTGATGCAATTATTTAAAAAAAAAAAAACAGACAACCTTATAAAGGAAAAAACAAAAACAAAAACAAAAAAAAACCAAACGTCCATTCTCATTCTGAATCTGTTGACTGGAGTGAATTCAGTGGTCACAATACCACCATCAAATAAGAATCAACTTCCTCAGAGTAAGGAGCTGTTCCGATCTTCTCAATAGTTCACACAGGTCTCTCAGATATAGGCACCATGTTTTAAGTCTCACACAAAATGTCTGTGTCACTTAAATTACACAATATGGCAGTGTTTGTCTTATGGGGACATACTGAAAGGGGCAAAGTAGAAAACAACCTGTTTGCATGTTATATGTGAGTACATTATTGTACTGTGCATGGGTATGAGGGCATTGCAGCCCTTGTTAAAGAGGAATTCCACCAATTGAAGCCTATGTCAGTTCCCAGCTGCTCTTGGTGCTGAGAGTATCTACTCATATAACCTTATTTTGTTAGATCAGAGCCCTCTTCATCTACAGTTTGGCTGAAATGGTTTGAACTGAGTTTGGTCGAACTGAGTTTGGTCGTTTATCTCTTCCATCTGAGCTTTATTTCTCAGCCTCAGGATATGTGGGGTACTTGACCGTTTCTATCTTCTCTCGAACTTTGTAGGAGGGATATAGGCCCGTCCTTCCCAATTTCCTGTTGACACCTTTAGAATAGCCATCCCAATGATTTCCAGCCACACCAATGATATCTCCAGGTTCCATGGGAATTTCATCTGCAGTTCGGGGTTGGTGAGCATAAATGGCAATTTGATTGTGGGCATTCTGGCCCCCAAAATAGTAGATGTCATCTAAAGAATGGAAGTTTGCAGAGGCATCAGGATGTAGTGTTTGCATAATTTCATAAGCAACTCGACAGACCTTGGGAAAGAATTTAAAAGAAATTGTTAGTATATAAACACTCTCCTTCACAGCAATCTAAAAGCCCTTGGCCAAAAGGATGGGCTCTAGGAGTAAGAGGTTGAAAAGTAGTGGATTCTAGTCACAAGCTTTCAGTCCATTTGTTCTCAGAAGATGGTACAAGTCATTCTTCATCTCTGTGTCTGGATCCTTTTTCAAATAAAGAAGAAAAACTCACGAAAGATTATTACAATTAAAATCTCTCTATCTCTATATAGTACAAAAGAATTTAAGAATATGAATTAGTTAATTTTAACAAACATTTATTAAGAGCTACATACACAGTGGTCCAAGCTAGGCACTCATGATACCAAAATGAGTAAGACATAGTTTGTGCCCTTAAAGAATTTGAAGTTTAGGATTAGGATAAAAAAACTTAACACAAATAAATGCTGATGGTCCCTTTCCTTCATACACTGTTAATCAATCACACATTCTCATCTGCTAATTTATAACTTGGTGTCAGAACTGTTTTCTTTTTTTTTAAATTATACTTTAAGTTTTAGGGTACACGTGCACAACGTGCAGGTTAGTTACATATGTATACATGTGCCATGTTGGTGTGCTGCACCCAGTAACTCGTCATTTAACATTAGGTATATCTCCAAATGCTATCCCTCCCCGCTCCCAGAACTGTTTTCAAGAGAGATTCATGTAATTACTGACAATCAACAAGCACTGGCAAGTGAGCTAAAACACATCGGCAATTTCTGTTCTAAAAAGTTTTAAGTGTGCTGTGTAGAGAGTGGCATGCTTGGATGACATAAACTGGGCAAGCCTTTGAGGAAATGCATCACCCTGATTACTATAGTTTTAAGGCTACTTAAAAGGTCCCTATGTCCAAAGAATACCCTCTCTGCTCACTGGATAGCAGGTGAAATTCCACAATCTGAGCTTCAATCCTTGAGGTTAATGCTTAGTAATAAAGTTAAACTAAACTATCACCCAATTTAAGCAATTTATACATTGTGAAAAGAGAACAATGCAACTCAGATGAAATTTTCCTAAATCTCCAGTTATGGTAATCTTAGTTAATGCTTTATTGTCACTATACCAATAGTTTTGCATGTATTTAAAATGACGCTACTCATAGTAATTGCTTATCTGCTCAGTGGAGCAATTTAGGACTACCCGGCAGTCTTTTAAAACCTTGGCATTTATGAAGATTAAAAACTTGAATGGTGATATGGTTTAGATTTGTGTTACCTGCCCAAATCTCATGGTGAACTGTAATCCCCAATGTTGGAGATGGGGCCTGGTGGGAGGTGATTGGATCATGGGGGCGGTTTCTCATGGTTAAAACCATCACCCCTTGATGCTGTGGTCACAGTAGTGAGTTCTCGTGAGATCTGATTGTTTAAAAATATGTGGCACCTCCCAATTCTCTTCCTCCTGCTCCAGTCATGTGAAGTGCTGGCTCCCCGTTTGCCTTCTGCCATGATTGTAAGTTGCCTGAGACCTCCCCAGCATCATGCTTCCTGTATAGCCTGCAGAACCATGAGCCAGTTAAACCTCTTTTCTTTATAAATTGCCCAGTCTCAGGTATTTCTTTTTAGCAATGCGAAAACAGACTAATACAAATGGAGATGCCTATTCTTAACTCTTATCAAATAAAATCTGACTAGGTTAATCATCACCTCAACTTAGAGAATCTGAATTTCAGAAAACTTGAGGGGCAATTCTCAAATGCTATATATAATTTGCAAATGAAACTACATTTGCCCCAATATTTTTAATTTTGCAGATAGGCAACTAAAACACAAGGAGATTAAGTGATTTATGCAAATTTTAGTGATAGAATTTCAACTAGATATAGAACCAAAATAATAGAAACCTTGCTTTCAGATTTATTAGTTCAACAACGATTATATTGGCAATGTCATTTTACAATTGAGATCATTGGTAGAATACCGAGACTATAATAAAATAGGGATCAAAAAGATTTGGAACTTTTGAATTTCAAATTCAGCCAAAGGCTCATAGAAGGCAAGCAAAATTAAGTGGGACTCAGGAAAAGAAGAAACTAAATAATTAAAGCAGCTCCAATAATAGCAAACTACAATAACAATGACAGAGGCTAATATTTACTGAGCTTTTGCTAACTGTCAGACATTGTTTTTAGACATTATCTAATGTAATTAGATTCCTTTCAGCATCCCCATAAAATTCTATCATTATGTTTGTTTTACAAATGTCAAAGGGAAGTTAAGGCATTGCTCAAGGTTATACTAATAAGTGGTAAATTCAGGTTGGAACCCAGGCAGTCTGCATATGCTTGAAACTGCTATATATATTTTCTCTTGTAAATCTTATTCTCCATGTTCATATTGTAACACCAGAAAGATATAGCATAAGACCAAAGACAGTCTTGGGTAAACCTGACAGTCTTCTTTTCAGGGTGTCTTCACCCACTCTTCAGTCATCCCTAGCCAGGAATGCAGGACCTTGTGTTACTCTTAGGATGACCACAATCTCTACTGTGACAATGAACCGTGATGTGTTTCCTCCTCTCCACTCTTAAACGTCTTACTCTCATAAAAACAACATCGCACCCTGTCCCACACCCTTAGAGACCTGTTTCTTCTGGGGATAATCCTAATAATTAGTGTATGTTTTGCTATCAAGAGTTGTTCATGTGTTAACCTTGGTGGATAACAGAACTGTTTTCTTAAACCAAAGAAATAACTATTATAATAATAGTAGAGATTTCAGACACTGAGGTGGCCCATTATAAAAATGACAAATGTGACTGTAGGCCTCTGCAAGCATACCAGTGCTACACAGGTGTGGCCCTTTATTTTTCTCATAAGAATGACCATTAAAGATAGCAGCTGAACTTAATGAGCACCGATTATGTCCCAGGCAGTGTTATAATAGTGTGCTCTTCCCTCACCTTGTCTCAACTCATTTAACTATTATGACAAACCTGTGAGGTACTATTATTATTCATATTTTACAGATGAAGAAGCTAAGCCACAGAAAGATTAAGTAAATTTCAAAAAATAAAAATAAAAATCCAAAAAGGAACTAGTTAATGGCAGAGCCACAGTCAGAACTCTTTCAGGCTCTTGAGTATATATTCCCTTAGGATAAACACCTAGAACAATGCCTGCCACAAAGTACGTGCTCAATAAGTATCTGTTGAATGAATATTGCTCCAGGCATAATACCAGCCCAGTAATGGAGACACAAGTCCATGGGTGATATTTAACCCTTAAGATCCATATATAACATTAAGAGGAAGTAATTTTAAAACTGTCTATATCAACCATGGGACAATTTACTGCAAAAGGCTAAAAAGATTACTATAGTGTTAATGTTCGCATTTAGTCACTCTATGCTTCCTCTCTTCTTTCCTTACCTACCACGTGGTTTAAAAGTTCAAATCACATGGCAGGTAAATGAAGGCTTGCAGCTGACGTCCATACTCAGGTTTGATGCTTGACAGGTGGCATGACTGAGAGCAGTCCATGGTTTGCAAAGCAGTGGTTGGCTACATGTAGTATGTTTAACTTTATTCTGTGTTGACATGGCACTGTATCATTTTTAGTACATCGTAAAGCACACAGTAATGGGTAACAGCAAAAATCCTGCCAAAGGATAAAACAGATATGACTGTATTAAAAAAAATTTTAAAAAGGGGGAGGAATCCATTAGTCTGAATTTCATCCCTTAGAAGTAGCCTGAGTTTACATAAGCCTCCAAAGCTTTCTCAGAGTAGATGGGATCTTATTTTTGTCAAAATAGATAGATAGGGGCAGGAGGATATCCTAGTGTGAGAAGTTGGAAGTGGCTGAGAGATCTGTGCACTTTTCCTGTAATCTGCTTTGTTTTACTATACAATAAGAGAATAAGACCCAGGTCTTTTCTTTGTTGTGAGAAACACCAGAAGGATTAATGCAGTAACAGCTGCACTGTACAGCACTCAGCATTGTAAGCTAGATAGAGCCTCTGTGGATGCAAATACTTTTCTTGTCTTCTGCTCTGGGAAGTAATCACAGAGTTCACACCTTGGGATTTCACCCTGTGCTTTCCTCCATGGTACTCTCAACAGGTATCCACTGTTGTTTCATGAGCCACATCTCAATGGAAATTCCTGTCCAGAGCCATCTGTCTGGAATAGTTAACGTAGTTTTTGGTTTTGCCCTCTGGGCTTCCAAAATCTGATTCAAAGTGTAATAAGGGGAGTAGAATTGCGTGCGGATTTGGAATTAGACCAAGAGAGGCTCATGAGAGTATTGTAATAACTGCCATAAAGGGAGGTGTCATAGGGGGAAAAAAAGGATTTTGTATTATGATAACTTTTAATGGCTGAAACTACAGAGTAACATTAACTGCTCTTTAAACAATGTCTTTAACAATGTTAGTCTTTAAAGTGAGCATCTGCAACCATTTTTTAAGTCAGATTTCAGAAAAATAAAAATTGATCCCAGAACCTGATAAGCAATATTTTCAGAAAACCTTTCTGATACTGTGCCTATCTACAACTGGGCTGTCAACTGCTGTTATTCTCCAACTATAAATTCTTTGCTTTAGATTTAAGATTCAAATAAGAAAATAGGTGACAAAGGAGATGCTTTGCACATAGGCGATTTCCAGTAACACAGAATAGGATTAATGTATTTGGTAGAACGTTTTAGAATGTAGTTGCATAGCTTTCAAAATTCACTTGACGTACTTGAAAAAAATGCTAATATTGCCTCCAATTTTCATATTAAATCCTGAGGACTGTGCTATTCAATTTATGAGGCTTTTAGGACAAACTTGGCTTTGAGAAACAGATCTGATGAAAGTTAACAGCAATAATAGTAACAAAATTAGAGAGCAGAGCCACAGTGTTGGCTTTTAAAACCTTTTCATTGAAGAAGAGAGAATTCCCAGACCTCACTTATGGATATAAAACCAAGAAAGATGAGAAGTCCTGAGACTGAGGGAGATAGGTCTAAAAATTTATGAGAAATCCCGATTAAGGTCCCATGACATTTTTGCCTGCAGTTTTCCAAACATCTAGCCTTGTATTTTTCCTTCTAGCATGGCATTTCATTCCTGCAGTATTGTCTACAATAGCTCATGGTCAACAGGTCAACTCTTTCTCACTATTGTTATATGGTATAAAATTCCTGAAAGGATAGTGTATAGGAGACAGAAAGTTTACATGAATAAAACTTAAAGATTGTCAAAGAATTATGAAGGAGATATTAAACTTGGATCACTTCCTAACATCTCTTGGCACATGAAATTATCATCTAAGAAAGTTGAGAGTTGGTTATCCATGTTTTTATTCTGGGCTGAACTTATTCTCAGTGTTTATCTTCTGTCACTCTTCTGGATGTATGGCTTTAGTCTTCCTCCATTTTCTAGAATGCTTATGACATATATAGGAAAGTCTGAAGATTAATTTCACTAAAGTCAACACACACACATTTACTTCAAATACTAAGTCTTCACTCACCTTTTGGGAATGAAGAACTTTTGTTTCTGAAAAATCGCATCATATGGCAATATTCTCTTTCAATAAGCTAAACAAAATGAAGTTGAGGTGGTACATTGGCCCAGAGAAATTGTACATGCTGAATGTTAACAGTTCCTCTTCTTTACGGACCCTAAGCATTACCCGTAACCACAAGCAGAGCTAATGGAGGCCTTGACTAGCTCGTTTCATGCTCCTTCTAAAATGTGAGCGCATACAGTCTGAAATGAAGCCATGTGAAAAAGAGCTGCAAAATAAATACTATAGAGTGTCTCTAACAGGCAGAGATATTCCTATAACTATTCATATATATAATAATAGCAGCTAATGTGTTTAACACTGTATTGCTAGGTACTATTCGCAGTGCTTTACTTTTCATAACTCCTTAATCCTCAAAAAGACTCTATACTATAGGTACTATTATTTTTTCACATGTAGAAAAATAAACCAGTTAAGAAATAGGCTAAGCAATTTGTTCAAGGACACACAGCCAGTAATTGGTCAAAGTTGGATGCAAATACAGATATCCTGACTCTACAGCACAGGTTGCCTCTTTCTTGTTCTGTGATCAGTGGTCAATGGTTTGGCATTTTATCCCATCAGTGACTTTTTCTCACGCTCTATTGGCAATGATGGCAAGATATTTCTAGGGCATTTTCAAACAATTCCAATTTTGGTTTATGTAAAGGAATCTACATAATAATCCTGCAAACAATTTCATTCACACTACAAAAACATTAAACTTTACTAAATACTTCTTTACTAAAAATATTTGAGAAAAATAATGAGGTGCAAGTAAGCTCAAAGATTTATCACTGAATATGGAATTACTCTACAATTTCAAATGCTACAGCGGTTAGTCATCAAATAAGGTACATGATAAGGAGGTAATCACATTAGGCAAACTGCTACTCACTATATAAATGTAAGGTATTTCTACTGTTAAACTTTTATTGTGAATCCTAACATAAAATATTTTGAGGTATTCAAGTCTATTTTGGGTTATGAAATACTGTTTTAATTTTGCTTAGGTTCAAATGAGTGAAATTATTTTGGGCAAACTTTGACTGCCAGGAGTTTTTAGGAACAATGTGAAATATAAGTATGAGCCTTATTCCTTTGGATACAGAAAGTCTTCTCAGCACCACTCTTTCTTCATATGAATTGCTTCTCTGGACCCAAGTTCTGAATACACTGAAGTTGACATTATGCATAAAACCAAACAAAGTAATAGAACAATATTCTCCTCAAGCCTAGACAGAATTCTACCATCATGAAGTGACAGAGATCCTGATTTGTAGGTCAAAATTGGAGTTATGAGGATCCAAAATTCTAAAGTACAACTTCAAAAAGGAAAAAAAAAATAGTAAAGCAAAAAATTTTCTTTCTATTCCAGAATAAGCCTAATGGTATTACTAAGGAGGATTGGGAGAAGAAAAGCAAAACATGAGTACAACCCTGTAAGTCTCAGTGCCTACCTACATGTGAGGTTGGTAAACATTTAGACATGTGTATGTTTATTTAACTTTAGAATCTTGTGACTAGAACTGTAGTTCTCAACCAGGGCAATTTTGCTCCACAGGGGCATCTGGCATCTGGCAATGTCTGGAGACATCTTTGGTTGTCACAATTTTAAGTGAGGGTCTTACTGGCCAGGGATGCTGCTAAATATCCTACATGCAGAATACGGCTCCTCACAACAAAGAATTCTCTGGTCTAAAATAGTGCTTTGGTTGAGAAACCTGGACTAGAGGAGTTGACTTCAGGCAGGCCTAAAATCCAGGCCTACAGAGAAGGTGGCATAGCTGGGGAAGTGACTCTTGATTCACTCATTGTAACAATAAGCATCAAGAATGTTTGGAGGTTGTTACCAGTTACATGTACCTGTTGATCAGGCAGATGCATAGTCAGACTCTCAAAAACAGTTGCAAGGAACCAAGTAGTTATAAACCTTGCCCCTTTCTTGCAATAAGAATGGAAATGAGTTTCTTAAAGATAGGATCCACACCCCAATTAGGGAGAAACATAAATAGTGGATGCCTTCATGGGAACTTGAAGACATTTTCCCTTCTGATTAAGATTGCTGCTACGTGTTCTGTGCAGCTATCTTTGGGTAGTAAGTTGTATTCTTATTCCATATTAAAGGAATCTGTAACCTTTGCCTGGCAAGGTATCTTTCCAAAAATCATATCGCCATCCCATCATGACAATGTGTATTGTCATATAATAAGAAAGTCTCCATTTCCTTTTACTCTCCGAAGTATACTCTTGTAAAAATGATGTGGCTTTCCTTTTTTTCACATTTTCTTTTCTCCGCTTCTTCTCAGCATTTAAGCATACATTTATCTTATACCAATTTATATGTTCTGGTAATTATTCTCTAGTTATTTCATGTGTGTATTTTGCTTATTAGATTCTGGACCAGGGCAAGAACTGTATCTTCAATCTCCTTTGAAATCTCCTCTGCACCTAGTATAATTTTGAGTGCATTTAACAGCTGGTTGAATGAACTAACCAATAATATGTGCATAAACGAGAGAACAGAATAAAATCCACAATAAATATTGTTATCCTGATATTCCACAGGGCATACAAAGCTGGCTGGACCCTCATAAAAACACATACACCAAACCCATAAAATATAATCATCTGCAACAATTAAATTCAAACAAAGATTGTGATATTATATTGCTTAAATTTAACATACAGTTTCTCACTTGGTAGAAATGTAATAGAACTTGAAAGGGAATTACATTTACTCTCTTTTCTATAAAGCAATCAACTGAGGCAAAATTTAGGGCATTTAAGCCTCTCAGTATCAGTGCGATGATGTGTAGAAATGGATGGATTCTGGTTACATATTGACTATATGCAAAATTAGAAAGTATTAAGTAAGCTTAATTACTTGTTGTTTCTGTTAAATGCTGTGAACAAGCCAAGTACTTTAAACAACTCCAGTAACTGGCTTCAGTGGAGATGTAGTCAACCATTACTTGCAAACAACTAAATATTAGTGCATGTGAATGGCTATGTTATGGGATCTTTCCATTCTTTCACAAAAGGGATCATTACTGAGTATCAGAAAAATTGCACCTGAGTCACAATAATGAACATTAACAACACATAGACACACAAATAATTTTTCTGACTCCTATACAACCAAAAAGTATTGGTTATTTTAAAATGCCCTACTGACACTTACCTGGGATGAAAAAGTACACACTAGGAAGTCTGCCTGAGAGAGAAAATGTATATCCAGGATCACTCCACGAAGTGAATTTTCTGTGTATCGATTGTGCAGTCCAGCTGACCAGGAAATAGAGTTATCACTAATAAATTCATAATTGGGGTACCTGAAAAAATAAATTAATTTATAGATGGTCATAGATATCACAGTATCCTATCAGAAGGCAGACTTTCTCCTTTGACTAAGAGCTTCTCACAGAAAGGAGACCTTTAATTATGGCATTTAATACTGTAGTTGATGAGACATATTTGAAGTCCATCAGTGGGGCAGAAACCATTCTGGAATGCCCTGTATATTAAATTTTATTGGCATATCATATAAAACACACATACACACATCAAAATGTCCTTTATCAATTCATGAAATAGCTGAAAATTGAAGTCTCCTTTTTCCTTTTGTAATGAGTGACTTTTAAGAGTTTATTCAAACTGCTTTCATATTTGGTCACTGAGCTTTTCCTTTAGAATACAAATACTGTGATAAAACCTCATTAAAATTTTTAATTTAGAATTTCTGATAATTCAGATTTGGGTTAGACTTTGTAAATGTCTTCTTCATTGACATTACAAGTTAATAATAAAAAGAAGTTAAGAGATGAATATTTTAAAAATTTGTGAGAACTAACAGTCTCCCTTAACCTGCATCCTTCTTGAAGAACCATCTACTCTTACCTAATAACAGTAATAGAAAGCCCATTCTAATATTTATGGAAGCAAATTCCATAGATGTCCACCAAGTAATATTTTGGTAGTCTTGCTAGAGATAGTGTGTGTTTAAAAGTATTCATACAGGATGTCTTTTGAAAAGAATCTGGAATATAATAGAGGAGGAATAAATATTTGCTGAAGGAATAATAGTTCTTATATAGAAACCCTGAAGCATCAGGAGTCAGTTTACATGTTTGTCTTCCAAACAGTATTCCAAAAAAGGTTAGGACCATGACTTATTTTTCTTTGCATCACAGCATCTAGCACTCCACACAATGCTGAGTGAATAAATACATGAACAAGTCAGTGCTACCTATGCCTGGGACTTTCCCTAATCCCCTAAGAGCTGTTTCAGTTTCTCTTCATTTCATGGCCACCAAGGAGCTTTCCCTCATTGCCTCTGTAATAATGATTGTAAAGGCAAAGTCTCTGAGCACTGTTTCAGACTGCTATTCAGTGTTCAAATCCATCTGGCCTCATTATTTTTGACAGTTTGCCTTCTTCAGCTCAAAATCAAGGAGATGAAGAAAATGTCACATTTGTTCGGAAAAGAAAACAACCAGAAATAGTTTTAATGTGATTCTTGGGAAGCTGCATACCCAGGCATGGAGCAGAAACAACAACAAAGAAATACGAAATGCTAGAGGGAGAAAGAAAGGGGGGAACTGATAAAACCAGCATAGGTTTTATCCTTGAATAAAGACTAACTTTGTCAGCATGATTTGGATGCTCAGTGAAACAAAGGAGTGATCAATTTACCAAGAAGTAACACTAACATTAATGGCCTTCCTAACTAAAAGAGCCCTCTCTGGAACCAAATCAAAAGGGTACCTAAGGCTGGGTGCGGTGGCTCATCCCTATAATCCCAGCACTTTGGGAGGCTGAGGCAGGCAGACTGCTTGAGCTCAAGAGTTCGAGACCAGCCTGGGCAACACAGTGAAACCCTACCATTATTTTTTTAAAAAAAGGTACCTAAGTTCCTCAGGCCCATCTCTACATGCAAAAGAGCTCTCAGGCCTATCTCTATGGCTTCATAAAGGATACCTAAGTGTAAAACAAAACAAAACACACACAAACAAAACAAAGTAAATAATGGAAGAAGGAAATTGTACACCTTTCATAATGAGCATGAAACTTTTTGCACAAACATGCTTCTTGTCTTTTGCCCTCAAGTATGTCAGTGGAGGAATTCTTCTACCTTGAGGTTTCAGATACTGGGAATAATAATTTTTTTTTCCACTTTATAAAAATTTATTTTTATATCATCCACAAAGGACTAGCTTGCAGTTATAAACTAATATCTGGTGTTCTTTTCTGAAGTCCTTCTCTTGACTGAGGGAGATACTTCTCTTTGTGACTTCACTGTACCTGGTACATAAACTCCTTCAGGAGACGTATCTAAATTTACTGTAATATGTGTTACATGTATATTGTCTACCTGTTGGTTACTCCCTGAGATAAGGAGCCACACATTATATTTTGACTTTGTATTCCTAGTGCTCTGTGCTGTGTCCAGCATATTATAGGAGTTCAATAAAATAGTGAACAAATACACCACTCATTGCTGATTCTTTGTTTCACAGGGCAACCAAATACTTTACAAAAAACTTTTAACAAATTGTTCTTGTCTCTATTCATTTCAATGTACCTACTTTTAGAAAGAACTCATTCAGCATTTTAAAAATAAAGAATAAACTCAATTTGTAAATATTTTACCTGGGAAACTTTTAAAGACTTGTTTTTCTTCCTATTTTAACCCCATCCCTAATCTCCACAATCTTAGAATGCAATGTTGGATAGCCAACTTTAATAGTTCTTATTTCTTTGACTGTCAATGATTCTGTGATTCAAACACTGTAATACTGAACTACTTAAGAGATCGCCACAATAGCAATGGCTGCCACAGTCACTGGGATGCTGGTGGTAAAATCTTGTGGATGAACTCAATTTTTTTTTTTGAGATTGAGTCTCGCTCTGTCGCCCAGGCTGGAGTGCAGTGGTGCGATCTTGGCTCACTGCAACCTCCGCCTCCCGGGTTCACATCATCTCCTGCCTCAGCCTCCTGAGTGGCTGGGACCACAGGCGCCCACCACCATAAACAGCTAATTTTTTGTATTTTTAGTAGAGACAGGGTTTTACCATGTTAGCCAGGATGGTCTCAATCTCCTGACCTAGTGATCCGCCCACCTCGGCCTCCCAAAGTGCTGGGATTACAATCGTGAGCCACTGCGTCCGGTCGGACTCAATCTTAACATGCAGAAATCTGAAGTGCAATACCAAGCCACAAAGCATTAACCAATCATCTTCACACAGAAGCTATGTGTATAAAGCTAATTTTAACCCCTTTTCAAAGAATGAGCAACACAGAAAATAGATTCTCCTCTGACTGTGTCAACACTATACCTCTGACTGTGTGAACACTATACATCATTTAAGTTTAATTTTTCATCTCTTCACCCTCTTGAAGCAGAAAAGTCTTACAATGATTACCTTGGATACTATATACTTTGATAATAGATTAATTCATGCTTTTGGTCTCTTAAAACAATGGCAGAGATTTTTATGATTTGCTTAGGTATCAAAACCAATCCTGAGTATTTTAAAGCAGAATTAAATCAGAGTAGAAAAACATTTCAGTAAAAGAGTAAAGAAAAAAAACCCATCATTTAAATCCCCGAGAAACGACTCAAGTCGAAAATAAAAATAAAAGGATTTACAAAGAGAAAAAATTATGCATAAAAGGCTACTACTATATTTATAACAGAATATGGAGAAAATTGCTGCCTGGACTACCACTGGCAGGGGAGTTATAGCTGTTGGCTACAAGGAGGAAATTCTGGTTTTACTATTCTTGCAGTCCAAGTAGATACTGCCAACTGTACTATAAGGGTTGTTTGGTATAAAACTGTCATGCTGTGCTATGGATCAAAGCTGTAAAATGTTTATATCTAGCTGAGTGTGGTGGCATGTGCCTGTAGTCCCAGCTACTCAGATGGCTGAGGTGGGAGGATCATTGAGCCCAGGAGGTCGAGGCTACCGTGAGCTGAGATTGTGCTACTGCACTCCAGCCTGGACCCTGTATTTAAAAAAAAAAAAAAAAAAAGTTTATATCCTTGCATCTAAATACTTCCAAGTCCAGAAATCTAGCCTAAGGAAATAATGTGGATAATTTTAGGCATACGTCATAGCATTACTTATAAGAATGAAACATTGGAAATAAGCTGACTGCCTAATATTAGAAGAATGGTTGGTCAAATAAGCAACGGCATATCTGTACAGCGTATATGTATGTAGTCATTAAAAAAGATGTTTAGGCTGGGCATGGTGGCTCACGACAGTAATCCCGGCACTTTGGAGGACAAGGCAGGAGGACTGCTTGAGCCCAGGAGTTCGAGACCAGCCTGAGCAACATGCAATCCCGTCTCTACCATAAAAAATTAGCTGGGCATGATGCTGCATGCCAATGGTCCCAGCTACTCAGGAAGCTGAGGAAGGAGGATTTCTTGAGCCCAGGAGGTTGAGGCTGCAGTGAGCCATGCTTGCACCAACGCATTCCAGCCTGGGTGACAAAGCAAAAAAAAAAAAAAAAAAAAAACATGTTTACAATGACTATTTTAGCAACCTAGGGGAATGGATCTATTGCTGTATTAAGTGAAAAGAGTTTAAATTATATAGAATTCGATCAACTACAGTCATGCTCCAGTTAACAACGAGGATATGTTCTGAGAAATACATCATTAGGCATGTTATCATCATGCAAACATCATAGGGTGTATTTACAAAAACCTAGATGGCATAGCCAACTATACCACACCTAGGCTATACATATATATCCACCTAGGCTATATGGAATAGCTTATTGCTCCCAGGCTACAAACCTGTACAGCAAGCTATTGTATTGAATACTGAAGGTAGTTGTAACACAATGGTAACTATTTGTGTTATCTAAACATAGAAAAGGTACAGTAAAAGTATAGTTTTATAATCTATGGGACTACCATCATACAGGTGTTTCATCGCTGACTGAAATGTTATGTGGTACATGACTGTATTAGAAAATGAGACTACATAAATGGGATTGAGGATAATACTTTTTCCTTGATTCGGTAATGATATGGTTTGGCTGGGTCCCCAAACCTTTCCCGTGCTGTTCTCATGATAGTGAATAAGTCTCATGAGATTCGATGGTTTTAAAAACAGGAGTTTCCCTGCACAAGCTCTCTTCTCTTGTCTGCCACCACATAAGTCACGCCTTTCGCCTTCCATCATGATTGTGAGGCCACCCCAGCTATGTGGAACTGTAAGTCCATTAAACCTCTTTCTTTTGTAAATTGCCCAGTCCTGAGTATGTCTTTATTAGCAGTGTGAAAATGGACTAATACAGTAAATTGGTACAAGAAGTGGAGTGCTGCTGAAAAGATACCTGAAAATGTGGAAGTGACTTTGGAATTGGGTAACAGGCAGAGGGTGGAACAGTTTGGAGGGCTCAGAAGAAGACAGGAAAATGTGGGAGTTTCGAACTTCCTAGAGACTTGTTGAATGGCTTTGCCCAAAATGCTGACAGTGATATGGACAATAAAGTATGGGCTGAGGTGGTCTCAGATGGAGATGAGGAACTTGTTGGGAACTAGAGCAAAGGTGACTCTTGTTATGTTTTAGCAAAGAGACTGGCAGCATTTTGTCTCTGCCCTAGAGATTTGTGGAACTTTGAACTTGAGAGAGATGATTTAGGGTATCTGGCGGAAGAAATTTCTAAGCAGCAAAGATTTCAAGAGGTGACTTGGTTGCTGCTAAAGGCATTCAGTTTTATAAGGGGAGCAGAGCATAAAAGTTTGGAAAATTTGCAGCCTGACAATGTGACAGAAAAGAAAATCCCATTTTCTGAGGAGAAATTCAAGCCAGCTGCAGAAAACTTGTGTAAGTCATGAGGAGCCGAGTGTTAATCACCAATACAATGGGGAAAATGTCTCCAGGGTATGTCAGAGACCTTTGTGGCAGCCCCTCACATCAGAGGCCCAGAGGTTTAGGAGGAAAAAATGATATTGTGGACTGGGCTCAGGGTTCCTCTGCTGTGTTCAGTCTAGGGACTTGGTGCCCTGCATCCCAGCTGCTTCCGTCATGACAAAAAGGGGCTAAAGTATACAGCTCAGACTATTGCTTCAGAGGGTGGAAGCCCCAAGCCTTGGCAGCTTCCACATGGTGTTGGGCCTGTGAGCGCACAGAAGTCAGGAACTGAGGTTTGGGAACCTCTGCCTGGATTTCAGAGGATGTATAAAAACACCTGGATGCCCAGGCAGAAGTTTGCTGCAGGAATGGGGCTGTCATGGAAAACCTCTGCTAGGGCAGTAGAGAAGCAAAATGTGGGGTCAGAGCCCCCACACAGAGTCCCTACTGGGACACCGCCTAGTGGAGCTGTTAGAAGAGGGCCACCATCCTCCAGACTCCAGAATGGTACATCCACCAACAGCTTGCACCATGCACCTGGAAAAGCCGCAGACACTTAATGACAGCCCGTGAAAGCAGCCAGGAGGGGGGCTATACACTGCAAAGCCATAGGGGTGGAGCTGCCCAAGGCCAAAGGAGCTCACCTCTTGCATCACTGTGACCTGGCTGTGAGGCGTGGAGTCAAAGGAGATCATTTTGAAGCTTTAACATTCGACTGCCCCACTGGATTTCGGACTTGCATGGGGCCTGTAGCCCCTTTGTTTTGGCCAATTTCTCTCATTTGTAATGGCTGTATTTATCCAATGCCTGTACCCCCACTGTATCTAGGAAGCAACTAACTTGCTTTTGATTTTATAGGCTCATAGGTGGAAGGGACTTGCCTTGTCTTCGATGAGACTTTGGACTCTGGACTTTTGAGTTAATGCTTAAATGAGTTAAGACTCCGGGGGGACTGTTGGGAAAGTATGACTGGTTTTGAAATGTGAAGACATGAGATTTGGGAGTGGCCAGGGGTGGAATGATATGGTTTGGCTGTGTCTCCACCCAAATCTCATCTTGAATTCTCAGGTGTTGTGGGAGGGACCCAGTGGAAGGTAATTGAATCACGGGGGCAAATCTTTCCCCTGGTGTTCTCGTGATAGCGAATAGTCTCACAAGATCTAATGGTTTGAAAAATGGGAGTTTCCCTGCACAAGCTCTCTTCTCTAGTCCGCTGCCATGTGAGAATTGCCTTTCACCTTCTACCAAGATTGTGAGCCCCACCAGGGATGTGGAACTGTAAGTCTATTAAACCTCTTACTTTTGTAAATTGCCCAGTCTGGGGTATGTCTATCAGCAGTGTGAAAATGAACTAATAGGGTATTTACCAACTTGCATATTTTTAAGTGAGCATGAATTAATTTGCTCATCAAGAAAACAAGGAAAAAAGCTTGTGATGCGTTCCAGAACAAGTGAAAGAGTAGACAAAATTAGTATCTTTTTCTTCAACCAAGCTACAAATTCAGTTTGGTGTTTTAAATTGAAGAAACATGGTAAACTATACATTTTTTTATTGTGTTTTGTGCCCAAATGTTCATTTAATCCCTCTTACATTAACTCATTCTTATACTTGGCTGATGAATTATTTGCCCTTTGTTTATATATATACACATCTCAGTGTGTGTGTGTGTGCACGCATGCGCGCATGTATATGGTAGTGTGTGCATATGCTCAAGAGAGGGAGCCTTGAATAAAAAAGGCAATTTGCTTCAGGTTCATTTGGATTCTTCAGAGGTAGAAAGAGGATTTAAATTATTATCTAATGACTTAGATTAATACCTGCATTATAGTCCTCATTCTAAATTTATTTATTTTCCTCATCCCCATTTGAAACATGGGGGACAACAAATACATTAATTAAATAGCCAAAAAGCTTAAATGATTAAGTGTTAATGTTTTCAAACTGATGGGATTGAAATCAATACCATTTAATATTTACTGGGCATTTAACTACAGCTAGGTATTATGTCCAAAGTACTTATAATCTAGTGAAGGAGACAGAAGTAAGCAAGTGCTAAACACTACAACAGAGAACTGTACAGAGTGGGGAACACAGGCCAGTCAAGGGTTCAGGGATGACTTCTGGAGGAGATAGTATCTGAGCAGAACTAAGACTAGAATTTTCTTCTCCTTAATTTCCTACTTTTACATACATTTAATACATCCTTCATTTATTGATAGTAAATAAAGACTAACTCCAGGTTTACTCAGATCCTATAAGAAGTGTCCAATCAGGATTTGTGCTTTATCTATGTGTTTTCATAATACCCCATGTTAACCCTATAATAGTGTTACTCAACTGTAGGGTAATTGTTTATTGCCCTATTAGATTTGGGAATTCCTTGACAGCAGGGAGTATCTTGTTTATCATGAAATCCCCAGCACCAGCACAGTGCCTGAAATACAGGCAAGCTCAAAAAATAATTGTTACTGTTCCATACACAGTAGTAGTCTTTATTCCTCAACTTACAAAACTTACTTTTTGATTCCTTACCTTTCTTTAGTATAACTTTCAAATTCCACAAATTATTATAAGACAAAACTCTACATATGTGTTCAGTTGTCTGTAACTGTTAATGAAGACAGTGAAATCAAAACGATAAGCACCTGGTTTTATTGCTAACAGTCTGTATGGCTGGCTAGTGTTATCGACTGAACGTTTACATTCGCACAAATTCCTATGTTGAATCCCTAACCCCAATGTGATGGTGTTTGGAAATAGGACCACTGAGAAATAATTAGGCTTAGATGAGGTCATGAGAATGGGGCCCTCATGATGAGATTAGTGTCCTTATATGTGGAGACATCAGAACACTTCCTCTCCTGTTCCCTGCACACACAAAGAAGAGGTCACAAGAGCACAGAGTGAAATAGTGGCTGCTTACAAGCCAAGAGAAAATGAAATCTACCTTGCTAGCATCTTGATCTTGAATTTCCCAGCCTCAGACCTGGGAGAAACAAATTTCTGTAATTTAAACCACTCAGTCTATGTTATTTTGTTATGGCAGCTCCAACAGACTAGTGAAGATTTTAGTACCAAGAAGTAGGGTGATACTTTTAATGATAATAATGATTATTGCTGGTGACAATGCGTAAGTCAGTGGTCCAGTTCATTTTAGACTTCTTATAAGGCATTATTGGATATGGCTAATAAAAACACTTTGATTAGACTGACAGTTACACAAGTACATAGTCCATTGAATTTTTAAAACCCTAATAATTAGCAATAATAATATACAAAAATCACAAGTCATGGGAAGTAAGAATTCTTTTAAACTGAAAGAGACAACCCCACTCTAGAATCACTAGTTGGTCTAACTTACTTTGTTTTTGCCTCCTTTAATAAAGAAGGGTCATCTGTGGCCAAATACACTCTTTTTTTGTCCACTTGCATTCTGCGTGCAAGAAGCTGAAAATGTTCTTCAACATGCACCATGTACTCTTCAATGGGATGGAAGGCAGCTTCTGTTCCCACTTTGTCTGTGCGTCTGACATGGACTCTGGGGGAGAAATTCAGATTCTACTGGTAATGTACTGACACTGGGTGCTTTGAGGGTACTCAATTTATACCCCTACTTATGGTGGCATTATAGGCATTTTTAACTGATTTTTCTTTCATTTTCACTATTAGAAAAAGTAAAACACATAGTATTTTAAAAACTCAAAAATACATATTCTAAATATATTTGCAGGCTAAACAATACAAGGGGAATTAGAAAGTAAGTAAAGCCTTTGAAGAATGATTTCTTATAGAGAAAATAATTCACATCTTAGGAATAAATGGGAAATTTCAGAGCTGCATTTCATACTAGGCAGCAACCAGCTGTCTGGAAAAAAACTGAATACAACTTAAGATTTTTGTTACCAGGATGATACCAGGATTCACAGTTGTTACTAAAGAACATTAGAGATATTATTTGTAAAGTTCTGATACCAAGGGTTTTCCTCTTTATTTTACCCTGGAGAGTCACCATAACTGCCAGCTTGTAGAACTTAAAAGTTGTCCCAGGAAAACATAGACCTGGATAAACTTTTACAGCACCGTTAAGACCAGCAAACCTTTTAACGGTTTTTACTATTTTAGGTAAATGAAACCGATTCCAGCCCTTCTGTTGTGGGCATAATGCATTTCCTTTCTCTGTTTTTCACCATATCAAATGACAGCAGATATTAATTTCACCTGTCATATTTAAGAAAAGCCCCAAAATTGTAAAATTGGGGACACAGATTCACACTTCCCTGTACTGAATAAGGCACTGACTTCCACAGTTTTCTCCTCTCTCCTCCCATCTTAGTGTTTCCAAAGTAATTTTTTTTTTTTTAAGACAAGGTCTTGCTCTGTTGCACACATTGGAGTGCAGTGGCGTGATTATGGTTCACTCCAATCTCTGCCTCCCAGGCTCAAGTGATCCTCTCACCTCAGCCTCCCGAACAGCTGGTACTACAGGCATGTGTCACCAAGCCTGGCTAATTTTTGCTTTTTTTTTTTTTTTTAATTGATGGGGTTTCAACCATGTTGCCTATGTTGAGTTTTCTCAAACTTCTGGGCTCAAGTGATCCACTTGCCTCAGCCTCCCAGTGTTGTGATTACAGGCATGAGCCACTATGCCTGGCCCCAAAGCAATATTAATGGAAATAAAAATAACAGTTTATTTTCATAAATTAAAACACCCTCCTTAAATCTTGCCTTCCCCTCCCCCCAAATTACTAAATCACTATTTATATGTAGAAAAAGGTAGACTTATACGCCTTTAGGTCACAGTATATGGGCCAAACTTAAGGCCAGTTTTTTATTATGAATCTGGAGTGAAGGTTTGATTTCACCAGAGTTACTCTGCCATCTTCACGGCTATTCTTTGCTTTGCATTCCAGACTATAACCCAGATGTGGATACAATCATATGAACATCTATTCTATCATCTTTCCTTCCCACATCCTTCATAATCACTCTTTTTCTGGGGAAATTGGAATTGTTCAGTGGGCTCTATAGAGATGAAGTGGGCAGAACGAATGATTCCATTGAATTTCAATCAAAAGTTACATGAGAAGAAATACGATTTGATATTCTGACTTCACATGTACCTTCTTTACGTCTAACACTTAGAATGGGGTCAATAACTCCTCTACATATGAAGACTAAGACACAAGGAAAGATGTGGGGTGGGAAATATGAAAATAAAAATAAAAAGAAGCTGGACATGGTGATACATGCCTTTAGACCCAGCTATTATACTTGGGAGGCTGAGGTAGGAGGATCACTTGAGCCCAGGGTGGTTGAGGCTGCAGTGAGCCACTACACTTCAGCCTGGGTGACAGAGTGAGACCCTATCTCAAAAATAACAACAACAAAAGCCAAAAGAGAGCTGTGATAAGAGGAGAAAGAAGCAAAGGAAGAGGAGAACTGGAGACAGTAATAGAGCACTACTAAGCAACTTTCTTAGCTGTTCTAAGTAAACAAACAAAAAAAAATAGTCTCCATGTGACCTTAGGATAGCTCTAGAACCTCTGTCCTTTGGTGGGACTATAAAAATTGAACTACATATTGTAAAATTCACAATATATTGTAAAGATACATAACCCTAACTACTACATATCACAGTTTGAGGGAAAAAATCAGATTCTTACCCAATAACTGGATGTTTGAAGCCAAGCTTCTTGGTGGCTTCTTCTATTTCTTTTTCTAGCCAAGGCTGTGGGCGGATCAAGTATTTGACAAACTGAGACACCCACCACACTGCAGGGTCACCATGCACTCGTACAAGTCGATCTGCGAGGTCTTCTGGTACAGCCAAGGGTAAATATGGAGGACGGGGATGAAGACTGTCTACAATGGGAAGCTCGACCACTTGAACATTTTTGTCCTTCACTTCACCTGACAATATTGAAACATATAATCATTACCACATGGTATTCCTTATACATCCACCATTCAACAAGAACTTATTCTGAGTGCTTTCATCCTCACAGCAACTCTAAAGAAGTATAATCTTCACTTTACAAAGGAAGTTAAATAACTTGCTCGAAATACCAGAGCAAAAGTGACGGAGGTGAATTTCACATGCAGGTTAGTCTATCTCTCAAGTCTCTGGTCTTTTCTAAAAGTTTCTATCATAACATGCTATCATACCAACACCTCATGGTATGCAGAACTCAAAGTATCTAATCAAAGAATGACAGTAGACACAGCCAGCTAGCAAAGTTCTATTTTTTGTTGTTGTTTTGGAATTAGAAAATAAAGTGTTCTCGAAACTTCTAGCTTTTCATTACAGCAAAATTGCTCTTGCATTACTTTCATGACAGAACACAATGACTCTGGAAACACCTGAAGATTATAATTATAAGCCAATCATCTACATCTTTTAAAGAAAAAAATTAGATAATTCTAAAATCTTTTTTTTTTTTAATCTATTGGAGGGAGATGAAGCAAGATGGCTGAATAGAAGCCTCAACCAATCGCTGCCCCCACCACAGGAACACCAAATTTAACAACTATCTACACAAAAAAGCACCTTCACAAGAACCAAAAATCAGGTAAGTGATCACAGTACCTGATTTTAACTTCATATTGCTGAAAGAGACACTGAAGAGAGTAGGAAAGACAGTTTTCGATTGTCTACTACCCCTTCCACCCCCATGCAGTGGCCGTGTGGTGCAAAGAATCTGTGTGCTTGGGGGAGGGGGAGCACAGTGATTGTGGGACTTTGCACTGGAACTCAGTGTTACCATGTCACAGCAGAAAGCAACACCAGGCCAACTGGCAAGCAACACCCGGGCCATTAGCAAAGAACTCAGCCAATGCCCATGGAGGGAGAACTTAGATGTGCCCTAGCCAGAGGGGAAATGTCCATCCCAGCGGTTGGAGCCTGAGTTTCAACAAGCCGCACCACTATAGGCTGAAGTGTCCTGGGGCCCTAAATGAACTTGAAAGGCAGTCTAGGCCACAAGAACTGTAATTTCTAGGCAAGTTTTAGTGCTGTGCTGGGTTCGAGAGTCATTGGACCTAGGGGGCACGTAACCTAGTGAGCCACCAGCTGAGGTGGCTAAGGCAGTGCTTATGCCACCCTTTCCCTAATCTAAGGCAGTGCAGTTCACAGCTCCAAAAGAGACTCCTTCCTTCCACTTGAGCAGTAGAGAGGGAAGAGTAAAGAGGACTTTATCTTGCAACTTGGATAACAGCTCAGCCACAGTGGAACAGAGCACCAAGTGGGCTCTTGGGGTTCCTGATTCCAGACCTTGGCTCTTGTATGGCACTCCTGGACCTGCCTGGGCCAGAAGGGAGCCCAGTGCCCTGAAGGGCAAGTCCCAGGCCTGGCAACATTCACCACAAGCTGACTGAAGAGCCCTTGGGCCTTAAGTGAACATGAACCGTAGCCTGGCAATAATCCCTGTGGGCTTGTAGTGGTGGTGGCCATAGGGAGAGACTCTTTTGCCTATGAAAAGAGGAGTGAAAAGTGGGAAGCACTTTGCCTTATGGTTTGGATGCCAGCTCAGCTGCAGGAGAATAGAGGACCAGATAGGGTTCTAAGGTTTCCAACTCCAGATGCTGGCTCCCAGATGGCATCTCTGGACCTGCCTGGGGCCCAGGGGAACTTGCTTGCTGTCCTGAAGGGATGGATAAAAGCCTGACTGGCTTTGCCACCTGCTCATTATAGAGCCCTAGAACTTTGAGCCAACACAGGAGGTAGCCAGGTAGGGGTTACACTGGGCCTTGGGTGAGATCCAGTGCTATGCTGGTTTCAGGTCTGGTCTAGTGTAGTTCCAGTGGTGGTAGCCACAAAAGTGCTTGTGTCACCACTCCCCCAACTACAAGAGGCTTGGAGCACAGAATCAGAGACTCGTTTGTTTGGGACAAAGTAAGGGAAGAGAACAAGAGTCTCTGCTTGGTAATCCAGAGAATTCTTCTAGACCTTATCTAAGACCACAAAGGTAGTACCTCTGCAAGTCTGTAAGAACCACAGCATTATCGGGCTTGGGGTGCCCCCTAATGTAGATATGGCTGCAATGACCAAAACTGGATCACAACAGCCAACTCCCTTCAAATATCTGGAAAGCCTTTCTAAGACAGGTACAAAAGAGTTCAGATTGTGAAGACTACGATAAATACCTTCAATGCCCAGACACCAATGAACACCCACAAGCATCAAGACCATCCAGGAAAACATGGCCTTGAAAAACAAACTAAATAAGGCACCAGGGACCAAATCCTGAAGAAACATAGATATGTGACCTTTCAGAGAGGGAATTCAAAAGAGCTATTTTGAGGAAATGCAAAGAAGTTCAAGATAACACAAAGAAGGAATTCAGAATCCTATCAGATAAAGTTAACAAAGAGGTTGAAACAATTAAAAGGAATCAAGCAGAAATTCTGGGGTTGAAAAATGCAGCTGACATACTGAGTCTCTTAATAGAAGTCATCAAGCAGAAGAAAGAATTGGTAAGCTTAAAGACAGGCTATTTGAAAATACACTGTCAACAGAGACAAAAGAAAAAAGAATGAAAAACAATGAAGCATGCCTATAAGATCTAAATAATAGTTTCAAAAGGGCAAATCTAACAGTTATTGGCCTTAAGAAGGAGGCAGAGAGAGATAGGAACAGAACGTTTATTCAAAGGGATGAAACAGAGAACATCCGAATTCTAGACAAAGATATCAATATTCAAGTACAAGAAAGTTATACATCAACCAGATTTAACCCAAAGAAGACTACCATTCAAGGCATTTAATAACCAAACTTCCAAAGGTCAAGGATAAAGAAAGGATCCTAAAAGCAGCAAAAGAAAAAATAAATAACATACCATGGAGCTCCAATATGTCTGACAGCAGACTTTTCAGTGGAAACATTACAGGCCAAAAGAGAGTGGTATGACATAAACTACTGAGGGAAAAAAAACTTTTACCCTAGAATAGTATATCCAGTGAAAACATCCTTCAAGCTTAAAGAAGAAATAAAGACTTTCCCAGACAAACAAAAGCTGAGAGATTTCATCAACATCAGACCTGTTCTACAAGAAATGCTAAGGGGAATCCTTCAATTTGAAGGAAAAAAGGTGTTAATGGGCAATTAAAAAATGATCTGAAGGTACCTCACTGGTCATACTAAGCATACAAAAAACCACATAATTTTATAACACTGTAATTGTGGTATGTAACCTATTGATATCTTAAGTAAAAGACTAAAAGATGAACCGATCAAAAATAACTACAACTTTTCAAGACATACTTGGTACCATAAGATATAAATAGAAATAACAGAAAGTTAAAAAGTTGGGGGGACAAAGTACAGAGTATTTATTAGACTTCTTTTTGATTGCATGTTTGTTTATGCAATCGGTGCCAAATTGTCATCAGTTTAAAATAACGAGCTATAAGTTATTTGCAAGCCTCATGATAATCTCAAATCAAAAAACATACAATGAATACACAAAAAATAAAAAGCAAGAAATTAAAACAAACCACCAGAGAAAATCACCTTCACTAAAAGGAAAATAGAAAGGAAGGAAAGAAGGAAGAGAAGACCACAAAATAACCAGAAAACAAATAACAAAATGGCAGGAGTAAGATCTTACTTATTATTAATAACACTAAATGTAAACAAACTGAATTCTCCAATCAAAAGACATAGAGTGGCTGAATAGCTAAGAAACACAAAATTCAATGATCTGTTACCTACAAGAAACATACTTCACCTATAAAGACACACAGACTAAAAATAAAGGGATGGAAAAAGATATTTCATGCCAATGAAAACCAAAAAAGAGCAGGAGTAGCTATACCTGTAATAGACAAAATAGATTTCAAGAAAAAAAAACTATAAAAAGGGACAAAGAAGGAGGTGAGGAGCGCCTCTGCCTGGCCGCCCCGTCTGGGAACTGAGGAGTGCCTCTGCCAGGCCGCCCCGTCTGAGAGGTGAGGAGCGCCTCTGCCTGGCAGCTGCCCCGTCTGGGAAGTGAGGAGCATCTCTGCCCAGCCGCCCCGTCTGGGAAATGGGGAGCGCCTCTGCCCGGCTGCCCCGTCTGGGAAGTGGGGAGCGCCTCTGCCCGGCCGCCCCGTCTGGGAGGTGAGGAGCGTCTCTGCCCGGCCGCCCATCGTCTGGGATGTGAGGAGCGCCTCTGCCCGGCCGCCCTTCGTCTGGGAGGTGAGGAGCGCCTCTGCCCGGCCGCCCCGTCTAGGAAGTGAGGAGCGCCTCTGCCCAGCTGCCCTGTCTGGGATGTGAGGAGCCACCTCTGCCCAGCTGCCCCATCTGGGAGGTGAGGAGAGTCTCTGCCTGGCCGCCCCGTCTGGGAAGTGAGGAGCGTCTCTGCCCGGCTGCCCTGTCTGGGAGGTGAGGAGTGCCTCTGCCCGGCCGCCCATCGTCTGGGAAGTGAGGAGCGCCTCTGCCCGGCCGCCCCGTCTGGGAGGTGAGGAGCGCCTCTGCCCGGCCGCCCCGTCTGGGAGGTGAGGAGCGCCTCTGCCCGGCCGCCCCGTCTGGGAGGTGAGAAGCGCCTCTGCCCGGCCGCCCCATCTGGGAAATGAGGAGCGCCTCTGCCCGGCTGCCCGTCGTCTGGGAAGTGGGGAACGCCTCTGCCCGGCCGCCCCATCTGGGAAGTGGGGAGCACCTCTGCCCGGCCACCCCGTCTGGGAAGTGTGGAGCGCCTCTGCCCGGCCACCCCGTCTGGGAAGTGTGGAGCACCTCTGCCCGGCCGCCCCGTCTGGGAAGTGGGGAGTGCCTCTGCCCGGCCGCCCCATCTGGGAAGTGGGGAGCGCCTCTGCCCGGCCGCCCCGTCTGGGAGGTGAGGAGCGCCTCTGCCCGGCCGCCCCGTCTGGGAAGTGAGGAGCGCCTCTGCCCGGCCGCCCCGTCTGGGAAGTGAGGAGTGCCTCTGCCTGGCTGCCCCATCTGGGAGGTGTACCCAACAGCTCCAAAGAGACAGCGACCATCGAGAACAGGCCATGATGATGATGGTGGTTTTGTCAAAAAGAAAAGGGGGAAATGTGGGGAAAAGAAAGAGAAATCAGATTGTTACTGTGTCTGTGTAGAAAGAAGTAGACATAGGAGACTCCATTTTGTTCTGTACTAAGAAAAATTCTTCTGCCTTGGGATGCTGTTAATCTATAACCTTACCCCCAACCGTGTGCTCTCTGAAACATGTGCTGTGTCAACTCAGGGTTAAATGGATTAAGGGCGGTGCAAGATGTGCTTTGTTAAACAGATGCTTGAAGGCAGGAAAAAAAAAAAAAGAAATCCTGTCTAGAATAAATTCCATTATTTTCCAAAAAAAAAAAAAAGGGACAAAGAAGGTCACTATATAATGATAAAGGGATCAATTCATCAAGAAGATATAATAATTATAAATATATATGCACTCAACACTGGAGCACCCAGATACATAAAGCAAATATTACAGCTAACGAGAGAGGTAGACCCCAATATAATAATAGCTGGAGATTTCAACACCTCACTTTCAGAATTGGACAGACAGAAAATCAACAAAGGAACATCAGACTTAATCTGCATCAGAAACCAAATGGACCTAATAAATACTTATAGAACATTTCATCCAATGGCTGCAGAATACACATTCTTCTCCTCAGCACATGGATAGTATTACAAGGACAGACCATAAATTAGGTCACAAAACAAGTCTTAAAACATTCACGAAATTGAAATACTATCAAGTTGTTTTTTTTTTTTTTTGAGAGAGGGTCTCACTCTTGTCCAGGCTGGAGTGCAGTGGTGTGACCTCAGCTCACTGCAGACTCTGCCTCCCAGGCTCAAGTGATCCTCCCACCTCAGCCTCCTGAGTAGCTAGGACCACAAGGTATGTGCCACTGTACTCAGCCTCAAGTATCTTCTCAGACCACAATGAAATAAAACAAGAAATCAGTAACAAGATAAATTTTAGAAACTATACAAACACATGGAAATTAAATAATATGTTCCTTAAATACCAATGGATCAATGAAGAAATTAAGAAGGAAATTAAAAAAATTTCTTGAAACAAACGATCATGGAAACACAACATACCAAAACCTATGGGATACAGTGAAAGCAGTACTGACAGAGAAGTTTATAGCAGTAAGTGTCTACATCAAAAAAGTAGAAAAACTTCAAATAAATGACCTAATGATGCATCTTAAAGAACCACAAAACTAGAGCAAATCAAACCCAAAATTAGTAAAAGAGAAGAATAAAGATCAGAGCAGAAATAAATGAAACTGAAACAATCATTCTTGACCAAATGGGATTTATCCCAGAGATGCAAGGATGGTTGGGCATATGCAAATCAATCAATGAGACATATCATATCAACAGAATGAAGAACAAAAGCCACATGATCATTTCAATTGATGCAGAAAAAGCATGTGATAAAATTCAAGATCTCTTCATGATAAAAACCCTTAAAAAACTGAGTATAAAAGCAACGTATCTCAACATAATAAAAGCCATATACATAGATCCACAGCTAATATCCTACTGAGTGGGGAAAAGCTGAAAACCACTTCTCTAAGATCTGGAACACAACAAAGATGCTCTCTGTCACCACTGTTATTCAACACAGTACTGGAAGTTCTAGCTAGAGCAATCAGACAACAGAAAGAAATAAAGGGTGTCCAAAATGGAAAGAAAGAAATCAAATTCTTGTTGTTTGCACATGATATGACACTACATTTGTAAAAACCTAAAGATTCTACAAAAAAAAATTTAGAACTGATAAATTCAGTAAAGTTGCAGGACACAAAATCAACATACAAAAATCAGTGCATTTCTATATGTCAACAGTGAACAACCTGAAAAAGAAATCCAAAACATAATCCAATTTACAATAGTTACAAATAAAGTTAAATACCTAGGAATTAACTTAACCAAAGATGTGAAAGATCTCTACAATGAAAACTATAAAACACTGATGAAAGAAATGGAAGAGGACACCAAAAAAAGGAAAGGTATTCCATGTTCATAGATTGGAAGAATCAATATTGTTAAAATGCCCATACTATCCAAAGCAATCTACAGATTCAATGCAATCCCTATGAAAATACCAATGACTTTTTCATAGAAATAGAAAAAAAAAATCCTAAAACTTAAATGGGGATGTGGTGGCTTATGCCTATAATCCTAACACTTTGGAAGGCCAAACCGGGAGGATGGCTTGAGGCCAAGGGTTTGAGACCAACCTTGCAAAGACAATGAGACTCTGTGGCTACTAAATAAATAAATAAATAAATAAATAAATAAATAAATAAATAAAATTTATATGGAACCACAAAAGACACAGGATAACCAAAGCTGTCCTAAGCAGAAAGCACAAAACCAGAAGAATCACATTATCTGACTTCAAATTATACTATGGAGCTACAGTAACCAAAACAGCATGGCACTAGCATAAAAACGTGGAGCTATAGTAACCAAAACAGCATGGCTCTAGCATAGAAAAAGACACATAGACCAATGGAATAAAATTGAGAGCCCAGAAACAAATCTATACATTGACACTGACTCATTTTCAACAAAGGTGCCAAGAATATACACTGAGGAAAGGAAACTCTCTTCAATAAATGGTGCTGGGAAAACTGGATATCCATATGCTCAGGAATGAAACTAGGCCCCTATCTCTCACCATATACACAAATCAAATCAAAATGGATTAAAGACTTAAATCTAAGACCTCAAACTATGAAACTACTAAGAGAAAACATTGGGGAAGCTCTCCAGGACACTGGAGTGGGTAAAGATTTCTTGAGTAATACCACATAAACACAGGCAACCAAAGCAAAAATGGACAAATGGGACCGACTCAAGTCTGCACAGCAAAGAAAACAATAAACAAAATGAAGAGACAACCTGCAGAATGGGAGAAAATATTTGCAAACTACCCATGTGACAAGAGATAAATAACGAGAATATAAAAGAAGCTCAAACAACTCTACAGGATAAAAGTAATAATCCAATCAAAAATGGGCAAAAGATCCGATTAGACATTTCTCAAAAGAAGATGTACAAATGGGAAACAGGTATATGAAGAGGTGCTCAGCATCAATGATCATCAAAAACTACAACAAGGTATCATTTAACCCCAGAAAAAATGTCAAAATTCAGGCAATAACAAATGCTGGCAAGTATGTGCAGAAAAGGGAACCCTCATACACTGTTGGTGGGAATGTAAATTAGTACAACCACTACAGAGAACAGTTTAGACATTCCTCAAAAAAACTAAAAATTGAGCTACCATATGATCCAGCAATCCCACTGCTGGGTATATGCTCAAAAGAAAGGAAATCAGTATATCAAAGAGATACCTGAACTCCCATGTTTACTGCAGCACTGTTCACAATAGCCAAGATTTGAAAGCAACCTAAGTGTCCAGATGAATAAACAAAGAAAATATGGTAAATATACACAATGTAGTACTATTCAGCCATAAAAAAGAATGAGACCCTGTCATTTGCAACAACATGGATGGAACTGGAGGTCACTGTGTTAAATAAAATAAGCCAGGCACAGAAAGACAAACTTGGCATGTTCTCACTTATTTGTGGGAGCTAAAAATTAACACAATTGAAATCTTGGAGATAGAGTGTAGAATGACAGTGACCAGAGGCTGGAAAAGGTAGTGGGAGGTGGGGGGTAAGGGAGGATGGCTAATGGGTACAAAAAGTCGAAAAAATAAGACCTAGTATTTCACAGCACAGCAGGGTGACTACAGTCAATGATAATTTAACTGTACATTTTAAAATAAGTAAAAACATATAATTGGATTGTTTGTAACATAAAGGATAAATGCTTGAGGTGATGGATACCCCATTTACCCTGATGTGATTATTATGCATTGTATGCCTGTATCAAAATATCTCATTACCTCATATATATACCTACTATGTACCCACAGAATTTTTTCAAAAATTAAAAAGAAAAAACTATATTTTCACCAGGCGCAGTGACTCGCGCCTGTAATCCCAGCACTTTGGGAGACTGAGGCAGGAGGATCACCTGAGGTCAGAAGTTTGAGATCAGCCTGACCAACATGGAGAAACTCCATCTCTACTAAAAATACAAAAATTAGCCGGGTGTGGTGGCACATGCCTGTAATCCCAGCTACTCAGGAGGCTGAGGCAGGAGAATCGCTTGAACCCAGGAGGCAGAGGTTGCAGTGAGCCGACATCATGCCATTTGCACTCCAGACTGGGCAATAGAGCGAAACTTCGTCTCAAAAACGCAACTACCACCACCACCATCACAACAAAAAAACTGTATTTTCAAATATGATAATAGAATGTGTATTGCTTTTTACCTTGAACTCTAAAGTTCAGAGACTAGATGCTAATTTTTACAGATTATGATTACTTTCAGAATTAAATTTCCATAAATCATGAATGTTACTGATGTTCTATCACCTTTATAATCCAATGATAAGTATAATCCAAAATGTGATAGCCAGCACCGAGTTTATTTTACATATTCACGACCACATAGTAGTAACTACGAGACCCAAAGATACCAGAAATATTTCACTACCATAAAATGTACTAAGTTAAATTTTTGATAACAAAAAATATTAACCTGAACATACAAAATAACTCCAGTTAAGATGTCTCTGACTATAATGAATTAGAATAAAAATCACTGTACCATTAAAGAAATAATGTACTTGTAAAGAATAAACCTAGAATATGTTTAAAATGTATTCACCAGAACAAAACACAGTCTTCAAATTGTTTTCCTGTATATATGCAAAATGTTTTAAAATAAATGAAATGATCTAGGAATATAATATAGTCAATCAAGCCAACTACATGGTTATTAGAAAGTCAGTTTGGCTAATAACTTCTTCATATTCTCTCCCTCTGATATATAAAACTCCTTTTAGGATTCTTAGAACAAAATCTTTGAAACATGACATTTGTTGCCTGAATAAATGGCAGTAAAATAATTCACCATCAGTACTGCAGTTCATCTAGGGTGCCAGTTAAGAGGTGGGCACCTTTATCAGACAAGAAACTATAATTAAGAGTATAAGAGTAAATAATTAGCTGCATTTTAAATTAAGCTGTAATAGTCTCCCCTAATGTAAGGAAAACTGGGGTGCTTTCCTTGAGGTGAAGATGATCAGAAATATAGTACATGCATGTAAGAAAAAGAAGAATGAAAGAGCAAGAAGGAGAATTTTTTTGTTATAAAAAAGAGAGAAAGGAAGGAAAACCCTAGTCTCATATATGACCATAAATTCAGCTTCCTGTAAGTAAAAGCAAAATTAGTAGGGCTGCCTTCCTTTAACAACTTCTTCCTAGCAAGGTTATTCTAAATGTTCAGTGTAACTAGCTCCAAATTTTACTTATATGAAAGTGTTATCTTCTGATTAACCCAAGGCCTCAGTTTCCTTACAGATTGCTCCATTAACAGCTTTAAGAAAGAAATAAAAACTGCCCACATATTTAAGACAGAGAACTCAGTTTTTTATTCTTTATTCATTCATTTATTCATTCACTTGTTTAAATATTTAGTGATCATTACTGTTACAGTTTGGGCATTTGCCCCCTCCTAATCTCATGTCGAAATTAGATTCCCAGTGTTGGAGTGCTGGAGGTGGGGCCTGGTCCTGGTGGGAGGTGTTTGGGTTATAGGGGCAGATCCCTCATGAAAGACTTGGTACTGTTCTAGAGGTAATGAGTGAGTTCCTGCTCTACTAGTTCTCAGCAGAACTGATTGTTAAAAAGAGCCCAGCATCTTCCTCACCCCTCTCTCTCTTCCCTCCTCTCTTGCCATGTCCCTTCACCATCTGCCATGAGTGCAAGCTTTCTGAAGCCCTCACCAGAGGCAGATGCTGGCACCATACTTCTTACACAGCCCGCAGAGCCATGAGCCAAATAAATCTTTTTTTGTTATAAATTACTCAGCCTTGAGTATTACTTTATAGCAATGCAAAACGAGCTAAAACAACTACTACGTGAACACTGTGCTAGAAAGGGTATACAGTGATGACATGATTCTTCACCTCTAAATAATAACTACTCAAGATTTCCAGTTCAAAACCCTCATCCAGACTAGACTGCATTCAATGAAAGAAAAATAGATTAAAAAAAAATCATCACCAACAAATATGCTATCAAAAAGATACACGCTACTGTCTAGTAAACTACTAAAAGATATTTACACTTATAGAAGAAAATTGGCATAGAACAAAAGCTTAATTTCCTCAATAACAACATATTTCAAAATGAAAGAAAATAACATAGTACATGCTATGTTAGAAAGCCCTTCTTTTACTTGATTTACCATATAACATTATATATTCTATTCAAATATACATGCAAAAGAATTTTAATCTAAAAGAAATCTCACAAATAATCTTGTTCAGTATTTTCTAAATTTTAGTCATTTGTGTACCATCTTTATGATTTTTATATCCATGTACCATATGTATTATTTAATATTTTAAAAGCCAATTCATCTTTTAAAACTTAAATGAGTTTCTTTTATAGATGTTAACCATAAATATAAATTCACTGAAAAAAACATGTTATTAAATTCTATATGAATACCATTGCTTATGGAAAACTCTAAGCTGAAGTTCGGTTAAAAAGGGAGATTATTAGTGAGGTTTTAAAGGGTAATAACTGCTTTTCCTCTTACATTTCCTAAGAGTTTGAAACCAACTGAAAAAGAGAGAGAAATAAAATGACAATCAAAATATCAGCTTGATAACCAATGTCGATGAATTGCAGAATGTGATTTTGTGGTTTGGATTTATGGCTTCGTGGACTTTCTCACAGTTGCCATCCTGTCCTAAGCAAAGTTTGTCAACCAAAGCCTATTACATGGTAGAAGAGAAGTGCCTTGAGTATGGGCCACACCATGAGAGAAGTCAGAAACGGCTGTGCCTCACACGTTTGGTTCCTCCTGCCAAACGTGCCAGTTGGATAACACATTGATTTTGTTCCAAGTGCAAGGGAAATGAGGTCAACAGAAAGAGCAAAAAAGCATTTCTGTACTTTTTCATTCTAAGGGAATTAATTTCGCTTCTGTAGAAACTTTTTTTCTTCTTACTTTCATTGTTCTGTGTGACTCTCATGTGGAAACTCTTGAGGAGTATAAAATTCACAGTACCTGTTCACTCTCACCCCTACCCTACCCCCACAACCAAACAATTATCCAGTGTTAGAGAACTATTAAAGATATCTTAATACCAAACTGAGACTTTCTTTTTGATGTAATCAGAAAGATTGAAAAAGGAGTAACTTTCTTACTATGTGATTCAATGTTTATTTTAATGTTTTATCAAGGCACTGCCTAAAGTAATCTCATATGCCACCTAAAATCATCTCTAGTAATCTTTCAGAGTTTGGGAAACAAAGGTTTATTCAAACTTTCATTTTACAGAGGAAATAGACTAAGAGAGATTAAAAGAAATTCTCAAAGGTAATATTGTTAATAAAACGGCCAAGATCAGACCCTAGTGTTTACTCATTACTTATACTACATCCTACTTTATGAAACCTACATATTTGTTTTGTTTTAATTTATTTTGAATTGAAAATTAATAATTGTATATGTATTTTTATGGGGTTCAATGTGGTGTTTTGATATTTATATACGTTGTAGAAAGATTACATCAAGCTAATTAACATACCCATTATTTCACCAACGTATCCTTCTTTTGTAATCAGAACATTAGAAATAAATTCTTTTAGCAATTTTGAAATATACATTATTATTAACTGTGGTCACCATGCAGTACCACAGACCACTAAAACTTATTCCTACAGTTTAACTGAAACTTTGTACCCTTTCATCAACATCTCTCCTTTCCCCATCCCCTCCCACACCATCCCCCGACCGCAGCAGGCACTGATTATCACCTTTCTACTCTTCCTATGAGATCAACGTTTTTAGATATCACATGTGAGATTATACAGTGTTTGTCTTTCTGTGACTGGCTTATTTAACTGTCAGAACTAATGAACAAATTCAGTAAAGTTGCACGTTACAAAATCAATATACAAAAATCAATAGTGTTTCCCTACACTAACAACAAACTATTCCAAAAGGAAATTAAGGAAACAATCCCATTTACAATAGCATCAAAAAATAAAACAGGAGGAAATTTAACCAAGGAGGTGAAAATCCATACACTGAAAACTTATAAAATATTGACAAAAGATATTAAAAAGACAAATAAGTAAAAAAAGATGTACCATGTTCATGGATTGGAAGAACTAATATTATTAAAATGTCCACATTATCTGTATTAGTCCATTTTCATACTGCTATAAAGAACTGCCTGAGATTCGGTAATTTATAAAGAAAAAAGGTTTAATTGACTCACAGTTCAGCATGGCTGGGGAGGCGTCAGGAAACCTATAATCCTGGAAGAAGGCGAAGGGAAAGTAAGGCACCTTCTACACAAGGTAGCAGGAAGGAGAAGTGCCAAGTGAAGAGGGAAGAGCCCCTGATAAAACCATCAGGTCTTGTGATAACTCACTATCATTAGAACAGCATGGGGGAAACCACCCCCATGATTCAATTACATCCACCAGGTCTCTTGACATGTGGGGATTATGGGAATTACAATTCAAGATGAGATTTGGGTGGGGATGTAAAGCATAACCGTATCACTATCCAAAGCAATCTACAGATTCAATACAATCCCTATCAAAATTCCAATGTCATTTTTCACAGAAATAGAAAAAACAATCCTAACATATGTATGAATTCACTAAAAAACCCAAATAGTCAAGGCAATCTTGAGCAAAAAGAACAAAGCTGGAGGCACCAGACCCACTTGATTTGAAAATATAAAGCTACTGTAATCAAAACAGGATGGTACTGGCATAAAAACAGACATATCGACCAATGGAACAGAACTGAAAGCCCAGAAATAAACCCAAGTATTTATGGTCAATTGAGTTTTGACAAAGGTGCCAACACACAATGCAAAAAGGCTCATCTCTTCAATAAACAGTATTGGGAAAACTGGATATGCAGAGGAATGAAACTGAACTTTTATACTATATATAAAAATCAACTCAAAATGGTTATAAGACTTTAAGATCTGAAACTATACAACTATAGGAAGAAAACGGGAAAAGCTTCATGACAGTGGTGTGGGCAACAATTTCTTGGAAAGAACTCTAAAAGCACAGGCAGCAAAAGCAAAAATAGACAAATGGAACTGAATCAAAATAAAACGTTCTGTACAGCAAAGAAAACGAGAGTGAAGAGATAATCCATGAATTGGAAAAAAAAATTGCAAGCCATACACCCAACAAAGGGCTAATATCTATAATAATAAGCAACTCAAACAACAATAGCAAGAAAGCAAATAATCCAATTTAAAAATGGGCAAAGGATCTGAACAGATATTTCTCAAAAGAAGAGATACTAACGGTCAACAGATAGATGGAAAAAAATGCTCTTTAATCATGAGAGAAATGCAAATTAAAACTGCAATGAGTTATCACCTCACACCTGTTAGAATAGCTATTACCAAAAAGACAATAATAAGTGGTGGCGAGGATGTGCAGGAAAGGGAACCCTTGTACACCATTGGTGGGAATGTAAATTAGTTCAGCCATTTTGGAATCTATATTTTTTAAAAAATAATTTAAGTATGGCCAGTTTAATCAAGAGAGCCCTGCCATTCCATCAAGACTTTAAGGCTCTAAAAGAATACACCATACCAACCTTCCAGCAAGAAAACGTTTCATATGTAAAAATCACACATAAGTTAGCACTATACATTTATAAAGAATCAGTACAAACTAGCCCCGTTCAACATGAATTAATATGGTTATTACTGATTATTTCAGGAACATTTTCAAGTCTGTCTCCATGCTATGGTCTGAATTTTTATTTTCCCCCCAAATTCATATGCTGAAATCCCTACTTCCCAAGGTGATGGTATTAGGAGGTCTCTGTGAGGTAATTAAGTCATAAGAGCAGGCAAAACCCTCATGAATGGGATTAATAACTTTTTAAAGGAGACCCCAGAGAACTTGTTTGCCCCTTCTACCATGTGAGGATACAGCAAAAAAGTATCACCCATAAGGAAGCAGGCCCTCATCAGACACTGAATCTGTTGGTGCCAACAGTCTTTAGAACTGCAAGAAATAAATTGCTGTTGTTTATAGGCCACCCAGTTTATAGTATTTTGTTATAGCAGCCCAAACGGACTGACACTCCTCTGGTTAATAATCCTGTTTTATAAGGTCATTCATTCTCTTTACTAAGGACAGGTAACACTCTTATCTGCCCTTAGCAAAGGGGAGATCGCTGAAACCCATAGTCTTGCTGGAGGCTGGAGCAGAGAGGCACATCAAGCAAAATATACTAAGGCAAATGCCTATGCATGCAGTCTTTGACTGTAGCATGTAGTGGCTGAGAGTATGGGCTTTGGAATCACAAAAACTGGTGTCCAAATCCTCTATCACTTACCAGTTGTGTGACCTTGAAGAAGTTATATTTAACTTCATCCCAGTTTCTTCATCTGGAAAATGGCATTAATATTAGCACCATACTCATCTATAAAATGGGACTGATAATAGTATCTTACTCATTAAGTTATTTTAAGGATGAAATAAAATGTTACATGTAGAAAGCTTAGCACAATGGCTGACACAAAGTAATTCTCAGAAAATGTTAGTTCTTTATTTTGGGGACGATTCTGCTGAACAATTCTCAATAAGCCAGCTATAGTTTGATCTAGGAAGAGATTATTTGCCAAAATATCATATTATCTGAAAAATATATGAAAGGACCCCATTTCAGTGAGCACTTTATGCCCAAAGTATATCTAATTCATGCTGTTTACCACAGACAATAAAACAATGAGCAGTTTTTACCTTTTCAAAATATTCAATAAATGACTACAATGAAGAGTAGGGACTCCTAGCTACCGTGAAGTTCTGACATTCTGTCATCACTACCTTGATTTGACCAAAACCCTGTTCTGTACTGAAACACAGAATAGCAGCTACTTGTCTAAAACAGTAACACTTTCTGCTCATATTACAGCAAGGGATTTGTATGTTTAATTTATATCTACAAAGACTATCTGGACTTCTAGGATACACATTTTCTTTAACAGTGTATTGCCAAGTATGACTCCGATTAGGTTCTTAGAGAACTATCAAAAAGTTTTTAGAGGAGGCAAGAGTAAAAGGAGATCAAGGCTGAAAGCTAACTAGCTATGGTGAGACCTTTAGAGGGATGAGGGAGCTTTTTAAATTTAACTTGGACACAAAAGACGGCCATTTAAAATGAACACAGAAATGTGTAAGGTCTATTCTTTGGGATTTCAACAATGATGACATAAATATTTATATCCTCATTTAATGACAGAGATCTGTTTTCACTTAAAATAGGGAGGAAAGATATGTTATACTATTAAAAAGTGAACATCTAGGCTACTTTCCTGTTGTTTTTCAGCCACTGTGGCCTGTAGAGATCTCTTCTTGGACTTGAATGAGCAACTATGGCCTGTCATATGAATTCTATGTCATATGAATTCTATCACTGCTCTACTTAGTCAACAACTTGAAAGACTATTATTACTGTCAACTTGAAGCCTCCAACCAATTGAATAAAAAGTTCTAAATTGAATCATATGAAACATAGTGCAGTGTTAGCAACATTCTTAAGAATTAGCATATCACACTCTGGGAATGACTGGGCAGCATTCTCATGAGGTGCCTGCTGCTTTTAATAGCAACAGACATGCCTTGCAAAGGCAGCTAAACTTATGGTTAACTGATCTCAATGATATTCTGACAGACTTAACTCTGGGTTGGGGACTAAAAGAATGGCTAATGGAAAACAGGTAATATCTTAGTGAGTTATGCAGTTCAGGATAAGGCAGGCAGGACAGTGTCAAAAGAAAAAAGACAAAAGAGATTTGTTTGCTTCATGCCACTAAACAGAAGGCTCCCTGAAGTCACTCTTAATATTTCTAAAACAAATTTAGCCATTTAACTTATAAACATATAAAAGTTGCTTTGCCAAGAAGTTGCAGACTACAGACAGCTTGCTAATAAAGGGGATACTGCCAACAGTCTCTTTGATGATTCATAAGACCCTATGAGTCCATGGCTAGACGTTTGAGGGAGTTTTTTTGTTTGTTCTATTTTTTTTAAATAAGTTAGTACTTTCTCCTAACTTAGAACCTCCTTCCGGCTCAAAGGATCACAAAGATACTAGAACAGCTTCTCTTCATTGGCAAGAAACAAGAATATAGGAACAGAAAGCAGTAGGAAGGCAAGGCTTAATTTCATCAAATTTACCCAAGAGCTAAATTCCAGCCTCACTTTCCTCCATTGCCCTATTTAAAAAAAAAAATCACAATTCCACTCTTAAGTTCCCCTTATTCCTTCACTACATGTCATGCCCCCTTGAAAGAAACGACTAGAATAAGCAGGTATGCCATCAGGATCTCGCAGGATGAAGCTGTCAGTCAGCACACTGGATTCCTTTTTGCTCTGGGTGAATTTTACAGCTGCCTCTGTAATTAGCATACTTGAGGAGTTACGAATGAGATGTTTCACAATGGCTTTAAGGCTATTTGTAATTTTTCTGCTAAATTATCATCCAATTATGTTAAATCAGGGAGACCTATTGGGTTTCTTCATTATACGTAAAGGTCAATACCCTAAGATATAAGAATTATTAAGTAGAAATTCTGGCCACATCGTAAGAGAAGAAAATGAAAACGCAGAGTCATGTTAAAGGAAGCAAAAACAAAACACTTAAGATTTCTATGGAATATGAGGAAAGAGGGCAGTTAGTGTAACACTGTATAGCTTAATTTAGTATTGCATAGCTAAAGTGCTGTACAAATTGCTGATAAAACAGACGTACATCTTAGCCTACTAAAACAGGAACTGGAGCAGCAAATCTCCCTAGTATCATAAATTCCACCAATCTAAAAAGTACCAGTAGCTTCAACGGTCACCCTACCATCACACTCCCATCTTTAACTCTTGCTGCCATCTCAGACTGCACAATGTATCTTCTTCCCCAGCTGCCTCTGCTTCCATTGTGGAAGAAAGATGATGGGGTGTGGAGTATGGTCTTATGTGCCAAACCACAGCTGCTACTGTCACTGCTACTGATGATCTGACATAGGTCACTCCACTCTCCCTTCCTTTTGCGCTGTGTAAAATCTCTAGAAAGAGAGCTAATTAATACTTTACAATCTATAGCTTCTGGTGGCATAGCTGAAACAAATAGTGTAAAGGTATTACTCAAAAAAATGGCTATATTTTATCCTTTTGGGTTTAATTGGGAAGAAGAGGGGATATCCATAAATGAAGAAAAAGAACTATGAAGCAAAAGGCATGAAACCTTAACTAACAGAGCATGCAAGTGGGAGGAGGGAAGAAGATACATGTAGCAAACAGGGCAAGGAGGAGATGTCTGATATGGTGGGAAGTAGGCTTTGGCTTGCCATTGCTTTAAAAGACAATGCTTTGTACAGATTTGATACTTGACATTATGTTTCTCATACAATTTCTCATTTGAGCTTAAAACAAAGACAGTATCATGACAACTTTCTTTAGAACTTGGACTAGAATTTACAAAGGAAGACTTCTGCCACTTCCTCGCCTAGAAGGTTACTTAAAATTTTCTACCCTAGGCCGGGCGCAGTGGCTAACGTCTGTAATCCCAGCACTTTGGGAGGCCAAGGCAGATGGATCATGAGGTCAAGAGATCAAGACCATCCTGGCCAACAGGGTGAAACCCTGTTTCTACTAAAAATACAAAAATTAGCTGGGCGTGGTGGCATGCACCTGTAGTCCCAGCTACTTGGGAGGCTGAGTAGCTGAGGCAGGAGAATCACTTGAACCTGGGAGGTGGAGGTTGCAGTGAGCCGAGATGGTGCCACTGCACTCCAGCCTGGCGACACACCAAAACTCTGTTTAAAAAAAAAAAAACCACAAAAATTTCTACCCTATGTAACACACGCCTCAACCTGTAGACAGTTATTTATCAGTAGGCCACAACATCTTACCTGGTAGCTCCAAATCATTTTACGATACTCCTATATTCATCTGAGGTCATAAAGATTCTGGCAGGGATGAAGGGCCAGACTCCTTTTTTTCCATATACTACTTCACCTTTTCTCAATGAGCCATGCTATAAGATGCTTCTAACATAGCCGCTGCATTTATACCTCCTTGTCCCAGCTCTCTATTAGCAACTGGAATTAAGAGCTAACAGTTATTGAGAACCAACTGTATGCGCGGTACTATACTAAATGTTTCCAACGCATTATCTCAATTAATCCGCAAAGTTGTGATGAGGTACTTTCTTGTTCCCTTTTTTTTTTTTTTTGAGATGGAGTTTTGTTCTTGCTGCCCAGGTTGGAGTGCAACGCCATGATCTCAGCTCACAGCAACCTCCGCCTCCCGGGTTCAAGCGATTCTCCTGCCTCAGCCTCCTGAGTAGCTGGGATTACAGGCGTGTGCCACCATGCCCAGCCAATCTTGCATTTCTAGTACAGACAGGGTTTCTCCATGTTGGTCAGGCTGGTCTTGAACTCCCAACCTCAGGTGATCCGCCCACCTTGGCCTCCCAAAGTGCTGGGATTACAGGCGTGAGCCACCACGCCCGGCCTCTTGTTCCCATTTTATAGCTGAGGTTAAGCACCTTATTTAAGGTCACTCAGCTAGGAGTCAGAGACAGGAGTTGAACCCAGACATTCTGATTCCAGAATCTTTAGTCCTATTCCATTCCCACTCCATTATCATAGTTTCAGTGAGACTCAAAATGACTCTTCATGGAATAACAAAGGGAGAGGCGAGGTGGCTACTCCAGGTGTGAGTTTAAATAGCATGATAAAAGGAGGGGCTCTAGAGAAGTTCCTATGGGTAAGATACAGATTTTTCTCTATAATGTGTACTAGATCTAGGAATTTACATAAATGATATAAACTTCAAACATGCATCATCATGTATAGCCATATAAAGCAATTAGTGGATGTGAATTGTGGCTTAACAACTTCATAAATTGTCATTTTGGGTTCATACTGGGATCCCCAAAGAAAGAAAAATAATAGCTAAAGACAGCTTATCTCAAATTTAATTTATTTGTATGACACATTTAGGGTGCATTTTAGTTATCTTAAAGCTCATGGTTAAGAGTTAATAATACCCTTAGAGAATGAGAATCAGCTGTCCTGTGACAGTCGTATTTTCTAATAATTATGTAAAATTACGTAATAAGCTTTCCATGAAGGAAAAATAGCCTACTTTGGGACAGAAAACCCAGGAGCAAATTTATCACAAAGAGGTTTATTAAACTTGTAAACTCCTCTTCCTATTATCTATTTAAACACTTACTTCCAACCATTAAACATTAAAGCACACACATTTTGCTTCCGTCCTTAAATATATTTCCTCCTTTAATTTCTTAAGTGACATAATTAGGGATAAAAAATTTCAGTTTACTCATGAAGACCTTATAAATTAAAGTATCTACTCTTGATGATATGATCCAAAATTTGGGATATAACACCTGATGGTATCCAAAATGAATCACAACATGAATACAAATATTTTATGTTTTCAGAAATAAATTTCAGCCCTGATTATCATTAAAATTAACATTATTCTTGTCAGTGAAATTTATAAAAGATTAAAAAGATTAGAGAAAGAACTTTTAGAGGGGACGCAAAATGATTTTAAAGTTAATTCAACAGATCACTAAGTTGGACACACATACATGATGTGTTATGTATAAATATGTGTGGTTCAACCACTGCAGATCAAAGAATGGTCTAATAAAGAAGACAAATCATTTTATTTAAAAGAGTGGTGATCCCCCCAAATGACAATAGGATGATTCTCTTCTATCTAAAAAGATGAACGCTGAGAGGCAGTATGTTCAAAGCTTACAAAAATCCAAATATTTGGATGGGGGTTCAAGAATGTGTTCATTAAATCTTAGAACTAGGACCCTTTCATTGAAAGTAGTTTAAGAGGCTGGGTGTGGTGGCTCAAGCCTGTAATCCCAGCACTTTGGGAGGCCAAGGCGGGCGGATCACGAGGTCAGGAGATCGAGACCATCCTGGATAACACGGTGAAACCCCGTCTCTACTAAAAACAAAAAAAATACAAAAAACTAGCCAGGTGTGGTGGCGGGTGCCTGTAGTCCCAGCTACTCGGGAGGCTGAGGCAGGAGAATGGTGTGTACGCAGGAGGCGGAGCTTGCAGTGAGCCAAGATTGAGCCACTGCACTCCAGCCTGGGCAACAAAGCAAGACTCCGTCTCAAAAAAAAAAAAAAAAAAAAAAAAAAACAGAAAGAAAGAAAAGAAAGTAGTTTAAGAGCATGTAAAATAAAACTTTTATACAATATGTAAAATTCTTACAGAACTAATTGTCACAACAGAATATGAAAGTCAGAGATGAAATGTTTGGGGGAAAATATGAATATTCAGGCCTTGATGTCATGGATGGCAACCATATGTCCTACAAAGTCACTGAGAATCACTGTTAATCAGAGTAGTGAATGGAATGAATCAGTGATATAACCCAAAATGCTCTTCTTAGGCTTCAGTGCACAGGAAACAACATATACAACATAATCAGATTATGTTACATTTTGGCTCTAAAGGATGCATTTTCTTAGTGTACCAACAAATTATTTCTTTTCCTTGCAGTATTGGAGATAAGAGGTAGATATACCACAAAAACCAGAAAAGTATAAGAAGAGGAAAAACAGAATATTACTTATGCCTGATGATGCTACCTGCTGGGTTAGACTAGAATATATAATTCATAAAGAATACTGGAGTTCAGAAGTTAGTACTACATGGAACGTAACTTGCGTATGATTATTTCCTCTAACCTATATAAAAAAAACCAGTAAATATTCTTTGAGAATGGTGTTAGTCAAGGTTCACTGGTTGTAAGGAATAAAAACCTAGACAAATTAGCTCAAATGAAAAGAAAGATTACTGAAAGAATACAATGGAATTGCCAAGAGATGAAGAGCAGAAAGTATAACTGATCTTCCCGCAATGAGAAATCTGCAATTCTTACCCATTTCTATGTGGCTGTGGGGTCTGGGTGGGTCTGCTATACTCTCCTTTCTGCTAAGTGACTTATCTCTTGCTCACAGCCCACCTTGTAGGTATCAGCATCAGTCTACAAGATTTTACAGCTTAGTCTCACCTCCATGTAAACTAGAGTCCCTATCTTGTAATGATTCTAACACTAAGACCATGTGCTGAGCAGTGTGCTACATGCTTAGAAATATTATTTCTTTTAATTGCCAGAACAATCCTATGGGGCAAGTACACTTACAGATGACCAGTGAAGGAGTCAGAATCCAGACCAGTCAGACTCCAGAGTTGGAGAGCACAACTACCAGGTTACATTACCTCTAAACAGGGAATTTGATTGGCAGAGCCCAGCCTAAAGGATTAGTTTCCCAGGGTTAGGAACAGGTGTGAATGGGCATGTGTTTCTGCATGGGCGTGTGTGTGTGTGTGTGTGTGTGTGTGTGTGTGTGTGTGTGTGTGTGTGTGTGTAGAAGGGAGGGAGTGTTTACATGACATACACAAGACAGCGAGAGGTGTATTCCTCAAATAGATTCTATTAGATGGGCTGTGGAGAGTTAATAATTAGTATCCCTGGTCCCGACATTTGATATGTACTCCACACAGAAGTGGTACAGAAAATCTTTGGCTTTCAGGAATTAAAATTTTCAGAAATTTAACTCTCAGAGGTATCTCAATCATTGCATTTAGCAAACTGCATGTTTTTATGTGTATCTGTCTCCCCCATAAGTCTGGAACAAGGACATAAACATAAACCTATTCATTTTGTTGCCTTAGTAACTACCACTATTGCAGGCAAATAAAAAGCACAAAATAAATGCGTAATTGAATAAATAAACTTAATAATATAACGTGCCGTACCTAACAGGGATCCCACAGTTTGCTATAGGAAATGATCGCTTACCTAGACAATAGATGAGCCTACCATCCAGCATCACAACTGCATCATTCTTGGTAATTTTTGAGATTTGCAAATGCCACAGTTTTATTACTTTACGATGCAAAACGTTAATATTACTCAGGTTCTACCTTTATTTAAGAACTTTAACAGTTTCTTAGATAATAGTTTAAGACCTCAAATACCTACAAAAAGGGAATATAAATACTTGCTAAGCTACATGGACACTTCTATTCTTCTCACTGCTTGCACAATACTTCAGAAATACATAGGTCTTCTGCCTCAGACCCATCAACTATTTCATAAATATATACTACCGAAATAGTACATGACAGGAAAAGAGATATTATTCTTGTTTTTGTTAATTTTATTATTTTACTGTACACTTTTCCAGGCAGTTGCCTCTAATTTCCTGGACCCAAAGAATGATCTTTGAGCATTTCGATAAACATTATAGAATCTATATTTTAGTTATTCAGTAATGTAAGAAGTTATGGTTAATTTTTATATGAAGTACAGAGCCAGATGAAATTATGCTAGGCATGTATTATTGCTAGAATGTCTGTCCCTCCATTCAGAATTTTGTAGATTTCATATTGAAATAAATATTGAAATTCATTTATAAGAATCTCACTTGGAATATTTCTACACATTATAATAACAGAAGTTACAAAAATTAAACATTACATTTAAAACCAACTTATTTTCATATTCCTTTTTTTTTTTTGAGATGGAGTTTCGCTCTTGTTGTCCAAGCTGGAGTGGAATGACGTGATCTCAGAATGGCGTGATCTCAGCTCACTGCAACCTCCACCTCCTGGGTTCAAGTGATTCTCCTGCCTCAGCCTCTGGAGTAGCTGGGATTACAGGAATGTGCCACCACGCCCAGCTAATTGTTTGTATTTTTAGTAGAAATGGGGTTTCACCATGTTAGCCAGGATGCTCTCGAATTCCTGACCTCAGGTGATCCACCCACCTCACTCCTGACCGCAGGTGATCCACCTGCCTTGGCCTCCCAAAGTGCTGGGATTACAGGCAACAGGCGTGAGCCACCGCACCTGGCCTCATATTCCTTTTTATAGCTGTTTGTGATGATTACTATCATTATAATAAAACATAATTGTACTTTTCTTCAGTTCCAGAGAATTTTCACGTTTTAGCTCAATTCATACTCAACAGATCCTTAACAACGCATGGCCTAAAGGAAAACTAGTTTACCAGAGCTTAATCTACTGGAGTTTTATCAAAGCCTAACCCACCAGGGGGAAGAGAAATACCCAATTCAGGTTTACTAAAAGACTGAGACCTAATGATATTACTACGGAACACTTCCTCCTCCCCACAAACCATACCATCACATCAATAAGACTGATGAACAATAAGGAGAAATTGCAGCTAAAAGAACTGCCTATTTCAGGAGTCTCTAAAAGGCCTAAAGACAAGGGAGACAAAAACAAGGACACTAGAAGAAATTTTAGCATCTGATACCATAGCTATGGCTACAGTAAGCACACCCCAACTCCTAGCCAGATAAACACAAAACCTCATACTAACAGCCTATCTACTTCAGTTCCTTTTTATCCAATACCTCACATTTGGCTTTCAATAAAAACATTACAAGGCATGCTAAAAGGCAAAAAATATAGTCTGAAGATACAAACCCTCAGAACCAGACTCCGATATTACAGAGAGTTTGCAAGTAACAGACTGGGAATTTAACTATGAATAATAGGCTAAAAACCTAATAATAAACAAATGGACAACATGCAAGAATAGATGAGTAATGCAGGCAGAGAGATGGAAACTCCAAGGAAAAAAAATTTTTTTTAAATGCTAAAAATAAAAAAACACCATAACAGAAATGAAGAATGCCTTTAATGGCCTCAGTAGTAGGTTGGATATGACCAAGGAAAGAATCAGCTTAAAGATATGTGAACATAAACTTACAAAACTGAATTAAAAGAATGGAACAGAATATCCAAGAACTGTGGGACAATTTACAAAAGGTGGACATACATGTAATGGGAGTACCAGAGGAGAAGAAAGAAAAAGAAAAAATTACTGAAATAATAATGCCTGAGAATTTTCCAAAATTAATGAGAGACACAAAACCACAAATCTATAAAACCTAGAGAACATCAAGTATCCATACAAAAAACAAACAAACAACAACAAAAAACCCCAAAGAAATAAAACTACACCTAAGAATAACATATTCAAACTGCAAAAAGTCAGAAAAAAATTTTGAAAAACGCTGGGCTGGAGGAACCTTATCTAGAGAGGAACAATATTTACATGTGCCTTCTCTTCAGGAATCATGCAAGCAAGAAGAGAGTGGAATAGAATAAAGATGTTTGAATTCCTTTGAAAGAATAAAACCACCCATTTAGAATTCTGCATTCTGCAGTATTTCTCCTTCACTTTTGAAGGATAATTAAGAATTTCTCAGATAAACAAAACAGGAAATTTGTTGCTAGCTTCAGAGAGAAGGAAAATTATATAGATCATAAACTCAAATATGTATAAAGAAGAGTGTTAGAGAGGTATAAATGAAATCTTTTTTAAGTTCTTAATTTACCTACAGTGTATTCAAAATAATACTAGCAACAATGTATTTGGTGATCATAGCTTATGGATAACTAACACGAATGATAGTAATGCTTTACGGGATGGGAGAGAGAAATTAGGAATACTCTGTTATAAGGTCTTGGCATTATATATCCCATGAAGGGATATATAAAGTTATTTGAAAGTGGATTTGGATTTGTGGTAAATATATATTGCAAGCTCTGGGGCAACCACTAGAAGAAGTTATAACTGATATGCTAAGACATAATAAAAAATGGAATCATTATAAAATGACCCATTAAAACCAGAGAAGGCAGAAAACTAGAGGAAGATAAAAAAGGACACAAAAATAGGGCAACAAATAGAAAACAGCCACAATTATAGAAACAACCCAACTATATCAATAACTGCTTTAAATGTAAATAGCCCAAAATACACCAGTTAAGAGGCAGAGACTGTCCAAGTGGATTTAAAAAAAAAAGAAGACCAACTATATGTTAGGTACAAAAATCCACTTTAAATGTGAAGATATACACATAGGTTAAAAGTAAAAGGTTGGAGAAAAATACACCATGCTAACACAAATCAAAAGAAAGCTAGAGTAGCTCTACCAATTTCAAATAAAGTAGATTTCAGAGCAAGAAAAATTATCAGCAATATCTTACCTGAGCTCTAATATTGAATAAAAAAGTTTTTAAAAAAATGAACAAAAAACAAAAAAATTATCAGCAATAGACAGCATTATATAATGACAGAGGTTTAATTATCCAAGAAGACACAATTATACCTAATATGTATAATGCACCTAACAACTGACTGTCAAAATACATAAGGTAAAAACTTACAGAATTGCAATGAGAATATACAAATTCACTATTATACTTGGAGACTTCAATACCTGTCTATCAGTAATTGACATAACCAGCAGGGAGAATATTGGTAAAGACACAGTTGAACTGAGCAGCACCATCAATCTAATTGATTTATAGAATACTTCATCTAGCCACAGTAGAATGCACATTCTTCTCGAGTTCACAGGGAACATTTCACCAAGCTAAACAATATTCTGGCCTACAAAACACACCTTAACAAATTATTTATTTATTTATTATACTCTAAGTTTTAGGGTACATGTGCACAATGTGCAGGTTAGTTACATATGTATACATGTGACATGCTGGTGTGCTGCACCCATTAACTTGTCACTTAGCATTAGGTATATCTCCTAAAGCTATCCCTCCCCCCTCCCCCCACCCCACAACAGTCCCCAGAGTGTGATGTTCCCCTTCCTGTGTCCATGTGTTCTCATTGTTCAATTCCCACCTATAAGTGAGAATATGCGGTGTTTGGTTTTTTGTTCTTGCGATAGTTTACTGAGAATGATGATTTCCAATTTCATCCATGTCCCTACAAAGGACATGAACTCATCATTTTTTATGGCTGCATAGTATTCCATGGTGTATATGTGCCACATTTTCTTAATCCAGTCTATCATTGTTGGACATCTGGGTTGATTCCAAGTCTTTGCTATTGTGAATAGTGCCACAATAAACATACAAGTGTATGTGTCTTTATAGCAGCATGATTTATAGTCCTTTGGGTATATACCCAGTAATGGGATGGCTGGGTCAAATATAAATTTAAAAGAACAGATATCATACAAAGTATGCTCTCAAACCACAATGGAACTAGAAATCATTAACAAAAAGATAGCTGAAGCACTTTGTGTTATTTATAACACAAGAATCAAAGAAATGTCAAGAAATAAAAAATATTTTAAACTAAATGAAAATAAAACATTAAAATTTGTGGAACGCTGCAAAAGTGGTACTTAAATGTATATTCGCAGCACTGAATACACATAATGAAAAGGAAGAAAAAGCTAAACCCAATTATCTAAGCTTCCATATTAGCAAACTAGAAAAAAGCACAAATTAAATCCAAAGTAAGCAGAAGAAATCAATGAAACTGAAAATAGAAAAACAACAGAGAAAATTAACAAACTGAAAAGCTAGTTCTTTGAAAATATCAGTAAAATGAAGAAACCTCTAGTGAGGCTAACTGAGAAAGAAGGGGAGAAGACCCAAATTACTAATATTAGAAATAAAAGACAGGCCACAACAACTAATCACGTGGACGTTAAAACGATAATAAAGGAATATTATGGATAACACTGTACCCACAAATTTGATAGCTAACATGAATTGAACCAATTCTTTGAAAGATCCAATCTACCAAAATTCACACAAGGAGAATTTGGTAATCTGAATAGGTCTCTATATTGATCAAAGAAATAGAATAAACAATAATTTTCCAAAAGAGAAAGCACCACACTCAGATAGTTTCACTGGTGAATTCTACTAAACATTTAAGGAACAAATGATGCCAATTCTGTATAATTTCTTCCAGAAAATAGAAACAGAAGGAATCCTTCCTAAATCATTCTATGAGGCTAATATTACACTAATACCAAAACCACATAAAGACATCATGAGAAAGAAAACAGACTAATAGCTCTCATTAATGTAGATGCAAAATCCTCAACAAAATATTAGCAAATCAAACCTAACAATGTATAAAAAGAATTATTCTCCCTCTCCCCCTCCCTCTCTCCCTCTCCCCACGGTCTCCCTCTCCCTCTCTTTCCACGGTCTCCCTGTGATGCCGAGCTGAAGCTGGACTGTACTGCTGCCATCTCGCCGTCTCGGCTCACTGCAACCTCCCTGCCTGATTCTCCTGCCTCAGCCTGCCGAGTGCCTGCGATTGCAGGCGCGCGCCGCCACGCCTGACTGGTTTTCGTATTTTTTTGGTGGAGACGGGGTTTCGCTGTGTTGGCTGGGCTGGTCTCCAGCTCCTAACCGCGAGTGATCCGCCAGCCTCGGCCTCCCGAGGTGCCTGGATTGCAGACGGAGTCTCGTTCACTCAGTGCTCAATGGTGCCCAGGCTGGAGTGCAGTGGCGTGATCTCGGCTCGCTACAACCTCCACCTCCCAGCCGCCTGCCTTGGCCTCCCAAAGTGCCGAGATTGCAGCCTCTGCCTGGCCGCCACCCCGTCTGGGAAGTGAGGAGCGTCTCTGCCTGGCTGCCCATTGTCTGGGATGTGAGGAGCCCCTCTGCCTGGCTGCCCAGTCTGGAAAGTGAGGAGCATCTCTGCCCGGCCGCCATCCCATCTAGGAAGCGAGGAGCGCCTCTTCCCGGCCACCATCCCATCTAGGAAGTGAGGAGCGTCTCTGCCCGGCCGCCCATCGTCTGAGATGTGGGGAGCGCCTCTGCCCCGCCACCCCGTCTGGGATGTGAGGAGCGCCTCTGCCCGGCCGTGACCCCGTCTGGGAGGTGAGGAGCGTCTCTGCCCGGCCGCCCCCTCTGAGAAGTGAGGAGACCCTCTGCCCGGCAACCACCCCGTCTGAGAAGTGAGGAGCCCCTCCGCCCGGCAGCCGCCCCGTCTGAGAAGTGAGGAGCCCCTCCGCCTGGCAGCCACCCCATCTGGGAAGTGAGGAGCGTCTCCGCCCGGCAGCCACCCCGTCTGGGAGGGGGGTGGGGGTCAGCCCCCCGCCCAGCCAGCCGCCCCGTCCGGGAGGGAGGTGCGGGGGGTCAGCCCCCCTCCCGGCCAGCCGCCCCGTCCGGGAGGGAGGTGGGGGGGGGGTCAGCCCCCCGCCCGGCCAGCCGCCCCGTCTGGGAGGGAGGTGGGGGGGTCAGCCCCCCGCCCGGCCAGCCGCCCCGTCCGGGAGGGAGGTGGGGGGGTCAGCCCCCCGCCCGGCCAGCCGCCCCGTCCGGGAGGGAGGTGGGGGGGTCAGCCCCCCGCCCGGCCAGCCGCCCCGTCTGGGAGGTGAGGGGCGCCTCTGCCTGGCCGCCCCTACTGGGAAGTGAGGAGCCCCTCTGCCCGGCCAGCCGCCCCATCTGGGAGGGAGGTGGGGGGGTCAGCCCCCCGCCTGGCCAGCCGCCCCGTCCGGGAGGTGAGGGGAACCTCTGCCCGGCCACCCCTACTGGGAAGTGAGGAGCCCCTCTGCCCGGCCACCACCCGGTCTGGGAGGTGTACCCAACAGCTCATTGAGAACGGGCCATGATGACAATGGCGGTTTTGTGGAATAGAAAGGGGGGAAAGGTGGGGAAAAGATTGAGAAATCGGATGGTTGCCGTGTCTGTGTAGAAAGAAGTAGACATGGGAGACTTTTCATTTTGTTCTGTACTAAGAAAAATTCTTCTGCCTTGGGATCCTGTTGATCTATGACCTTACCCCCAACCCAGTGCTCTCTGAAACATGAGCTGTGTCTACTCAGGGTTAAATGGATTAAGGGCGGTGCAAGATGTGCTTTGTTAAACAGATGCTTGAAGGCAGCATGCTCGTTAAGAGTCATCACCACTCCCTAATCTCAAGTACCCAGGGACACAAACACTGCAGAAGGCCGCAGGGTCCTCTGCCTAGGAAAACCAGAGACCTTTGTTCACTTGTTTATCTGTTGACCTTCCCTCCACTATTGTCCTATGACCCTGCCAAATCCCCCTCTGCGAGAAACACCCAAGAATGATCAATAAATAAATAAATAAATAAATAAAGAATTATACACTATGACCAATTGGAATTTATTTCAGACATCCAGTGCTAGTTCATCATCGAAAAATCAATCAAGATAGTCCATCAAATCAACAGGCTAAAGGAGATAAATAATTTAATAATATCAATAGATGCAAGAAAAGTAGTCCACCAAATCCAACACCTATTCATGATTAAAAACTCTCAGCAAGAAAGAACATCTACAAACAGCCTACAGCTAGCAAACTGCATAATGGTGAGAAACTTGATACCTTCTTCCTAAGTTGGGAACAACACAAGGATGGCCCCTCTCACCATTCCTACGTAACACTAAAAATAAAAGGAATCAGTCAGTAGCAGAAGTCAATGGAATAAGACAAAAGAAAGAAAGAAAAGGTATACAGATTGGGAAGGAAGACATAAAACTATCTTTGTTCACAGATGACATGGTCATTTATGTAGGAAATCCCAAGAGTTGGCAACTTGCCCCTGCCCCTCCACCCCCCAAAAAAACCAGCAAAAAACCCCTGCTGGAACTAATAAGTAACTATATCAAGGTTGTAGGATACAAGGTTGATATACAAAAGTCAAATGTGGCTGGGCGTGGTGGCTCACGCCTGTAATCCCAGCACTTTGGGAGGCCGAGGCAGGTAGATCACCTGAGGTCAGGAGTTTGAGACCAGCCTGGCCAACATGGTGAAACCCCATCTCTACTAAAAGTACGAAAATCAGCCCGGTGTGGTGGCACACGCCTGTAATCCCAGCTACTCGGAAGGCTGAGGCAGGATTATCAGCTTGCACCCGGGAGGCAGAGGTTGCAGTGAGCCAAGATCACGCCACTACACTCCAGCCTGGGTGACAGAGCGAGACTCTTGTTTCAAAAAAAAAAAAAAAGTCAAATGTTTTCCTATATACCACCAATGGGCAATGAAATTTAAAACACACACCACCATTTACATTAGCACAAGAATGAGAGAGAGAGAGAGAGAGATAAAGGGATGACAGAAGTTAAAGTCTAATAAAATACATTATGAGCTCTATATGACAAAAATTATAAAACTGAAGAAAGAAACCAAAGAAAATCTAAATAAATAAAGAGCTATTCCAGGTTCATGGATAGAAGACTCAATATTGTCAATGTCAATTTTTCTCAACTTTATATATAAATTCATCACAATCACAATTGAAATCCTGACAAGTTACTTTATGGCTATCAATAAGCTAATTCTAAAGTTTATACAGAAAGGCAGAACACCCAAAAGAGTTAATATAACATTGAAGAATAACAAAGTAAGAGGACTGATCTACCTGACTTCAAAGACTTTTTTGAAGATTACTTTATATATAAAGTAATCAAGACAGTGTGATATTGGAAAACAGACAAATAGATGAATGGAACAGAAGATCCCAGAAAAAGACCCACATAGAGATGGTCAACTGATCTCTGAAAATGGAGCAAAGGCAATCCAATGGAGAAAAGATAGTATTTCAACAAATGGTGCTGGAAAAATTAGACATCTACTTGCAAAAACAACAAACAAACAAACAAAAACAGGGTATAGAATCTAGACATTGACCTTATACCTTTCATAAAAATGAACTCAACATGGATCACAGACCTAAATGTAAAATGCAAAACTGTAACACTTCTAGAGGATAACACAGGAGATTATTTAGGTGACTGTGGATTTGGCAATGAGTTTTCAGATATAACACCAAAAGCACAATCCATAAAATAAAACAATTGAGAAGTTAAACTTCAGTGAAGTTGAAAACCTCTGCTCGGCTGGGTGCTGTGGCTCATGCCTGTAATCCTAGCACTTCGGGAGGCCGAGGTGGGCGGATCACGAGGTCAGGAGTTCAAGACCAGTCTGGCCAATATGGTGAAACCCCATTTCTACTAAAAATACAACAATTAGCCAGGCACGGTGGCATGTGGCTGTAGTCCCAGCTACTTGGGAGGCTGAGGCAGAAGAATTGCTTGAACCCGGGAGGCAGAGGTTGCAGTGAGCTGAGATTGCACCACTGCACTCCAGCCTGGGCGACAGAGCGAGACTCTGTAACAAAAAACAAAAAAACAAACAAACAAACAAAAAACCTCTGCTCTATGAGACATAGTTAAGAGAATGAAATGAAAACCCACAGATGAAAGAACTTATATCCAACTCAACTCAACTTTATATATAAATAGAACTCTTATAACCAAAATATATAAGAACTCTTTCCAAAATATAAAAAGAACCCTTAAAACTTAATAGTAAGAAAGCTAACAACCCAATTATAAAATGGGCAAAAGACCTGAGCAGACATCTCACCAAAGAAGATGTACAGATGACAAACAAGCATATGAAATGATTCTCAACACTGTATGGCACTAGTGAATTGCAAATTAAAACAGAATACTACCACATATCTATTAGAATGGCTAAAATCTGAAATAGTGACAACACCAAATGCTGGGGAAGATGTGAAGAAATAGGAACTCTCATTCATTGCTGCTGCAAATGCCAAATGGTATAATCACTGTTATGGACTGAATGTTTGAGTCCCTCCTCTCCCCTCAAATTCATATGTTGAAGTCCTAACTTCCAGTGTGATGGTATGAGGAGATGGGGCCTTTGGGAGGTAATTAAGTTACATGAGATAATGAAGGTAGAGTTCCCATGATGGAATTGGTGGTCTCAGAAGAAGAGGAAGAGACACAGAATTTTCTCTCTCCACGATGCGAAGGTAAACACCAGGAAGAAGGCCCTCACCAAAACTGTATGTTGTTTAAACTACCCAGTTTATATTTTGTTATAACAGCCTAGATAGACAGCCGTTTTGGAAGATAATTTGGCAGTTTCTTACAAAGCTAAACATAGTTTTGCCATATGATCCAGCAATCTCACTGCTACAGCTTACCCAAGTGAGTTGAAAATGTATGCCCACTCACACACCTGCACACAAATATTTACATTAGATTTATTCAAAATTGCCAAAAAATTGGAAGCAATCAAGATGTCATCTATGATCCATATTGAGTTCATTTTTGTGAAAGGTATAAGGTCAGTGTCTAATCCCAACTCCCCTGCCTTTTTTTTTTTTTTTTTTTTTTTTTGGCATGTGGATGTCCAGTTCCAGCACCAACTAACTGTTGTTAAATGGATAAATAAACTGTGATGCATCCATATAATACAGTACAATTCAGCAATAAAAAGAAATGAGCTGTAAAGTTACAAAAAAGACATGTAGGAACCTTAAAAAAAACAAAAGCCAGTCAGAAAAAAAACACATAATGTATGATTCCAACTATATGACATCTGGAAAAAGCAAAATTGTGGAGATTTAAAAGATTAGTTTGCCAGGGGTTAAGGGGCAAGGCAGGTGGGGAGGGATAAATAAGTGGAGCATGAGATTTTTAGGACAGTGAAACTTCTGTATGATTATGCTACAGTGAATAAATGACATTATGCATTTGGCAAAAGCAAGAGAATTGTACAGCACAAAGTGAACCCTAATGTGAACTATGGATTTCAGTTAATAATATATCAATATCACTTCACTGATTATGACAAATATACCATGCCAATACAAATATTAATAATAGAGGGTTAGGCATGGTGGCTCATGCCTGTAATCCCAGTGCACTGGGAAACCCAGGCAAAAGAACTGCTTCAAGCCAGGAGTTCATGACCAGCCCGGGCAACATAGCAAGACCTGTCTCTACAAAAAATTTAAAACTTAGCAAGGCATGGTAGCACACCTATAGTCCCAGCTACTCGGTGGTTGAGGTGGGAGGACTGCTTGAGCCCAAGAGTTCAAGGCTGCAGTGAGCTATGATCGCACCACTGCACTCCAGTTTGGTCAACAGAGTGGGACTCTCTTAAAAAGGTTGGGGAGAATAAGTCATGGCTGGCACTTGGTGCAGGGGGTAGGGGGAGTGGGGGGTATATAGGGGAACTCTTATTTTCTGTTCAATTTTTCTATAAGCTTAAAACTGCTCTAAGAAATAAACTCTAATATTTAAAAATATATTCATTCAAAACCGACCAAAAAGAATACATATAGATATGCACATATATATTTAAGTGGTATTTTTATTTTTGGATTTTCTGTACTTTCTGGGTTTTTCAGCAATAGGTGTTCATTGCTTTAAACTTAAAAGTTTTATTTAAAGGAAATTATGCTAAATAAACAGATTTGGCATCACCAAAATGACAATATGATACAAATGTAATTAAATCCAGAAAATTCTGATCCCTAACACTACTGTCCAATTAACACAATCTCTCTTTTTTTCTTCAGTTCTATGTTAATTAAAAATAATGATACCTCACCATGTGATTTTCTGGAAAGAATAACTGAGAAAAACTCTTTAAAGATTAAAAGTAAAAAAGGATGATATCCTAGTAACTGGTAAAATTATTAAGGATGGGAAAAGGTTTTCTCTTTGACTAAAGAGAGGGCTAGTCCTGGAATGATTTACCTAGTAACTGGTAAAATTATTAAGGATGGGAAAAGGTTTTCTCTTTGACTAAAGAGAGGGCTAGTCCTGGAATGATTCAAGGAAACCTCTAACCAACTAACAAAGGCCAAACTTATCACAAATTAGAAACACAAAGAGTCCATTCTACTAAATCTAAGGCCTTTTTAGTTCAACTGAAAGGCCATATGAAGAAGTAGTTTAAAATTAAAGCATGAGTCACAGGTTACCTAAGACTTCTCAACCTGGGAAGAAACTTGTTCTGTTTGAATGAACAGAACAACTGTCCTTAAGTATAGATGTTTTCAAGTTTGTAACTAAGGATTTTCTGGTTAATATTGACATAAAGGTTCTAATTTGATAAAAGTGGAAATACAGCTTCTCTTAAGTTCTCTTTCATGGTAAACAGATACATAAAATTTGCCCTCTTAAAAAAACAGTTTCTTGTTCTTTGCTAATTGATGAACTTTTAAGACTTAAATCAAACTGACAATCAACCTCCTCTCCCTACCTGTATTAGATGGCATTTTCAATTCTTTGACAAAAATCAATCATTGTACAAACTGTTCTTAACAAAACAAAAACAACTCTTAAAACTAACAACTTTAATCCTTCATTGAGAATGGCTTTAATGTAATAATATGGCATATCCATTAATAGGCCTCAACTATTAACCTACCTAAGTAGCTTTCAGGAACCACAGTTCCATGATAATGGGTGCTTTCTTTCATTTCAGCAGAGATTTATTTCATACTGAACTTATTATTTAAAAAAGAATCGATTCAAGAACAAGTGTCTCAGGCTAGATTTGGTATTGTATAAGTAAGCTTTGTGTTAGAGGATGATAAGAATAAATTTAAAATTTTAATTGAACAATTCCAGGCACCAGAGGCAAACTTAAAGCTTAAAATGCTAAATAAAGCCAGCTGCCAAAAAGGCCAAGCTGGTGGTTACAGCTGTTTACCATCATGCAACAAAAATATAAAATCTCTCCATTTCTGAGGTGTCTTCTCCACATGGTAGGTAGACTGCTCATCATTTCTGTGGCCTCTGTTCACCACTTCTCTACTCTGGAGTTGTCAGAGGCATCTGAACCAGAGCAACTCCAACTTGAATAGGGGCTGGGTAAAATGAGGCTAAGACCTACTGGGCTGCATTCCCAGGAGGTCAGGTATTCTAAATCACAGTATAAGACAGAAGGTCAGCACAAGATACAGGTCTTGCTGATAAAACAACTTGCATAAAGAAGCCAGCCAAAACCCATCAAAACCAAGATGGTGAGGAAAGTGACCTCTGGTCATCCTCACTGCTCATTATATGCTAATTATAATACATTAGCATGCTAAGAGGCACTACCACCAGCATCACTGACAGTTTACAAATGCCATGGCAACATCATGAAGTTACCCTATATGGTCTAAAATGGGAAGGAACCCTCAGTTCCGTGAATTGCCCACCCCTTTCCCAGAAAATTCATGAATAATTTACCTTCTGTTTAGCATGTAACAAGAAATAATCATAAAAATGGGCAACCAGCAGCCCTCAGGGCTGCTCTGCGTATGGAGTAGCCATTCTTTATTCCTTTACTTTACTAATAAACTTGCTTTCACTTTACTCTATGGACTTGCCCCAAATTCTCGTGTGAGATCCAAGAACCCTCTCTTGGGGTCTGGATTGGGACCCCCTTTCTGGTAATAGGGTTAACCTACAATAGCATGGCATACAACTGTCCAAAGTGAAGGAAAATTAATTTTTTGAATATTTACCATTTCAAACTATCTACAATTATATTTCTTTAAATTAATTTAGAGAGTTGACTGCATTATTCTCACTGTTTTATACGGCCACTGAGAGAAAGCAAATTCTTATTTCAGTGCTGCCAGGGAAAACTGTGTCCAAATCTCCTTTTTGAATTAGGAAATGGAGCGGTACTTTGCAAAAATATGCTGTCTCATACTCCATTGATAAAAGACTGTAAAATAAGTTTGTTCGTTTGTTTGTTTGTTTTAAGTGTGAGCTTTTATCTTCCTATTTCTTTCTGGTAGTCACTAGCCTAAATATAGAGAGGAGGCAGGAAAGGAGACAGCAATGGCCTTTAAAAATCCACAAATTCAACAATCCTTTTCTGTGAGTTTCTCTTACCTGTGGCCCCTAATACAAAATGGCATTTGATTAATTTAAATTAAACTAATTAAACATGAAACTGGATAATAACATACTGTTTTACCAAAATGCATGTATTAGTCCATTTTCACGCTGCTATGAAGACATACCCGAGACTAGGTAATTTATAAAGAAAAGAGGTTTAATTGACTCACAGTTTCACATGGCTGGGGAGGCCTCAGGAAACTTACAATCATGGTGGAAGGCAAAACAGGCAAGTCTTACATGGTGGCAGGTGAGAGAAGTGAGAGCAGGGGAAATGCCAGATGCTTACGAAGTGTGTGAGAACTCACCAAGAACAGCATGGGGGAAACTGCCCCCATGATTCAATCACCTTCCATCAGGTTCTTCCCTTAACACCTCGGGGTTATAATTCAAGATGAGGTTTGGGTGGGGACACAAAGCTAAACCATATCAAAGCAATAGCTTTAAAATGCTAGTTTGCCCTTGACAACAGATAATAGCTTCAAAATATAGCTTTTGGAACCATTTCTTTCCACTATTTTTAAAGAATGACATGAGTAGATAGAGGGTTCAGACTATTCTTTAGCTACAACTCAAAGACTACATTCAAATCTTTTGAGAAGAATTCCTTCTTCCCTTTTCGTCATCTTAGCATACTCTAAAGACCTACTGGTAATTCATTTCCGTGAAACAGAATTGCAAGGCAGTCTTTAATAAAAGATGGCAAATGCAATAATTTACAGATGTGTTTTTTTATGCATCTGTGGTTACTCCTGTTTTCACTCAATTACATAGATAATTCCACTACTAAAATACAGAGGAATATGTACTGATAAATATTTAAGGGTATATTATAGTTATTATAGTAGAAGTCTTTTTATCAAACTGAAAATGCGATAAAATATATATATATTTTTAATATAAAATCAATGCCAACCAAAATATCTGCACCAACGTATAACAAAGAAACCAAAGTTGCTACTTATCATTAATATATATTCTTTTCAGGCTAAGAAAAATGTTCAAAGAAGAGATTTCACTTATTCAAATGAGAAACATTTAATTTCAATTATATATCCACAATAGAATAGGGAACAGTGATTTGCCCACATACACATTAATTAGTTTAATGATTATATATTAATATTAATGATATTCAGAAAAAGAAACAGCTTGAAGCTATTATCAGATTTTAAAAAAATGTCATGAATATAGACATAATATTCATTATTCATACAATGGATGCTATTCTACACAAACTGTAAAATCAGGGAATCTTTATGCCTCCTCTGCTTTTATTTTTGGTGTCTGGAATATTTTTCAATCCACATAAAGTATCCTTTTTTCTCTTTGAGAATAAAATTCCTCAATATCCAAATATTTGATTATTTAACTGTAATATTCTTAATTATGTTGGCAGAAAATGCATCTCCCAATGTAGTTTAATATTTTTCTGTGTGCTTTATTTACAAAATATAAATCTTTCATGGCAGTGTTATTATATTTTTGGCACTGTTTACAATCAAGGGTTGAGTAATAACAATGCCAATCTTGTGTCATTTCCTCAATTCAATTAAAAAGTTTCCTAACAAGCAATTCTATCTTAACTTGACAACTTTTGCCAATATTCTTCAAAAGCATGGTTTCATTTTTTCTCCCAAATTAATGCAAATGCATTATAAAATTACATGCTGAATTCCTAAAAATAAGAAACCTGGCCAGGAGTGGTGGCTCACGCCTGTAATCCCAGCACTTTAGGAGGCCCAGGCGGGCGGATCACGAGGTCAGGAGTTCGAGACCAGCCTGGCCAACATAGTGAAACCCCATCTATATTAAAAATACAAAAAATTAGCCAGGCATGATGGTGGGCGCCTGTAATTCCAGCTACTCAAGAGGCTGAGGCAGGAGAATCGCTTGAACCTGGGAGGTGGAGGTTGCAGTGAGCCGAGATGGTGCCACTGCACTCCAGCCTAGGTGACAAGAGTAAAACTCCGTATCAAAAAAAAAAAAAAAAATTGCAATTACTGTGAATGTAAACATTGGTTTTCAGTTTTGCCAATCCAATGACAGCTAAGACTGAATACAAAATGCAAGGTTTATTTAACTAAAGCACTACCATTTTCACATTTTTACAGCTTAAAAAATAACTTGCACTGAAGCACCCTCTATCAGATTTGTTTTTGATTCACTTGAAAAATACAAGATAACTATCAGAACCAATTTTTTATTCACAACTGACTAAAGGCTAAACTAAGAAGCAGATGTTTTGATGCACTCTTCTACATAATTCAGCAAATAAGAGGTAGAAGGAAAAATAATGCCCAGGAGTTCTGGTATCTTGGCATGTCATGGGCAAGTATTTTTATCATCACCTGCCAAGTACTCCGGGTGTGCAGATTTCTATACCTAAGATGTCTGGTCACTTTACAACTTTTTCAAAACCAGTTCAAATGCCATTTCTTCTAAGTTTTCTGGCTGGAATGACTACAACCTCCAATCCCTTGGGGTTCCTTTTTTTTTTTCTGAGACATGGTCTTGCTCTGTTGCCCAGGCTGGAGTGCAATGGCATGATCCTAGTTCACTGTAGCTTTGGACTCCTGGGCTCATGCAATCCTACCTCAGCTTCCCAAGTAGCTGGGACTACAGGCATGTGCCACCATGCCCAGCTAATTTAAAAAAAATTTTATTTTTAAGAGACCAGGTCTCACTATGTTGATGAGCTGGTCTCAAACTCCCAGTCTGAAGCGATCCTCCTGCATCAACCTCCCAAAGTGTTGGGATTATAAGCGTGAGCCACCACACCTGGCCCCCTTGGGATTCTTGTTTAAATCTTTATAATAACATCACTAACCACATTTTGCCTCTTGAGGCAGACTTTTAAAATGTTTGTGTTTATTTCCTATTTGGATTGGGAGCTTCCAGAGTTACAGGGACTCTCTTTAACCATCTTTAGGCTGGCAAACACTTTCTGTAAAGGGCCAGATAGTAAATATTTTATGCTTTGCAGGCCACATATGTCTCTGTCACATCTTTTTTTTAAAACAACCTGTTGAAAATATGGCAGGCCTTACAAAACCAGGCTGTGGGTGTTATAGTTTGCTGATCCCTGAGCACAATATTTAAAGGTCAGGTTTTGAAGTCAGACTGGGTTTCTGTATCAGCGGCTGTACTACCTCTGGCAAGTTACTTACCTATATAAAATGTGGATAATAAGGGTTATTGTGAATATTAAATTAGATTATATGTGATGTTCTTAGCACAGTAACGTAGTATGGTTCACTAAATATTAGCTATTACTGTAATGTGATCACGATCATAGTGCCTGAACTGAGCAGTACTCAGTATATTCACTGAATCAAAGATATCCAAAAAGACACTCACATACACACATACAACTGAGATTTTATAAAGAAAATGCCTTATTTTCTATAGTTTTAAATGCAAAAATATTTTTTAACTAAGTTATTTTCAGTTTTACTGGAAACATTAGAAATAAAAATCTTTAAAGTCTTTTAATATTAGGATAATTTTAACCAATGCAAATATATGAAGGCAAAGTTCCACCATAATAAAGCTTGTAAGAAACCAAGAGGATTAATTCTAGTGAAATTTTGTTATAAACAACAATAAGGCCATCACATTTTTAAAACATTCTTCAAACATTTCCATGCCTATTACTTCATTTGCTCTTCACCAGAAACCTTTGAATAACATAGGTAAGGTGGTATTTTCTTTATTTGATAGATTCAGAAGGAGATTAAAATTTTTCAAGGACCATTCTGCTTATCATAGACAATTTAATTTAAAAAAACTGAGTAACAAGTATTGGCCAGTAGTATTAGGCAATGAGGAAACAAAAATAAATAGGACAAGCTTCTTAAAGAACTCACAGTATACTCAAAGAAACATGAACTGTTTAAATACAGTGAAAACATGGGGACAATTGGAGGGAAATATCACAAAGGGAATGATACTAAAAGATAAATAGGATTTCATGGGATGAAGTGGAGGAAAGATATTCTCTAGAGAGGAAGAATTACATGTTCCCAGTATATCAGTAAAAGTACACAAAACTTTCAAGGAATACATTTGTAGGTGGACTAGTGAATTATGGAGTGCAGGGCACATTTTGAAAAGCAGGCTGTTTATGTGAAGGAGCTTATATCCTATATTCTAAGCAAGGAGTTTCTATACACTAAGCAGCCATGGAAGGCCTTAGGAGAGAAAGTCATATTTGGTTTCGAAAATATCATTCTGATGGCACTGTGGAAGACAGATTAAAAAGAGAAGGATTCTGAGAGCAGAGGAGATACTGAAATAATTTTTCCATAGAGGGATTAGGCATATGTAGGCAAGTTAAAGAAACGTATACTTTCATATGACCTAACAATACCACTTCTAGGCATATGTACAGCTTTCTAATCAACATGCTGTGAAATATCTGATGGCTGATAAAAATTTAAAGTGTAAGGATAGACACAAATAGAGCAGCTGAACAGGATGGAGAAACCAGAAATAGATCCATATATTACTGATTGATTTTAGACAAAAGGGACCAAGGCAATTCAAATGGGAAAAGTTTTCAACAGATAAGGCTAGAACAAATGAATAAAAATACGGAAAACAATGGTCTTAACCCTTATCTTATGTGACACATGAAAATTAACACTAGAGAGATCATAGACATAAATGCAAAAGCTAAAACTATAAAGTTTCTGGAAGAAAACATAAGAGAATATCTTTAGGTCATCTGTCTTCTGCCACTGGCACTCCTGGTTCTCAGGCCTTCAGGCTTGAACTGGAATCATTACACCATCAGCCCTCTAGCTCTCTGTCTGGCCTTTCAACTATAATACACTACTGGCTTTCCTGGGTCTCCAGCTTGCAGATGGCAGATCGTGGAACTTCTCAGACTTGATAACTGTGTGAGCTAATTATAAGGTACTGACCTTATAATACATCTTTCAGGCTCTATCTCACTATATATCCTATTGGTTCAGTTTGTCTGAAGAACCCTGACTAATACAGTGGGCCATATACAATGGTTCCTCTGTTGGAACCATTTAACTCTGTCACTGTAGTGTAAAAGCAGCCATAGACAACACACTAACAAATGGGCATGAATATATTCTAATGAAACCATATTTACAAAAATAGGTAGGGGGCTAAATTTGGTCTGAGGACCATAGTTTGTCAAGCCCTTTTTTAGAGCATAAGATTTTATATGTGACACACTGTCAGAGACCTCTGTAGCTTTGCCACCATCCCCCAGGTGATAATATGGGCAGTAAAAATAATTTTTACATATAGTATAATGTGATACAGTTTGTAAGCACTGCCCTAGGAAAATTAATATATATGCACAAAGAGATATGCATAAAGATACTATGTCACTGTTTATAATGGCAAAAACTTGAAATAATTTACATGCTCATCAATGAGGCAATATATAAATCATGATACAGATGTACAAAAATTACAATAGTTGAATGAACTCAATTTCCATTATTAATGCATACATAAAACAAATGGGTGCCTCTAAGATGGTCATTTATGACAGGCCATAAAATATTAATCTTCCCTCTGAAATAGAGACACCATATAACTTTTAAAATGTAGATAACATATTCTGAATTCAATCTAGGTATTATATTTCCAAAGAATGCAGAAAGATTGCTGTATAGATTCTAATGTCTCAATTTGGGTGGCCCCATGGTTGGTACTGGATCTAATCTAGAAAAGAGGAACATACAGTATAATGCCTATTTTTGCCAATGTCCTATTATTAATTCTAAATTATATGGATCAAGATTTGCCAGATGTAGCAGCAGAGGCAGGTATTTAACCTACTCCCCAACTCCTACACTTGATTTCAGTGAACACAGCAAGATGGGCAGTGGCAGCAAAGAAAGAAAAACACGGTGATTTACTCTTTCATCAACTACTTTTTTCACCATGCCTTAAAATCCCACTGAAATGTTCCAGTTCATTCCTAGCCAGAACCTAGATGCACTAAATAATAGCTTCAAATATAATATACAAGACCCAAAACCTAGAGAGGAAAGGATCATGCTGCAGTGCTTCAATACTACGTTTTTGGTTGCTTACATAATCTCTGCTGGTCTGGCATTATGTAGCTCCTTCCAGTCAATAGAGAGATACCAAAGGGATGTTTTCTCAGTCAAAGGCCCTCACTGTTATGTATTTATTTCTAATATTCAGATCCTTAGGATTTGTACAATTCCATTGCAGTGTTTAGAAAAAAAGACTTTTAAATGAAAAAACCCTTTCTACTTTTAGGTAAAATTTACGTGGAAATTCCTACCTGGGGTATGTTCAGATTCCTAAGCGTTAGCTCCCACAGAGTAGAGGCTTCACAGGGGCCTATTTTTGCTTCTCTTAGTATTATATACATATTAGAGCTCCAAGACAAAATGGTTTATTCCTAGTACCCCCCTTTACTCCCAGCCATCATCCTATCAACTTGGAGACCTTAAAAAGACTATCTGAAGACTGTTTTGTCAGGAGAGCTCTCTGACTGGGGTCAGCGATGGCTCTAGCTAAGAAGGCAACCCTGTCCCAGAAACTAAGAGAAACTGGTCAGCTCCTTGATTAGGAGCATATTTTTGATGTTTAGTCAGCCTAGACACTGAGATTTTTACAGGGCAACCTAAATAAAACCCAACAGAAGTGGAGAATGATCCTCATGTGGGCTAGGGGAGCTAGGGAGCCAAAGCTGGCTCTCTTTGGGAGGATGGCTACACAAAAAGCCATCAAGTAGCTCTGAGTTTCATTAATGTTGGCTGTTAAAGTTAAAAGAAGCCCTGCTGAAACTCTATAACCCAATCATGCTATTATTGTTATTTTGCTTTGTTCCCATAAAACTAAAGTGGTAATAATAACATATGGTGATTTAGAATATATAAACCACTGTCAAATATATTATCACTCTGAATGCTCATAACAACTCTGTAAGGTACACAGAACAGGGAGGTTAAGGGACACTACCCAAAGTAACACAGCTAATAACTTCTGACTCCAAATCAATGACACTGATCTGTCCTGGTAAATGATGTTCTTCATTCTCTAAGAGCCCAGCTCATGGATCTAGTGAAGTCTCTGATTGCTTTAGCCAGAAACAGTTTTTCTATTCTCTGGTGGCCCACAGGACCTTATACCTCTCTTATGACACTACCTTTTTTACATTTACAGATGTATGGGTCTCATGATACTCAATGACAAGTTCCTGAAGAGTCATCTTTATATTTCCCATGGCATCTAGAAACATTCAAATTTTTACTGAATGACTAGTGTACTTCCCTGTTTATGGTACTGATCCATTTTTTTTAAAGAAACTTTATAATTAAAAACATTATAAATATAAATGTGCCCATTATTTATACCTAATACAGTATTTGCTGGCAGTTGTACTTTTTCAAAAGTAAAGTTGGATATCAAAATCTGAACAAAAATGATAACTCTAATTGTAATATATCTTTTGGGAAAATCAGTATGACTTATAGTATCACTAGTTGCAATTTCTTGCTTCCAGAGAATATAACCTGCATTAAGTTTAATGGCTACTTATAATAGGAGACTAAACTTAAATTGAATCAAAAGGAGGACCTCTTTAGGAAGAGGTGGAAGACTCAACTCTAATTATTTTCAATAACTGCTAAGAATATTTTTGATCTTTGTATTTGGGGAAGCAAAACAAAAGAAAGAAGCCTGATACCAAAGTATCATCTAAGAAGGTTTATGATTCTGTAATCTGCTTTTGACCTTCTGCTAAGGCAACAAAAATGCATGAGTAATAAAGTCTATTACTTAAAAACACACATGCGCACACACATACGTGCGCGCGCATGCGCGCGCGCACACACACACACACACACACACACACACACACACACAAATATGTCTTTCTTTCCAATGGAACTGATGTATAAACCACTATAGAACTTTCTTACTGAGTAACAACCTTTTGGAGGGAAAAAAATATGTATAACTCCACTAAAGATCACGGACTTTATTATTTCCTATTCCATGAAATTAGCCTACAATTTATATAATCCTGGGGAAGGGAGACAAAGAAATTACAGATTCACATCATACTCAGAGCTCTGGCATATAAAACTAACCAAAAGGGACAGGATGCATTCTTTACTTTCTTCAAAATGTCAACAATTATCTTGTTTGTAGAATCACTCTAACGTGATCCACATGTTTTAAGCAAACAAGACTCTGTTATCAAAATGCTACTGAAAGATTGCAATCTTCTTTTTCTATACTTTGGTGTTTGAGTTGAAGGTCAACTGTGACTGAGACTCAAAGATTCACATAAGTATGTCTGAGGAAAACAGAAAAACCCAAATACTTACAAAAGGAAGAAAGGAAGGGAAGGAGGGAAGGAAGAAGGAAGGAGGGGTGGGGGGTGACTCAGGGGACCGACTACTAGCTCCTATTAGAAAAAAGATTATTTACTTTGTAATCTAGCTCCGCTGGAATGTTTCAAACACGACTCAATTTGTAATAATTTATGCCAAATCTTTAAGGAATACATCTATCATAATAGGTATATCAGTATTTATAAAAACACTGATAATTTCTGAGACAGTTATCAAGGCTATGTGGCCCAGACACCCCACAGGAAATTAAGAACACCTGGATTCTATCTCTAGCTCTAACAACCTTGGATAGGTCCTAAATAGACTTTAGGAGATTTTTCAGAAACTTTTCCAATGAAATAGTTTACACTCCATAGTGAGGTGGATGCTAAATACGTATTGCTTTTTCCTAAGTCACACGTCCTTTTATCTCTGAACTCATTCTGCCAGAACCTTTTCTAAAAAGGGGAGAATAAATTGCTTAAAAGATTCATTCTTGGTAATAGACTATTTTTTCAAAACAAAATCTACAGTTTAATAAAAGTGCTTCACATAGCTAGAAGGGTAATGTTTTGAAATTTGGATGGGGATCTGGGGAGACAGGTTTTGTTTATTACATTTATTTTTTGTTTATTTATTTTTTTTGAAACAGAGTCTTGCTCTCTCGCTCAGGCTGGAGTGCAGTGGCGCGATCTCGGCTCACTGCAAGCTCCGCCTCTCAGGTTCAAGTGATTCTTCCCTCTCAGCCTCCTGAGTAGCTGGGATTACAGGTGCCCATCACCACGCCAGGCTGATTTTTTTTTTTTGTATTTTTAGTAGAAATGGGGTTTCACCATGTTGGCCAGTCTGGTCTTGAACTTCTGACCTCTGGTAATCCGCCCACCTCGGCCTCCCAAAGTACTGGGATTACAGGCGTGAGCCACCGCGCCCGGCCTCTCTTATTACATCTAATGTGCTCTGGTCAAACGCTTGGCACTGTGTAAATAACCTAGAAGGTAAATAACCTAGAAGTACCTTGCTGCTTTGCTCCCATATGGAGTCTCTGTCAAGGTGAAATAAACAGCTAAAAAACTCATAGAATGGTGTTTCTTAAAATTTTCCACCAAAATGCTCCTAACAGCAGAGGAAGGTAAATTCATGCTACTGAGAATATGAAGTCTGGCCTCAATCAATGGGCTGGAGTTTGATCAAATTTTCATTTTATACCATTACAGATCTTGTTTTATTATTTGAAAATGATTTAGCTTACCTACCAGTAAATAAAATTAATAGTCCAAGAAAATGTACCATGTTTTATCCTGGTAGGTTGCAAATCTCTAATTCACTTTCCCCAGGTTTACTCACAACTCAATCTGAGAAGCACTTACAGGATAAACACGAAAATAAATATCTGTAATTGTAAGAGTGTAGGCTCACAAGGGTCAAGGCTACAATGTGGACAAAGCTTCAGTTCCCTATTCCTGTATTTCCTGATGATCCCACTAGATTTTAATGAGATACCATAGACTTCTATCTCCTTAAGTGGGAAATGAAAGAAGATGTAATGGTGAAAAGCAGCTTAACTTCTTCTGAGACATTAAGTATATTCTAACTGGAATTTTAAATTCCTGAAGCAAAGATCTTTCTTTCTTTTGTGGCCCATAAGTAGTAAAACAAAAAAGTTTTATAGCAGTTGAATCAAAAGTCCTTATGTACCTGCAATGATACTTGTTTAGGTTAATGATTCTAAAAGGAGTCAGGTAAAGGGCAGAGAAACCTACTAGAATCTTGGAGAGGAGACAGCTAGCTTTTCAACTATATGTGGTACCAACTCACTCTCCAAATAGCCTCCTGCACAACCAGATCTTTGCTGCAACAAAGCCAGTTTCACTAATTACACAGAATAACTATCATAAGAAAGAGTATACCTTCTATCTTAGGTATGTTGAGATAGAAAAAATACTTAAAACTGCTGAAGGCTTCAGGTAGCTGCGGAGAGACTCTATGAGTGGCCCAGAATTTTATTTTGATTAAATTGTGGGTTTATTAAGCATAGAGATATTCTGAATGTCTAGAAGTTATTCTCAGAAGTTATCTTGCTTCTCTGTATTTCTTTCAACTTTTCCATTTAACTTAGACAGAAAACTACATATGAAGCTCTTATAAAGGCATGATTTTCATCTCAGAATAAAAGGATAACTTTCCTGTTGTTGCAGGTTATAACCTAATAATATATTCCAGGTGGACAGGGAGGTAGATAATGAGTATCATGAGTTTTTTAAAGAGCTAAACTGAGGTTCAGAAGCTAAGTTAATTCACAAAGTTCAGAAAGCTAAAAACAACAGAACTGGATCAGACTCACAGTCTAATATCCTTCCTCTCCCTCAGATCCCCTAAACAGAGAAATCAAGATTTTTTGCAGCATAAGGGATCAAAAATAGTAAATGTACTTGTTTTAAGTTTCTATTAATACAATTATCAAAGACTGAAAATACTACTGTAAAAAGACTTAACATATGCATATCTATAGCCTAATATGTATATTATATCTATATATTCTTAATCACATTATTGCTTAATATCAGTTTATAAATTAGTCTACCTGACGTCAATCCTTATTAAGGATACAACTTGGTTAGAATATTTAGATGATTCCAACAGACATCTTAGTAGTTTTGTAAAGGTTAAAATATTAGTATCAAAGGAAAGACTGAAAGTATAATTTCATTTGTGTTCTACTTGCTAAAGATTTTCCTTCTGACCTGAGTGAGATATTTGAATAAACAGTTTAATAGTTATGAGATAACAAAAAAGTCATCTGAAATCAATTTCTTATAACTCTGTCTACTCTCTAAACCAAAATCAAAAAAACAGCTTTGACTCTCGAATTAAAACCTGTCAGTTTTAGTGAAGAACAAGAATACACAACCATCAAAATGGAAATCCTGTAAGTGATGCTTGTTTTTAAAAGGAAACATTAGCTAGTCTCTCAGTATTCAAGCTTTACAATGAATTACTACTAGTTCCCCCAGTGACTCCATGTTCTCTTGCCTGTCTTTTTACATGTTGTGCCCACTGACAGAAAATTCTTCCACCATGTCCCTACCTGGTTGACTCCTACTCATAATTTAGGTCTCAGCTTAAAAATCATTTCTTCCAAAAGAACCCCAAATATGCATTAGATATTTGCTTCAGGGTAGTCTTAACCATACCACCACATTAGCACAACATATTTTAATTGCTTATTCAGTTGTCTATCTTTCCCCCTTGACTGCCCTTTACACGAAAGAGACTGTGTCTGTCTTCATGTAGTACAGCATAGGTATCTAGCAAATAGCAAATACTTTAATTGAATTACTTTTATTTCAAGGTTGCCTCCACATAAACCTTAAGGATGTCAAATAAAACTCTTTGACTAAAACCTTTTGGAAATGAGGCATGGAGAGAAGGTAACTGTTCAGTTTAGATAAGTGGATATACCAAACGGTCATCTACCTAAACATGTATTTAAACCAGGCACCTCGCCTCCAGGGCATCAAACTTTATCGTATTTATAAATTATTTTTTTACTAGTCATTATTTTCATTTACAAATAAAATTTTCCAATTACATTTATCATATTAAGAATTCAGTTTAACTTATGTATTTATTAAGACAGTGGGAAAAAGACAAGAGAAGGAAAGACAGAACAGCCTAGGTAGTTTAACTGTTAAGGTGAATAATTTTTAATTTTTACAAGGAAAAAGATTGAAGTGGGGAACTGAATTTAAGTGGAGTTCTCTATCACTAAATCATCTATTCAATATTGTTTATATAAGCTAGAAAAGCATTTTGAAAGCTAGTCATCATATATAGCCTAAAATAGTCAATATCCTTTAAAAAACCAAATTATAAATTGTTGAGGCCAGGCACAGTGGCTCACACCTATAATCCCAGCACTTTGGGAGGCTGAGGTGGGAGGACTGCTTGAGGCCAGGAGTTTGACATCAGCCTGGGCAATATAGTGAGACCCTATTTCTAATAAAAAATAAAATAACTAGCTGGGCATGATGGAGCATGCCTGTAGTCCCAGGTGCTGTGGGGGCTGAAGTGAGAGGACTGCTTAAGCCCAGGAGTTCGAGGCTGCAGTGAGCTAGGATCATGCCCCCGCACTCCAGCCTGGGTGTCAGAGCAAGACTCTGTCTCTAAAAACAAAACAAAAAACAATAAATAAATATTGTTGAAAGGTACTTCAAACTATTAAACATAAAGGCAAGATTCCCATTTTGAATTATCACAAGCAATCTATGTGGAAGAATCAGGTCTAGTATGTGTAGTTAGTTCAGGCTGAGGAAACATCTTGT